>NC_000007.14:156518388-156831453 GCF_000001405.40 Homo sapiens
ACTTCAGAGCCATAATGAGCTCTTGGATTAAAATGACCAGGAAAAATGAACTTCAGATGAAATACTTGTTGTAGTTGAGTAAATTAACAAAATTTAATTAACTTTCAATACACAATGACACCGAACAATATCAAAAATATACACTAAGATGATGAGAAAGATAAAAGCCTCTGTGCATATTTGAAATGGCCACAACCTCTCTGACCCACACCTCATCTACCCGCACGTGCTCCATCCCCACCTCTGGAGTATGGGCAGGGCCTGTGACTGCTGGGCCGACATGAGGAGACAGAAGTGATGGCCCAGGTCTGGGCCCAGGCATTAGCATGACGGCAGCGTCCACCTCCTTCTCACAGAATCCTTGCTCTAAGGGAGGCCAGACACCATGTGAGGCCCTTGGCCACCCAGAAACCACCATGTGAGGAGAAGCCCCTGCCAGCCAAGTGGACAGGCTGTCTGGAGGGAGCGAAGTCCCTGGCCAGCCCCAACTCTTCCAGCCACCCCACCCTAGAGGACAGAGAAGCAACTGACAAAGCTTCTAAGACGTTCCAGCACCCGAAGCTGCAACTCAAGAGGAACCAAGAGCCAACAGGCATGAGCGAGGCTCCACAAGTGACCCCAGTGAAGCCACCCCTGACCCATCCGGCTACTTGAGCCGCCCCAGCAACCACAGGGCAGACACCAACCAGCCCTGCTGCACCTGCCTGGACACCTGGACGCCTGGACGCCTGGATGCCTGGCTCACAGCACCGTGAGCATGATAGGTTTGTCGTTTGATGCCACTGGTGTTGGGGTTATGACACAACAAGAGAAAACCAGAACAGATTAAATCTGGGCTACAGAGTTTCTACATAGAGGGGCTGAGCGGCAGCCATCCATTTGCAAGAGGAGACGAAGGCAATGAGTTAGGATTCGGATGGGCGTGGTAGGCCCGCTGTTTTTCGGATGTGCATGGTAGACCCTCTGTTTTGCCTACATGGCAGGCATTCACCGTCCTTGTGCAGGGATGACGGTGGCCAGTGGAGATCAAGGGAGGTGTCAAATCTCCCCAACATAAATGTTCTTTGAGAAGACAGATGGTTGGTAAATGCAAAGCTAATTGCTCGTCAGGTTCCTGGCTTTTTATGTATGAGGTTCCCTTTGTTTCTCTTTCTCTGCTTGTTTTCCTGTTTGCTTTTGGCCCGTTACTGAAAAACAGATTGCTAAGTAATAAGCAGAAGAACATAAATATGTCTAATATTTTTCTTACAAATATTTTTTAATCATCTCACTTGCATAGTTACTTTCCCAAAACACCTGTTAGCCTCTCACAGATCACTCCCCTCTGTGAAGCATGGTTTGGGAAATGCTGCACTTAAGTGGTCAGAGAAATTAAAGAGCCAGTAAGAAAGACATGGAGTGCTCCAGAGAGATGATGCTTAATGAGGAAGAAACTCAGAAATGCTTCAGAGAACAAAACCAAGGAGGATGTCACAGGAAGAACCAGGAGAACAGCACAGTAAGGACCAGAAAAATATCACAGTGAGGCCCTGGGGGACATCACACTTGAGACCTTGGAAGAAAACATAGTAAGGGCCTACAAGGACATCACAGTAAGCCCAGGAGGACATCATAGCAAGGACCTAGGAGGATGTCATAGCAAGGACCTAGGAGGACGTCATAGCAAGGACCTAGGAGGACGTCATATCAAGGACCTAGGAGGACATCATAGCAAGGACCTTGAGGATGTCATAGCAAGGACCTAGGAGGATGTCATAGCAAGGACCTAGGAGGATGTCATAGAAAGGACCTAGGAGGATATCATAGAAAGGACCTAGGAGGATGTCATAGCAAGGACCTAGGAGGACATCATAGCAAGGACCTTGAGGATGTCACAGCAAGGACCTAGGAGGATGTCAAAGAAAGGACCTAGGAGGACATCATAGAAAGGACCTAGGAGGATGTCATAGCAAAGACCTGGGAGGACGTCATAGCAAGGACCTAGGAGGATGTCAAAGGACCAAGGAGGATGTCATAGAAAGGACCTAAGAGGATGTCATAGCAAAGACCTGGGAGGACGTCATAGCAAGGACCTAGGAGGACGTCATAGCAAGGACCTAGGAGGATGTCAAAGAAAGGACCAAGGAGGATGTCATAGAAAGGACCTAAGAGGATGTCATAGCAAAGACCTGGGAGGACGTCATAGCAAGGACCTAGGAGGACGTCATAGCAAGGACCTAGGAGGATGTCATAGAAAGGACCTAGGAGGACGTCATAGCAAGGACCTAGGAGGATGCAACAGTAAGGTCCTAAAAGGACAATGTGGTAAGGACTAGGAGAACATTGTAGGAAGGACTTACGCAGCAAAGAGTATGATGAGAAAAGAACAAAACAACAAACACATCACAATTAAGCACTATTGATCACTTAGTTCATGTCAGTGAACTATGTAAGCCCATTCCATACACCACTTCAAGGGACAATCATGGAATAACATTCCCAATTTACAGATAAGGCAAGGAAGACTTAGAGTATGGTTACACTTTAGTCTAGGCCCATAGGCCCCTCCTAACCTTCAAGCCCCGGTGCTGAAGAAGGGGAAGGGGAGTGGCAGGAGGGGCTGATTTTCCAAAACAAAATGTGTGTGTGTGACAATTCTCTCTGGATCTATAGAAAACATAAAGGGATGAGACAGGAGGATAAGGGTGCCTCCGGTGTGGCCTGCAAAGATGAGCTCCGACATAAATCACACAGTTTGGGGGAAGAGAGCACTTAAGTATCCTAATGCCAACAATGTGGGGAAAAGTGTCAATGCATTTGCTATTTACATTAATAATGTCCACTGATAAATTTCCTAGTGTTGTCACAAAGAAAAGGATGTTTCTACAAATTTATCTTATTAGATTTCCATCGTAAATGCAAGCTTTACCCCTTTTTTCTCCTTCCCCATCTCATTTGTGCTTTGAATTATTCGAAATGTGTTCCATTATACTAACTTTTTTTTAATCTGATGCCTTCGCGGGCCTCTTTGCTTTCCATATTGAGTAGAAGTATTTTTAGCCTCCTAATGCTATTGATTTCATTACTTTTAATTTAATGATCTGTACTTGACATTTTTTGACCTTATGTTCAAAACCAAAATCTTCATTTCTTCACCTTAAAAAAAAAAAAAATCATAGCAGAGTTTTCTTTGATTATTGGCCAAATCATGTGACTGACGAAAAACCAGATGTCAGACACAAAGCTACTAAATATCAAATAGGTTATCAAACAGGAGGAAAATGCAAAGATATGAAGGTTAATGCAATCCTATCTTTAGACAAACTCATTTTTCCCACCCTAGAGACAAAAATGTCAATCTAATAGTAGAAATACATCAAGAGTGTTTATTATCTGCCTGATCCTAGGGCTATATATAAAAGTAATTCTGTGACCTTGTAAAGTATCTTGACAACAGTAAATCATTATGTTAGGAAGTAGAACTGCATTCTGTGTTGTTAATTATTGTATCCATTCAAGACAGCTTATCAAGAAATAGAGACAGAAACTCAAATAAAGCCTATGGGTCCCTCATGGGATGTCTATTTACCACGCACCTAAAGTTGTTAAGTTCGTGCCTTCTTGATGTAATATCAAACATGCCTTATCCTTTCGGCAGCACTAACTTTCAAAGAAACCAACAACCATAAAGATTTTTTAAAGTATTTTTTTATCTCTAGAAATAAAGATGAGGAGAGTCCACAAACAAATTCATTACTTTAGAAAAGACTTTCAAATAAAAATCTTTCCAGGAGTAGTAATTGCTATAAAGGTCAAGAAACTACATTGTGGGAAATTAGTAAATATGCAAAATATTGATTGAAGAAAATTGCATCAAATCTCCCAAGAATGTATTAAATCCTGGTAGAGTTTGAGTAACAATGACTGCTTTTCTACAATTATATTTGCAGAAAGTTAGAATTTCTAAGACGTGAAAATGACACCTTGCCATCAGTTTGCTTTTTATTTTCAAAGTGCTTCCTCATGAAACAGGTGGTAATTGTATTAATAAAATTTAAACGATTAATATTGTAGCGTGCTTGGAACAATATATGGCATATGGTAAGTGCTCGATAAATGTTAGTTATTTACATGTATCTTTAAAATTTCAAATCCCTTCAAACATATTATCTCATTTGACCGTCAGGCGACCTCTCTGGGTTGGTGAAGTACTGGATGCATCCTTTTCACCCACATTTCTTAGTGTCTCTTCTGTGCCAGACCCATGAGACATCACCCTGAGCAGTGGTCTCCTGAAAGATGACTGTGCAAAGAAACAATCACAGAAATAATGCAGCAAATGAAAGGCTTATTCTAGGAGGGGAAAGGGGATTCCTGTGACGGGCGACTGGTGAGGGCCCTTTCAATGACGACGCCATCTTCAAACAGACACAGAGCGAGCCGTAAGCACAGCAGGCAGCATCACGGGATGCCGAGCTTTTAATGACGCCTTGTGTTGCACAGTGCGTGTGCCACGAGCTATGACATCTGCATTTTTGGGCCCTCCTTGGTGGGAGGGGGACCCATGGGTGGCCTAAGAGCAGAAATAATGCCTGGTGCTACGGAAGCAGGCTGTGGGCAGGCGGGCCCTGACACGCCATCAGCATTTCTTGGCATCACGACTTGCGTCTGAGGACCAGGTAGACATGGAACTTTGCAAATGAGGCGGCCCCGCTGATCCAGGGGCACAGGTCCTGCAAGACCTTGACAGATGTCTCCAGGATTTGTGTCCTCTCCGCCAGAAGGCAGAATGTCCAATTTATAACTGTAACCCGGACCCCCGCAAATACACATTCCAGTGCCAAAATGAATAAAGCTGAATGTAAGCGTTTTTATTTTTTCTATGACCAGAAAATGCTCACCACTTTTTCCCTATCCAGTTTTAGAGGCGATAAATGCCGTGCAGTTTCTAGGACTTGATTCTATAGTGCCGTGTACTTCCTATTAATTAGTTCATTTATATTTGTCCTGCTCAGGCTAAATCATAAATAGTCATAAGAATCATAATATCCTCGGATAGCACCAGGCACTGTACTCAGCATAGACTTGAAGCTTAATTAACTCGAGCAAATTGGATGGAGAGCAGAGGAAAATGAGAAAGATGTGAAAATGATGGGAGAGAAGACAAGAAGCTCCAGCCTCCTCCTGAAAGCTGGAGCAGGAGAGACGGCAGGAAACACAGGCTCGAGACGGAAGGCGGAAGGCGGAAGGCGGAAGGCGGAACTCAACCCAGGAGCCTCCCGCCGGAAGTTGTGCGATTTCTTTAATCAGAGTGGCTTCCCACAAATGTATTTCCTGCCTGATCCCGCTGTCTGTGTCCTTGCAGTGTGAGTGGCAGAATCCCTTGAAGAAGACCGAGCCAGTGACCTCGTTTCTGAAATAAAAGGCGGGAAGTGAGGGAGCCAGTGGTCACCGGGCAGCCAACCCAGAAGGAAAAATCTCCAAGAGTGGGAACAGGTGAGGGTAGTGTTAAGGAACAGAGAGCAGGCCACATGCACTTCACGACGCCGTCAGCAATGACAGTGACAACGTGTACTGTGCTGACCACACTCCATCGGGAACACAGGGCAACCTCCCTTGGTGGAAGGTGTCTACCGGGTCACACTCCCAAGCCCAAACAGGCGACCGGGGATTCTCTCTGCTCGATTCTCCGCAACTCACCTCTACAGGAAGAACTTACATGGAGATATTCTGTGTTCTGGCAGAGCGCGGTGGCACACGCCTGTAACCCCAACACTTTGGGAGGCCGAGACAGGAGGATCGCTTGAGCCCAGGAGTTTGAGATCAGCCTGGGCAACATGGCAAAACCCTGCCTCTACAAAAAAATATATATATATGAAAATTGCTGTGCATAGTGGCAGGCATCTGTGGTCCCAGCTACTTGGGAGGCTGAGGTCAGAGGATCACTTGAGCCCAGAAGGTTGAGGATGCAGTGAGCCATGATCACACCACTGCACACCAGCCTGGGCAACAGAGCAAGACCCTGTCTCCAAAAAAACATATTCTTTAGCAGATGCTCCTTGGTTCATATTTCTTGGCTAACATATAATGTTCTTTTCATCTTTATTAGGGCTGGGATACCACTGAGTTCTCCTTATAGAGAATGTAGAATTCAAATAAGCAAGTATTTCAACTAAACATAATTTGGGGGGCCTCCATTTTTATTAGAAAGAGGTTAGCCTCTGCTCAGCAAAGTGTGTTACCTATTGCATTTTTGTTTTTCTTTCTATCCGAGTTAATCATCATCATCATGATAATTAGCATTTACCAAGTACGTTTGCCACATCTCGAGCTGCGAGCTGCCTGTGCCCATCTCATGGAGCCCTGGAGTTTTTATTCTCCCCACCTTCTATTCAGGCAAACTGAGGCTTCGAGGTTTGTCCCATTTATTTCCTTAGTGCCCAAGGGAGGACTCTATCCCCATTGGCCAGCCCACCCCAAGCATACTTGGTTTGGGCGAACTCACAGACAAAATGAAATTTGCTTCCAGAATCATGACCCAGGCAAACTGCAAGATTCTCGGTAACACGAGAAAGACAGGACTTTGCTCACTGGCTAGTGTTTCCTATCACAAAAATAACAGCAGAGTTCATACTTCTGACAAAGTTTTACAACTAAGGAAGAAAAAAAATCAGGTTCCTGGTTGGTCACCCCTCGGCTCCAGCAGATGTAGGGGCTGGAGCACTCCCTGTGTTTGGTTCAACAAGGCTGACGTCGGGCTCGTGTGCTGGGACTGGACTCCGCCGTCAGCTCCTTAGGACCTGGCAGCTTCTCCTCTTGGCTTTTTGTAAAAATTAGAGTAATTTAAATCTCCAATATGTTGTGGTAATCCATGAGTTTTTAAAGATGATTACACTAGTTTACTAGTTAAACCTTTACATTAAAAACTGTGTTTCCAGCTAAAGGAAGTTTTAATAGTTTCCTTTATTAATTTCTTTATTAATAAAAGGTCTAGTTATTAATAACTTCCTTTATTAATTTCTTTATTAATAAAGGGTCTAGTTATTAATAACTTCCTTTATTAATAACTAGATCCATTGCTCTTTTCCCCTCGAAATTCTGACTCCTAAGAACAAAGTAAGTATTATTCTAATTACCCGCTGTTGCTCTCAATTGCCATGTGGCAGGCCACACAAGTGGATTTTCAATTCACAGGCTGTTTGCTGATGCTAATTTTGTGTCCCAATTTCATCTCCATAGAATATTAATAATTCCATTTATGTTTCAGAATAGCTTTATAATTCTATTTTTTAGAAGCCCTAATATTACATATACTTTTGCAAAATCTAAACAAGAGATTGAAAGATGGTATAACTTAACTTTCTAGGAACTTTCTTGTCAGCACCATAAGAAAGGTAAAAAAATAAAAATAAAATGGAAATGCAGCTTACCTTGAAGTTATGGGGAAGACATAAGTACTAGGAAGGATACTCAGTGTATAAGAAAATCAGAAAAAGAATTATGAGGCTGGGCATGGTGGCTCACGCCTGTAATCCCAGCACTTTGGGAGGCCGAGGCAGGTGGATCACCTGAGGTCAGGAGTTCGAGACCAGCCTGACCAACATGGTGAAACCCCATCTCTACTAAAAATACAAAATTAGCTGGTATGGTAGAACATGACTGTAATCCCAGCTACTCGGGAGGCTGAGGCAGAAGAATCGCTTGAACCCCGGAGGCAGAGGTTGCAGTGAGCTGAGATCACACCATTGCACTCCAGCCTGGGCAACAAGAGCAAAACTCTGTCTCAAAAAAAAAAAGATTCCCCAATCCAGCCACCCACACGATGTTTGAAGATGATATAGTAGCATAATTTCGGAGGCCATACAAGAAGTTTAGATTTTAGATCTTCACAACAAACTTTAATTCCAATTTTGGTTTTAAGTTAAGTGCCTACCCTGGGCCAGGCACTTACAGGGGCCCAAGTACACATTGACGTCTAAAACAGGACACAATCCCAGCACTTTGGGAGGCTGAGGCGGGCGGATCACCTGAGGTCGGGAGTTCAAGACCAGCCTGACCAACATGGAGAAACCCCTTCTCTACTAAAAATACAAAAATTAGCCAGGTGTGGTGGCGGGCATCTGTAATCCCAGCTACTCAGGAGGCTGAAGCAGGAGAATTGCTTGAACCTGGGAGGTGGAGGTTGCAGTGAGCCGAGATTGCACCACTGCACTCTAGCCTGGGTGACAGAGTGAGACTCCATCTCAAAAAAAAAAAAAAGAAAAGAAAAGAAAAAGAATTATGAGGGAGATAAGCTAGAATCATTATCATTAACCTTGGATTATGCTAAAAATAGACTTCTTAAAGGGACTTTACAGATCATTCCGTCCAACAATTTTGAAAGTAAGCGTCATGAGACACTAGACTCCACAAATGTCAAAGGATACCATAGTCACTCACTCACTCACTCACTCACTCACTCACTCAAGAGAGGTCAGGGATCAACAAGCAAATAATTTTGAAAAATTCTGAGCTTAACCAAATTATACAGGTTTCTCTATTTCAGGACATTTAAAGACATTGTGATTCTCCAAGAGGAAGATAAAATGTTTGGCGTTTCCCAAGTCTATCTGATCATGAGACTCTTTTTCCACGAAACATCTTACAGGCTAATGTTGCAAAGAAGACATTTGGGAACCACTCCTCAGATCTGCTCCTTTACATTGAGAGTGAGGAAATAGGGACCAGGGATAATCGGCGGTCCCAGGATTGAAACTCAGGTCTCCACCTTCCCCCTCATCCTCCATGAATAGTCCACCTTCCTGAGTCCATTTGGCTCCCCTCTACTTTGTAATTAGCTCAGCCATGCTTGGCATAGCCCCTTTCAGGCTACAATCCAGTGCCACACATGTACTCAGTAAGTAAGAAAACTCTTCTTTTCATTTTCAAATAATGAAAACAGCTCATGTTCGCTGGGCATCTACTATGTGCCAGGCACTATACTAAACATTTCACCCACATTATCTCATTTAATGATCTCAACAAGCTACGAGAGGGGCCCTATTGTTATCCCCATTTCCCATTTGAGGAAATGGAGCCTTAAGATTGCTGGGCAGTTAGAAAGCTGTGGACAATACTCAAACCCAATCCAAGCACTCAGTCCCCACACACAAATGTGCGGCTGTCTCTCCCACTTAGTGCTCAGTAAATGTTAATGATGACAGATGGTGAGTGACACAGGATAAAATAACAGGAAGAGGTGTTGCAAAACAGGGAAAAGATTGGCCACAGCTTAGAGACTGTCTTGGTTTTCCATTTAAGTGTGCTGTTGGGCCGAGCTAATCATTAAAAGACCTTGGTCTTATCCTGAATCTTGCATTTCTACCTGGCCGGGCTGCTCTTCCTCTGAAACTCTGCCAGTGGGAGGGTTCCACAGAGACTTTGGTCTCCTGTCCTTAATGCCTCTGATTTTTAAACTGAGGTCAAATTCTTCAAGGAAGTAAAGATTGCAAAATATTTCCCAGAAGAACGGTGATGACAGAAGCCAGGTGCCTTATGCCACATTTTGTCATTAAAAAGCCTTAGGTTTTTCTTTTAAGGATGACACTAATCAAAATTACTTATGAGATTGGAGTTCCTCTCCCATTCTTTGCTCACTATTCAAAAATGAAAAGAAGGGCTTTCTCACTTACTGAGCAATACTTATGAGCTGTAACTAGCACATACTCATATCAGCATGGAGACTTTCTGGGACATAAAAAGTGCATATGGAACTACCTCTTGCCTTTTGGGGGCTGATAGTTCATTTGCAGAGATACGACACCCTGAACATTTAAAAAATGCAGAATTTGAGGTGTGCCAGATTTCATAAGGTAAACTTTTATGGTAAATGTCACATTTCTGAGTTAAAGTGAAGAACTTGTGTTCAAGTTGGGGAGACCATTGTGGGCTAGTGTGATTGGAGGCTTTCTCTTGATGGAAGCAAAACTGGAGAAGCTCTAGAAGGATGAACCTGAACAAAAGTGTTGAGGTGCTCTGTCACCACCCTTCAGACCCAGATGGTTTGTTCAGGGTAACAGGAATCAGACCATGCTGTGAGCCAACATCCATGAAGCTGTGGTTTTTTTCCTTGGCTTCCATTTTTGTGCCCCTCCAGCATGGGGGATCATTTTCTGTGAAGCAATGTGTGGGCTACCTGAGTCCCCCAACACACAGGCAGCTCTTCAACATATATCATCTCCATTGCAGTGACAGCTAGTGTGAGAAGTTCCACTTTCTTTATCACTAAGAAAAATGATGAGTTCATGTCCTTTGTAGGGACATGGATGAAGCTGGAAACCATCATTCTCAGCAAACTATCACAAGGACAAAAAACCAAACACCGCATGTTCTCACTCATAGGTGGGAATTGAACAATGAGAACACATGGACACAGGAAGGGGAACATCACACACCGGGGCCGGTCGTGGGGTGTGGGGAGGGGGGAGGGATAGCATTTGGAGATATACCTAATGTTAAATGACGAGTTAATGGGTGCAGCACACCAACATGGTACATGTATACATATGTAACTAACCTGCACGTTGTGCACATGTACCCTAAAACTTAAAGTATAATAATAAAAAAAAAGAAATCTCATCTTCAAATAAAAATAATCCCTGAAGTTAGAATAGTACTTTCTGTCTGCCAAAGGGATTCCATATCTGTTTTTTCATATTTGCACGAAATTCCTCTAAGACAGGAAACACAAACATTATTATCACCATTTAGCAAGTAACAGGAAAAAAATGAGGCCCAGTGAATTTGTCCAAAGTCACAATACCAGACACAGAATCGAAACAAAAATGAATGATCAATCAACCCCAGGGTGCAATGGGCAAAATGTGAATATAGACTGAGTATGGGATGGCAATTGGGAATTTTGTTTGATGTATGTATTAGTCCATTCTCATGCTGCTAATAAAGACATGCAAGACTGGGCAATTTGTGAAGGAAAGATGTCTAATTGACTCACGGTTCAGCATGGCTGGGAGGCCTCAGGAAACTTACAATCATGATGGAAGGGGAAGCAAACACATCCTTCTTCACACGGCAGCAGCAAGGAGAAGTACAGAGCGAAGGGGGAAAAGCCCCTTATAAAACCATCAGACCTCATGAGAACTCATTCACTATCATGAGAACAGCATGAGGGTATCCACCACCGTGATTCGATTACCTCCCACCAGGTCCCTCCCATGACATGGGAGGATTATGGGAACTACAATTCAAGATGACATTTGGGTAGGGACACAAAGCAAACCATATCAGTGTGATAGTGGCATTGTGTTTACCTTGGAAGGCTTCCTGATTTTGGAAAGGTAAATGCTGCAGCTCTATAGGACCAGGTGCCGTGACATCTATAACATCCTTAATTCATCTTAGATGCTTCAGCAAAAATGCCACGGCAACAAGTTGCCAACTACTAAGGTATGCAGCAGCTAGACATGGGTTTCCACTGTCCTATTCCTCTTTTTTACCCTTGAACCCATTCATGTAGAAGAAAAAGATAAAACAGTCCATCCATGATGTTTGGCACACAGCCACAGGTACCAGGATGTGTCAATGATGGGAGAAGACCCTGAGCTCTGCTGCAACTAATTGTGTATGCAAGAGTGGCAAGAGGAGATGTGCACACACCTTAATTTCTTAAATTATTAATAATGAAGGAGGAACTAAGAGCAATTCCGCTTGAGTCCAGATATGCAGAGTCTCCTTGCTGATCAGTCTCTAAATTGCATCAGCCACTGCCTTTGAGGGAGCAACAGCTTCAAGCCAGACAAAGGCCTGCCCTTGAGAATGACATTTCAGAAAGCCCTCAGAAGGCTCCAAGGCAAATAGCGCCGTCCACAAGCAACGGCCACTGGCCAGCCTTGTCCCCAGCTGCAGCCTCAGCCTGGTCTTCTTGTTGCATACTTTCATTTTTAGCCTCAGATTGACCCGCAGCCTCCACAGCTGTCCCTCCACTCCAGCTCCCCCACCACACAATCTGCTTCAAGGTGCTACCAGTCGCCCACCTCCTGACCAAGCCGAGCCGGGCCCCTTGTTTTGGCTTCCTATCTCCCTCCTAGCTTGCACCAATTCAACCTTGTTACCTGGCTCATGAAAAGGACTAACTGGAAAATTCCATGCTACACAGGCTGAAAGGGCTGGAATATATTCTAGGAAATTAATTTCATGGACAGTTTAAAATTCTGCTATTTATTTCAGACATACTCAGCAAGTTTATTTTGACATGACATTATTGCATACTGAAAACAAAAAGTGAAAACATATGCATGTACATGTATGTGTTTGCAAAGTGTGCATTCATGTTTAGTACATGCTAGGCAGTAGATGCTGTGTAAAGTGTGTATATAGCGCAAGCTGCGTGTGTGCATTTGTGTGTTAAGGGCCATGTTTTTCTCCTCACAATAACTAGATTGATGTGTTTGAGATAATAACCTGAAACGTTAGGATTAGAAGTATTTTGCTTACTTATAATGTAGTGACAGATAAAGAGACCCATTGCCCTATTTTTTACTGGTTTAAAATGAAAAATACATTTATAAACCTATATATGGTTCTATTTTTAAATAGTAATTTAAAATGGCTATAATAAATGACCTCAGATTGATTTTTCACAAAATGTGGTTAAGTACAAGTCCATATTATGTGCTGCCTGATGTGAGTTAGTCACTAAAAAATACCAAGTTTAAAAATACTAAGCCCCACAGAGGCCTCTGGCTGTAATGTTCACTGTATGTTACTAGTGCCAGATATATCATAGATAGTTGTTGGATAAATGATTAAATGAACCAATCTGAGTAACTCCCAAAGATGGCATATATCCAGGGACCATGTGACATGCCATGCTCCCTGTTAGCTGGCTCCTGTAAGATAATGCATCCATTTGCTAGAACTGCCATAATGAAGTTCCATAGACTGGGCTCTCAAACAACAGAAATTTATTTTCTCACAGTTCTGGAGGCTGGAAGTCCAAGATCAAAGTCTCAGTGGGCTGGTTCCTTCCAAGCCTCCTTCTTTGGCTTGTAGGTGGCCGTCCTCTCCCTGTGTCCTCCCATAGTCATCCTTGTGCATGTCTGTGTCCTAATCTCCTCTTCTTATAAGGACACCCGTCAGATTGGATTAGGGCCCATCCCAGTGACTTCACTTTAACTTAGTTATCTTTGTAGAGACCCGTCTCCAAACACAGTCACCTTCTGAAGTCCTGGGGATCAGGACTTCAACATATGAATTTTATGGGGCCATGACTGAGCCCATAACAGGTGAATATGGACAAATTGAACACATCTCCATTTAGAGAGGTAAACAGAGACACAGTTCTGGATTCTTGGAGTAAGGTTTGAACCACATACAGGTACAGGAATAGTTAACTATTCATCAGATTAATAATGAAAGTGGAAAAACAGAAAAGAATTTATTAATTGTTGTAAATGCAGCCTGCTCTGCCTTGGATGAATTGGGCCGTGTAACCACCAAGGCCTATAAGAGGACCAATATGGCGAGATGTGGAAACAGATTCCGCTATGCCAGTGCAGCAGCAGGGGCCTGTGTGGGAAGGTGAGAGATCAGAGACTGGGGCCTACTTAGATAGGGGGTCTCGGCTGAGAAATGAAAGGGTTTCTATAGAAAACTGTATGATCCGTGGTTAGCATCTCCATGGTTTTTTATGTGTGCTCCTTACTTCCACAGGGAGCCCATATCCTTCCCAGTGAGCAGAAGTCTCTTCTCTTTTATCTCCACTTTATCTGCATCTGACTCTGTGAACTTCTTTATCTTTCTGTATTAGCCACCTCAGGCTGCCACAATGAAGTAGCCCAGACCAAGTGGATGACACAGCAGATGTTTACTTTCTCACAGTCCTGGGGGCTGGAAGTCCAAGTGCCAGGGTGGTTCCTGGTGAGGGCTCTTCTCCTGGTTTGCAGATGGCCACCTTCTTGCTGTGTCTTCACCTGGCAGAGAGAGTTCTGATGTTTCCTTTTGCTAGAAGGGACTAGTCCTGTCTGTCAGACCAGGGTCCACTCTGATGACATCATTTAACCTTTATCACCTCCTCACAGGCCCCATCTCCAAACACAGTCACATTGGGGGTTAGGGCACCAACATAGGAATCTGGGGGGTGGGGTACAAACATTCCATCCATAACATGTTCCTCAAATAACACAGACAAGCCTCAGTCCACGCCTTCCAAAATGTACATGAAACTGCAGCTGCTCCAGCCCAACCAGATGACATTTCCCTTTTTTGAAGGATGGGAGCAGCAGCCCATGTGAATGAATGATGAGGGGGCTCAGGCACATTGGAACACAAGGAGGGGAAAACATGGGAAGGGGGTGGCTCTCCCTAGCCCCATGTTCATTTATATGGATGAAAAATCAATAATTTTTTTAATTTTGTTTAAGTACCAGGTTGAATTTACTCTCTCTTCTTACTAAAAGTCATTATAAGAGACTCTTTCCTATCTAATTGCTCATAAGTTTATGAGAGAACTAAAAATCTCTCAATACTTCCAAGGTAAACTACAATTTTAATTATCATTTCTCATAATAATTAAGTCCTTCAGCAAAAAAGAAAATACCATGCTGGTTTTCTAAATGGTGATGACTTCCTCTTCAGTGGTCTTCATTAGCATTTTGTTTTTGGGCTGAGAGGATGGAACAGAGGCCACAACGCAACGCAAACAGTTTTCACTGGGGTGTTATGAGAGGGTTTCACACCTGCAAGTGTAGCTGCAGGACCTGTGTGAGTTACAGCCTCACTTGAAAAGTGCTTTGGGATTAGAATTCAGGATCTCATAGATTTGAGAACAGAAAGGGACCTTGAAGTCCAGGCAAAAATCTTTTGAGGTGGAGAACGCTGCTTCTTTAGGCAGAATCTGAGTCCCTGTGCTAGTTTATCTGTGGGGACAAATGCACAGGAGGTGTGCAAAGGACGCTAGAAATGGGCCCACGGGGCCATCATTCCATTCCTGAGGCCACCACGGCGTCCGTGCCTCATCCTTCCCATCAGCTCTGTGACCTGGCATCCTCTGCCCACCCGTGCTGACCCTCCTCTGTGGCCTGTCCTCCTCTGCCCACCCGTGCTGACCCTCCTCTGTGGCCTGGCATCCTCTTTCCACCCATGCTGACCCTCCTCTGATGGCTCTGTGCCCCTAGGACCACCTCTACAGCCGCATCACCTGGACCCCCGGGACCTCGGGCTGCTAGTCCAGTCCAACGGGAGACACAGGCAGCAGACGACCAAGTGCCGCATCCAAGACTGGGCCTCATGCGAACGGCCCTCCCTGGGCTCCGCACACTTTGTCCCCTCCATGCCAGGCCAGCCCTGGGGAGCAGAACCCTTTCCAGTGCTCTCTGGGTGCCTCAGTTTCTCGTGTCTGTTCCCTAAACTCACCCGTCCCTCTGTAAATGGGCCCTGTATTTGTGTTCTGTCTCGGCCGGACCTCACCTGGGGCAGTGAAGGCAGAAGGAAGAGGGCTCCTCAGACCTGAGTTCCACTCAACAGACCATGTTCTCACTGCTTCATTACAAATAAACCAGGTTCTACATTAAAAAATGTGGCAAAATGCACACAGACCTTATTAATGCAGATCTCTAAGAGAATGAAGAGATCGATCCCGGGATGTGAACTCTTCAAAGCCATGTCTCGGACACTCACAGTCGGCAGCAGTCTCTGCTTTCATAACAATGCCCTTAAGTTGATATATGGTCTGTTACACAAAACCCAGAGAACTGCATAGCGCCACAGCAAGACCAGCTGGCCAAGGCCGACCTGACTCCACCATCCCACTCCCGGCACTGGGCCAGGGCCCAAACAGGAACCCTCAGCCAAGAGGCTTGGCTCCTCAGCTTCCACCTGGACATGTGATTCCCATGTCGGGAAAGACCCTTGTGTCCCTTTAGGGAGTGGCAGTGAGGCCTCAGATCCCACCAGTGTGCCTCTAACAGCCTTTCATTCAACGCAACTGGCCTCAGCAGGTGCAGCAAAGCCAGTGTGGGTCAGAAAGCCTCTCTGCCCAAAAGGTTACAGACCACTTACAAACAAGTTGGTTGTAGACTTGATGAAAATTTTTAAAATGTATTTTTTGAAAATCAAACAAACCTGATACCATGGTGAAATAAAGAAGTTACTACTTCTGGGCTGAAATTAGTCTGCAGGAAAAAAAAAAAAAAAAAAAAAAAAAAGACGATCTCCTGGTTTCTTTACTAGGAAAAGAGACTTTTGCTTGAAGCAATAAGTTTCAGGTTCCTGATTTTCCTGTGAACTCTTTGCAAATCTTTTAAGACTTACCAAGATATTTATGACCAAATACTATTAAGCAATTTAGGAAATGATATGCTATTTACCTTCATCGTTTGTGTTGAGGATTTTCTGAGTGTCTGTGCCTTTGTGTTCCCATCAGAAAGATTCATCAACCGTCAAAGTTTTCAGATCACGGGCTACCTTCATTAGAGTTGGCATGACCCTAGAAAATGCTCTGGCAACAAAACAAAACTTCGCATGAGGCCAAACATAAAGGCAGGTTATGAAAGATGTTTCCTGGGCACGCCTGGAATTCCCCTCATTAGCAGAGAATCCTCCTAATCTGCTTAAAACGTATCATGCTGTATTCCAGAACACCTCCCGATGTTTCCTCTGCCTCGGTGCTTTCTTCTTTTAAGTGTGTTTTCTTTTGAGGCACTAGATTTGAACATGTGACAAGACAGCATCGCCTAGTGGAGACAGAGCATTGGGTAAAATCCAAGACTCCCAAGAGTGACTCGGCTTGTTGACGACTTGACTTTCTCAACTATAAAATGGGGATCATGCATCATCACATTCCGTTTCACAAATACACTATAAAGACAAATTCTGTTCATTGAGGAAGGGCTTCTAACTTCTCAAAGGAAAGGCAAAGTTTGAGTTAGTCAAGACTTCGCTTTGAGAGCTCTGGGGTTGATATCCTCGCTGTTTAGAAGCAGCTTGAAGCTTCAGGTGGAGTGGGGAGGTGTGAGATCGGTAAATGTGGGCTTTTGTATCTTTCCCCTTCAGGACCTGATATCAACAGTCCTCTGCCTCCCAAGTCCTCTTGAGGTGTCAGTGGATGTCAATGCAGCTACTTCTCTGAGATACATAGGGGTCTTTTTGCATTTCACCAGGAAATTGTGGAAAACGTAACATGTGTCTGATACGAGAATTCCAAGGGCTCCCACGGGAGGCTCGGTGAATCTTCAGGAGTCTTCCAGAACAGTCCTCAGTCTAACCCACCTGCAGGACACAGCTCTGTCCTACCTCCCTGGAGTCAAGCCCTTCCTGAAGGAAGCATTCTGGCCTTACCCACAAAATTAAAACTCAAGAATCCAGACAAAGTCAAAAGCCAGATAAACACTTGTAAGTTACTGGGGTAGAAACCCAAAAGAAGAGGCAAAGTTTTGATGGAAGTATTTTTGGCTCAAGGAGGCCCAAATTCCTCCTGCTGCTCAATCATTTGATCTGATTTTGCATCTCATGATTAGACCAGCCCCATCAGTGCACTTCCCATCCATGCAGCATGGAGCCTGTTCTTGCCCTACTTCAGCCTTGTTTTTTTTGTTTTTTGAGACAGTCTTGCTCTGTCACCCAGGCTGGAGTGCAGTGGCGTGATCTCGGCTCACTGCAAGCTCCGCCTCCCAGGTTCATGCCATTCTCCTGCCTCAGCCTCCAGAGTAGCTGGGACTACAGGCGCCCGCCACCACACCTGGCTAATTTTTTGTATTTTTAGTAGAGACGGGGTTTCACTGTGTTAGCCAGGATAGTCTCGATCTCCTGACCTCGTGATCCACCCGCCTTGGCCTCCCAAAGTGCTGGGATTACAGGTGTGAGCCACCATGCCTGGCAAACTTCAGCCTTGTTAAGACCCTCCCCAGGTTTTAGCCTGTTTTCTGCTTCAGTGAGATTCCCTCAACTGTGAGTTTTTTAAGGGTTTATGTTCCCTGTATCTTTTCAAATGATGCTCCTTAATGGAACATTGAAAATCTTCCCCAGAGCAAACTTTCCTCAAATTTGTTTGGTGGAAGAAGAATAATATCTTCCTATTATTCAAAGCAATTCCTTCATTTCAGGACATCTCAGAGATACAAAACTATGTCCCAATGTCAACCTAGCCAGCTGGGTCAGCTCACAGCCTCGGTGACACTGAATCAAAAGTAGAGTTGGAAGTGTGTGAGTTTGATCAGGGAAGTGCCTGTGAGTAAGAGAGAGGGAGCAGGAGCAGGAGGGGAGAGCCTGCAGCTGAACTGCAGACCTGACCTGCTGCAGGATGAGGAAGGAGGCTGGAGGCACAAGGTCCCACAGCTGCCGCACAGCTCGAGAGTCTCTGCCAGCCTGTGCAAAAATGGCACAGAGGGAGCTGTTGGCCTATCATCCAGTAGGACCCCAGCTATGACCACTAGCAAGAATTCTCACTCTTGGGGGACTAGAACTAGCCTTGAAGATACCACAAATGTTTGATTACCACCTTTATAGAGGCTTTAATGTTTTGTAGCATTTGTGTCTCCTCACCACCCTTTCTTTTTTAAAATGTCATGTTTATTCATGGCCATTCTCTTCTGAATACATGGAAATTAGTTAAAAAGAATCTAATACCAGTAGTCACTAAGTAAATGTTCGTTGTTATTATTAGTATTATTTCTTATTAGGTTTATTCCATCAGATGAACAGTGGCAAGAAGAGGAAGCACCAAGTCTCCCAATGGGCCAAGAGGAGGGATGAAAGTGGGGCTACTCCTTTCTCCACCCCTGGTTCCTGGGCTCCCTTGGGAACACAGTGCCACAGAGAGAGCTCAGATTCTGGGCATAGCCTGCCGCCTCACAGAGTACTGCCCTCGAGCTGGGGTTTCAGCCAACACCCCCCAGCTCTATCAGGCCTCAAGCACGTGGACAGGTGCATGATGCTTCCAGTAGGTCCTGTGGCAGGGGCCCTCCTGCCCCTCTGATATGGTCTGGCTGTGTTCCCACCCAAATCTCATCTTGAATTGTAGTTCCCATAGTTCCCACGTGTCATGGGAGGGACCCAGTGGAAGGTAATTGAATCATGGGGGCGGGTCTTTCCTGTGCTGTTCTCGTGATAGTGAATAAGTCTCACGAGACCTGATGGTTTTGTAAGGGATAGTTCTCCTGCACACACTTTCTTGTCTGCCACCATGTAAGATGTGACTTTGCTCCTCCTTTGCCTTCAGCCATGATTGTAAGGCCTCCCCAGCCACGTGGAGCTGTGAGTCCATTAAACCTCTCTCCTTTATAAATTACCCAGTCTCGAGTGTGTCTTTATTAGCAGCGTGAGAACAGACTAATACACCCTCCCTCCCTGTGATTCCCTGAGGTTCCATTAGAGTCCCTGCCTGTGCCCCTGATACTCAGACAGTGGTATTGCCTGAAGCTTTGAAGAAGGAACAGAAAACCAGCACCCAGGATGGGTGACTGCTACCATGAGGCCAAGCTGCCATTCCTCCCAGACAGAAAGGGTGCAATAAAGCCAGTTTGTCTCCAGGTGGTCAGAGGTCCCTTGAGGAACAGAGTCACATCAGGGGCTCACCCATGACTTTTCTTGCTGGCTGTTGGAACATCAGCCACCAAATTCACCTTGGCAAACAGGAATTCCTGCTAGTGGGGCCACGAATAGCCCCTATCTCTGCCACTGCATGCTTCATGGCAGCTCTTACCTTGCACGGCTAAGGTCCCAGAGTGTGTGTTTTCAGGGGGCCCAGCTCTGTGGGTTCTCTACTACTCACCTCAACCACTGCCACTCAATCTCCAAAGCTTCCGTTATTATCTATATGCCAGTAACTCCAAAATCTATATTTCCTTTCAAGACTGGTCTCCTGAAACTCAAACACACATGTCTAGCTGTCTATTACATGTCTCCACTTGGGTATTCCAGAGCACTTCAAACTCAGCATGTCGAAGAATGAACACATGAGCTTCTCCACCCAGCCTGCTTCTGCACCTTTCCTGTCTTGGTGAATTGCACCACTACTCCCAGCTGCCCAGCTCCTCCCTCTTCCAGAACCTCATGTCCCATCCTTCACAAACTCTTGAATATTTCTGTGTGTTCATGATCTGCACGTTAACCCAAGCCACCACTGGCTTTCCTGGACTACAGTAATTTCCTGGCTGGTCTTTCTGCCTGCAGTATAATCCACCTCCAAGTCACTTTCCATTTTGCAAATGAGTGATAATTCAATGACATTTGCCTATTTAAAACAGTTCGAGAGATGATAGCTAAAGTCATTCATCGAGGGGTAAAGTCCCTTTATGGTGTAGTCAGAATGGAGAAAAGTCTGGGAATCAGAATTAATGAAAAGTGGCTGAGCTGAAATGAAATGTGTGGCCCAGAGAAGATTTGGGGGAGACCATGAGAGTATTTTTCCATTTTTTATGGCCTGATGTTTTTTACATTTTTACCTCATCTAAATGTAATTCATTTGGGAGAATAAAGTCAGCATCTAAGTTGACCTTTTAAGACAATATTTAAAATTAGTAGCCAACTGCAACATATAGAATATATGACATTTTCCTTTACATAATATAAAGATAAATAAATTCAAAATGAGCACTTGTGAGACTCTCTGATTTTGAACTTATTCTCCTGAACAGATACCACAAATGTTTGATTACCACCTTTATAGAGGCTTTAATATTTTGTAGCATTTGTGTCTCCTCACCGCCCTTTCTTTTTTAAAATGTCATGTTTATTCATGGCCATTCTCTTCTGAACACATGGAAATTAGTTAAAAAGAATCTAGTACCGGTAGTCACTAAGTAAACGTTCATTGTTATTATTAGCATTATTTCTTATTAGGTTTATTCCATCAGATGAACTTTAAAATCATTCTGGCAATCTCAAAAACATGAAGAAGAGGAAGCTTAATCCCATTTTCATTGATTATTTTAGTCCTAACAATTAATTTTAGGAAAACTGCCATCTCCATAGTATTCATCTCCCACTGCATCAACATGGAATGCTTCTCCATTTATTCTGTTTCTATCTTTTCTTAAAATAAATGATTGCTTTCCTCTAATATGTTCTATACTTTCCTTCTTAATATTATTTTAGGCAGGAAAATCTTTGGCTTCAATAAACAAGAAAAGCCACTCAAATTAACAAGAAAAAGAGATTTTATTGTAGAATATACCTCATGGAACTCAAGGAATTCAAAGACAGAACACACAATATAGACAAGCACCCCAGGGGCTGGAACAAGATAGCCAGGGCCAAAGCTCTTCTCTCTCTCTCTCTCTCTCTCTCTCTCTCTCTCTCTCTCTCTCTCTTCCCCTCCCTCCCCCTGCTTCTCTCTCCCTCTCTCTATCTCTTTCTCTCTCTCTCTCCCCTCTCCCTCCCCTCTCTCTCCCCTCCCTCCTCCTCCTTCTCTCTCTCTCTCTGTCCCTCTCTCTCTCCCCACCTCTCCCCTTCTTCCCCCTCCACCCAGCAACACACACACAACGTCTCAGTCTCTGCTCTGCTTGGTGAATCCACTCTGGTCCTGAGTGTCTCTCTTCAGACCAGCTTCTCGGCTTGCTCGAGGTGTCTGCTTCTCTGTGAATTTAGTTGGCACGGGGATTTGATTTGTTGTGGTCCATTTTCCCACCAACTCTGCATGAATTTTCACCTCCGTGCCACGCCCCCCCACCATCACCACTGAACTAGCCTGTATAGTCTCTGTGTCTCTTCATTCAAATTCAGCAGAGAGAGAATTGGTGGCAGGTGTGGGTCAGCCACTTCGCTCCGGGACCCATCGGTTTGGGACATGAGGGAGGTGCAGGAGAGCCGCCAGGCAGCAGTGTGGTGTCTGCATCATGTGACGCCGAGGTCGCCCCTGCCAGGGCAACGCACAGGCGGCAGGGCCCTTAAAAGTGCAGTCAATAGGTCTGAAAATGATAGACGTGGCTAATGGCATTCCTAGACATCACACAAAGATTTATCATAGCAGGATTTATCTTTCATTGTATTACCCACAAGTTGTTCCCAAATATAGTAATAATCTTGACATCTGTGTAGTTATTACACATCCAGCAATCAAATTCAATCATTTTTAACTTGATTCCTTTTAGAACTTTCAGTCCTAATATTTAAAATACTGATTCCTTTTTTCCTCCATTTTAAAATTTTATTCTAGTTACCACATTGTTCTTGCAATTGCTTGGATTTTTCAGAATAGTAATAAATAATAACGGGAATCCTAGGCATTCGTGTTTTTCTATGTTTTTAACAGGATTTTCTCTAATGTTTCGCTATTAAATACCATGCAGGAAATTGGGAAATAATATCACAACCCAAGGTAAATGGAGCTAACAGCATAGATGGGACAAGCTAAGACATGAGGACCAGCTTGCGACTCCAGACCTGGGAAGACCCCATGAGAAGCAGGGAGAGGGTGGGGGCAGTCATGGGCAGGCTGGGAAACTCCCTCTGCTCACTGAGCCTGTGGGAGCAGGCCCCTGGAGACCCCAGGTTTCACATAGTAGCCACACGAAGCAGAAAGTCAGAAGCACAGAAGGCTTCTTCCCAAGGTGGTGTGGCAGGCCAGGAAGCAGGTGGCAGGGCGCTGGCATGAAGGCCAGCCAGAGAGCAGAACGCCAAACACCAGCCCCTGGGGTTCCACTGGCATCACCAGCTCCCGCCGTGCTAAGTGGAATTTTCAGGTGGAGGAGAGTTGGGAAAGGATAGAAGTGATATGCTATGGAAATCCTTACATTGTATGCTATTATGAAGTTGAGTTTTAAAACATTATAATGTGCTATTAGAAAAAAATCCTTTTTTATAGTCATTATTCTTCTATGGTCATATCTTTTTATTTTGTTGATGGGCTTAAGCCAGCTTAGTTGGTTCTAATGTGATTTGATTAGCACTATACTATAGCCTTTCTCAACGAATTACAACCTCCTAGAACAACAGCCGTGGCTTCATGGCTTTTACATTCTTCACAGCAGCTACTATTTGGCTGTGTCTATGATAGGTACTCAATAAATACTTACCGAATACAATCAAAAATTCTAAAAAGTATTGATACCCGGAACCTACTACTAACCTCGATCATTCTCTCATAACTCCTTCCTATTGGCATCAAGTGCAACGGCGGCCAAGAGAATGTGAATAGGCTGATACCAACCACTCTCCGTCCCAATTCAGAAAACATCAGCCTGTAACACAGTGTGACCCAGGAAACATGCCAGAGTGTGTGTGTGTGTGTGTGCATGCGCGCGTATGTGCACGTGTGCAAGTGAAAGTAAATGCTGATTTTGTTTATAGGATTTTCATTTTTGTTGAAAAGGGAAATGGGGAAAGGATGGCCCTAAAAGGCTAAAGCATAAAAGCTTGTAAGCGAGCCCTTGAGGCTTCACTTACAGTAAACTTATTTCTACTTTACATATCATTTTAATAATCCTGGGGTTTGTCAAGTTTTTACATCGAATGTTTTATATAATAAATATCACTCATTTTTAAAATAAAATCAAAATCCAAAACCATCCACCATCTACAATTCTTTTGCAAGAACTGGAATGTGTGCTGCAAAGGAAACGATCGACAGAGTGAGGAGGCAAACCACAAAATGAGAAAATATCCGTAAACCATCCATCTGGTGAGGGGCTAAACATCCAAAATACATGAGGAACTCAAGCTACCCTGCAGCAAGAAAACAAAGAACCTGATTACAAAATGGGCAAAGGATCCAAACAGACACGTCTTAAAGGATGAGATGCACACAGCCAACAGGTACATTAAAGATGCACAACTTCTCAAGTCAGCAGGGAGGTGCACATGAAAACCACTGGATATCACCACGCGCCTGTTAGAAGGTTATTACGAAAAACACAAATGGCAAGTGTTGGCAGGGATGTAGGGAAGGGGGAAGCTTGCACATTGTGTGTAGGAATGTAAACTAGTACAGCCATTTTGGAAGACAGCATGGAGGTTCCTCAAAAAGTTAAAAGTAGCACTACCATACAATCCAGCAATCCCACAGCGGGGGAAAGACCCAAAGGAAATGAAATCAGTATGCAGAAGGGATACCTGCATTCTCAGGTTTATTGCAGCACTATTCACAATAGTCCAGATTTGGAATAACCTAAGTGTCCATCGACAGATGAATGTATAAGAAATCGTGGTATATGGCCGGGCATGGTGGCTCACGCCTGTAATCCCAGCATTTTGGGAGGCTGAGGCGTGCAGATCACGAGGTCAGGAGATCAAGAACATCCTGGCTAACATGGTGAAACCCCGTCTCTACTAAAAATACAAAAAATTAGCCAGGTGTGGTGGCGCACACCTGTACCCCCAGCTACTCTGGGGGCTGAGGCAGGAGAACCGCTTGAACCCAGGAGGTGGAGGTTGCCGTAAGCCGAGATCACACCATTGCACTCCAGCCTGGGCAACAGAGTGAGACTCCGCTCAAAAAAAAAATCGTGGCATATATACGCAATGGGATATTATTCAGCCTTAAGAAAATATAAAAGGAAATTCTGTCATTTGCAACAATAAGGATGAACCAGGAGGACATTATGCTAAGGGAAATATCCAGGCACAGAAAGAAATACTGTGTGACCTCACTTACAGTGAAATTTAAAAAGTCAGTCTCATAGACACTGGAAGCAGAAAGGTGATTTTTGCCCCAGAGGCTGTGGTGGTGGGGAGAGGACGATGCTGATCCAAGGTCTCCCTTCGCATGGAGGAAGAAGTTCTAGTGATCTAATGTGCTTCATGGCAACCACAGTTAATAATAACATACTGTATATTTCAAAATTGCTAAAAGAATAGATTTTTAACATTCTTATCACATACAAAAAAATAAGTTGGTGAGGTGATGGATATGTTAATTAGCTTGATTGAATCTTTCTACAATGTATTACCTAGATCAAAACATCACAGTTTACCCCAAAAGTATACACAATTATTTGTCAATTAAAAACAATATGTGGCCAGGCACAGTGGCTCACACCTGTAATCCCAGCACTTTGGGAGGCCGAGGAGGGCAGATCACCTGAGGTCAGGAATTCGAGACCAGCCTGGCCAACATGGTGAAACTCTGACCCTACTGAAAAATACAGAAACTAGCTGGGTGTGGTGACGGGTGCCTGTAATCCCAGCTACTTGGGAGGCTGAGGCAGGAGAATCGCCTGGACCCGGGAGGTGGAGGCTGCAGTGAGCCAAGATGGTGCCACTGCACTCCAGCCTGGGCGACAGAGCAAGACTCCATCTCAATAGTAATAATAATAATAATAATAATAATAATAATAATGTAAAAAGTAATGTCTATTAAAAAAGTAGGGTAAGTACACTTTTGATGAAGATTTTTGTTTGATTAAACAAAGAACTAGAATGTGTTTGGGACTAGAGGTGGAATAAAACATTATTTTCTCAGGTTGATTTTTCACTCACAGAATCAGGAAGGCATTCCAATTCATTGAAAGGAGAGGCAGAGTGGGCGAACCTGCACCGGGCACGCGCACATGTGAGAAGCGCTGCCTGTGGCCGCTGGGAGGCTGCGCCATGGCCCGCTCCGGAGAGCTGCGAGGTGGCTCTGCGAGGTTTGGCTGGAGCTGGGCAGCGAGGCCTGCCCACGGGTGGGAGAGCCGCCGACCCGTCATGTTTGCTTCTCCCGCGCGCAGCCTCATGGGCCTGCGGTGAGATTTATGGTATCTATTATTGAGTTGTAGATCAGCCGAGATATTGCATGTCAGTGTAAACACCTTTTCACACTCTTCACCATATAACTTGTCATTTTTAATCTCCTACATTGATGTTAAACATCTCCTTACCATCAAACTGTAAATACAGCATGGACCATTTTTCTACGTGACTAAAAAGAGTGATTGAAGAGCTGATTAAAAAAAAAATTCCTTGATTTATTTCACCCGAGTTTCCTCAGAAATATGCTATGATTTATGTCCTAGCAGAGGCTGTCTGATTAGTTCACTCTGGGCTAAAAAGGCAAACCATTAAAGGCATTAAAATTTCAACAAGAACGTTATCTCCACAGTCAGCACAATAGTGACATCTTGTGCCTAGGAACTCGGGAGATAGCACAGCCCTGCCACTTCTCGGGTCAAACCTGGGGCCCCAGGAACCAGCACACGGCCAACCGCGCACAAAGACTAAACTATTTAAAACGTTGACGGTTCCTCCATAGACGGACGGACTCCAGCAAGGGAGGCTGCTTTTTGAGTTAGACTTTCCATGTGCAGAACACAACTGGGTGGTCCTAGCGCCTTTTCTCATCATACAAGAGAGTCTGCAGCTTCCAGGCGTTCCAGGGCCAGGGTTCCAGCCCCACTCAGGCCAACTTTAAATCACGAGCCCATTCTTCTTCTGTAAAGTAAAGGCCTCAAGTCTGAGGTCAAACTTTTCATATTTACAGTTCTTGGATTATTTTCATTAGGAAGACTATTAAAAGGAAATAGAAAGCCTGTCGCATTGTCAGTTAACACATTTTGTATCACATTAAGACAAAGACAGTGCCTCTCTGTCTCAAGGCGTCCTCGGTTAACACTAACAGTTACCTGTAGGCACAGACCCAGGCAACCACAGAACTCCAGCACAGCACACAGAAGGCGCTTCCGTGGCTCCCACACACCTGAAGGTCAGCTAGGGGTCAGCCGATCTAGGCTGGGTTCAGCTAGAGCAGCTCACCTCTGCTCCTCCAGTCTCTTCCTGGGAAGAGTGGGCTATCCTGGGCCAGGTCCCAACTCAAAGGAAGTGGGCTATCCTGGGCAAGTCCCCAACACAAAGGAAGAAGTGCAAGAGGCTGGGGGAAAAAAGGCCTCTGAGT
This sequence comes from Homo sapiens, assembly GCF_000001405.40. NCBI lineage: Eukaryota > Metazoa > Chordata > Mammalia > Primates > Hominidae > Homo > Homo sapiens. Next base: position 156,545,168 of record NC_000007.14, read on the forward strand.
TCTAGGCTTATGCCCCGTTCCATACGTCAATGCAACTCACACATCTGAATCCAAAGTCCAGGGCAGGAAAATGCAAAGCACCCCTTCAGCAGGTGGAGCTGCAGAGTCACATGTGTGAAGTCATGTGAATAACCCGAAGTCTAAGGAGGAGTAAAGGAGGGAACAGGAAGGCAATCTACCACTCCACACTGGGAGAAAAGTGAACGGAAATGCAGAGACCCCATCTGCATTTCCATTGTTCCTTGCACAGTAAACGCTCCAACCAACCCAACTACCAGAACCCACTTATTTGATTTAATTTAATAAGTATTTGTTTTGACTCTGTCTGACCAAGCCTTGGTGGTAGGCCAGAATCGGGGAACTGGTTTACCCACCTCCTACTCAGGCCTCTGGACATGCACCGCCTGGCCAGAGATCACACCAGGTAATACGGGGGCATATGCATTCAATACTAATGAGGCTTCCTGCTCATTACACAGAACACCAGAAAACACACACAAGATAAGTACAGGTTTCATTCAATCACTCTTTGAAAACACATCATCAAATTCAAATGAGTAAAGCAAACAGGTGTGTATTCCGAAGTAAAAAAAATTAAAAATTTTCTTTTTATAAAGAACTTTAGCATAAAAACCTGGATGTGAGAAACCTGGGAATACCTTAGTCAACAATTTGGATATAAAATTATTTTTAATTTGTTGGCACTGAGGTAATATTTTTTTTCTCAGTATGATGGCCTTTTTATCCAAGCATATATTTGTGAATTTTGTGTTAGACTTATTCTATATCTGACACATTTCGTGAATGGGCCGGAAAGGTCTCCTGACATCAGTTACAGGCCTGAGAAAACTCATTACTACAGCGTTTTAACAATTTTAAATTCAGGTGTTCCCTGTAGAGTAACAGATGAAATGCACACAGGATCTCTTGGGGAGGAGACTGAGAAACGTGGCACAAAGCTGTTGTTGCCCAGGAAACAGACACAGCAGCAGAAAACCACGGGAGGGCTGCCTCCCGGTCCGTCATCATTGGAAAGCCTCCTGTGCTGCAACTGCTGTCCTTCCAGCAGTTAGAAATCACGGAAGTGAACACGGATGATGATGAGGATGAAGGGAAGGGGTGGCTGCACGGCGAGATCTCTCATCCATCAGAAACTGGGTCTTCTCCAAGCTCTGAAAGACTCTCTTGGAGGTGCATGTTGCACTAAGGAGCAAAGTGACAACATCCAAAATGTGCTTTTCTCAGTTCAGCAGAGAAGTTGTACACACATCAGTTCAACATGGCAAGAACGCTCACCAACGATTATCTGCACCCGTGTGCTCCTCACAGCATTCTTCAACCTTCCTGCTGCGCTTGAGCCTTTTCCAAACAAAAACGTTTAAAACATTCAAAAATAAATAAATGTCCTCTTGCGGGCTTCTTGCCAAGATGTCATTATAGCATCAGTTTTGAGGTTCCCTCTCAGGCCCAAACATTTACCATGACAGATAAAATCTACCAACCACACCACCCCCCGCCCCACCCCCTGCCAAAAAAAAAAAAAACATGATCAAGCTCAAATTTAGCTAAATAACTCTATGAACCAAAGGTGATACAAAAATGGAAAGCTGGCTGAGCATGGTGGCTCACACCTGTATTCCCAGCACTTTAGGAGGCTGAGGTGGGTGGATCACTTGAGGCTAGGAGTTCAAGACCAGCCTGGACAACATGGTGAAACCTCATCTCTATTAAAAATACAAAAATTAGCTGGGCGTGGTGGTGCATGCCTATGATCCCAGCTACTCAGGAGGCTGAGGCAGAAGAATTGCTTGAACCCAGGAGGCGGAGCTTGCAGTGAGCCGAGATGGCGCCACTGCACTCCAGCCTGGCAACAGAGCGAGACTCCATCTCAAAAAAAAAAAAAAAAAAAAAAAAAAAAAAAAAAAAAGGAAACCTGAGAGTAGTGGAGTTTGAAAACAGCACGACAACCATGACACAGCATCCCCGAGGTACCAGGTAAACCAGGCTCACAGACGAGCAGGGCCAGAGGAGGGTCCGACCCGTTTAACGCAGCCAGCAACATTAACACTAGAACCAGAGCGGGAAAATGCAGGAAAACGTCACTTGCCATCCCTGCTCTTGCTCACACACGCAAGAATTCCAAACTCAATATTAGCACATCAGCCGTGTATACAGATCATTTATCATGGCAACGTGGGATTTAACCCAAGAGTGAAAATGGTTCAACACCAGAATATCTACAAAGTAACTACTAAGTTAACCTAACAGATTAAAGAAGAAAAGACATATGCTCTCCTCAGTTGATTCAGAAAAATCATTTTATAAAATTAACAATCATTCATGTGTTTAAACAATATACAAAATAGAAAGGAACTTTCTTAACCTGACTTTTTTTTTTCCAAAAAAAAAAAAAAAAAAAAGGGTCGGGGGAAGAATCAAAAACTCACAGCAGGGCATGATGAAATTTCAGCTCACTGCTAGGTGCCTGTCTAATTCTTCAAATCAGTATAGGGTTGCTTTTCCCTTGCAGCTTCCAAGAGGACAGTTATTTATTATTGATGTTTTAAATTTTTTTTATTTGGAAAAAGCTCAAGTTGCTGATGTAGGAGGTTGCTTGTGGTGAGCCAGTGCTCCTGCCAATATTAAACAGAAAATCTGGGGAAAAAAAAAAAAAAACACCCCGAAGATCTGTTTGAAAGCATTGAAGCACCACAGAGACCACAGGACTTGAAACGGCCAAACCACGGAGAAGGGTAAGCTCCCCAGAGAGGGGGCCACGTCCTGCAGCTTCTCCCATCAAGCCTGATATAGAGCGAGACTGCGGTCTGCACAAAGGGCCGGTCCTGAGGCCACGACTGAGAGGCAGAGACCCCACCCAGGCTTCGGCAGGCTCATGTGGATGGAGAACTAAAATGAGAGACTCGAGGGACCAGGTTCCCCCTGAGAAGGGGAGGGATAAACCAGTCCTGGCGGGTGTCAGCATTTTCCTTCACACATACGCTGCCTTATGAGGCTGCAAGGGGTGGAAAGGCACCAAGCCAAAAAGAAAGCCCCAAGCCACAGTAGCGAATGTTTAGCAAGTTCTAGAAAAATCAAGGCTTGGAGATTAGCACCTGCCGAGAAGAGGAGCCTGCTGATCCCCACGGCCTTTGGCTGAGACCCCAGGAGGGGAGAGGCACACAGAGCCCAGCTGACGGCCCAGCCTCAAGTCAGCTTAGACCACAGCGAGGGAAAGGCAACCATCGCCTCCTTGATCTGCCTCGCACAGAAAGCATGAACCCTCTCTGGGAGCAGACAACACCCAGAGATCTCACAACTGTTCATATACAAGGTCTAGAATTCAGGGCGGGCAGGGGAATTCCAGGCACATTAACGTGACAGAACTCAGTGACCAAAAGTCAGGGGAAACAAGTCAACAGAAATACACCCACCTTTGATGCACATATTGAAATTACCGGGTAAGGAATTTAAAATAGTTTATGGATATGTTCAAGGAAATGATGGGGAAAATAATGAAAAATGGGAAATCTCACCAGAGAATTGACATCTATTAAAAAGAACCAAATGGGAATTTTAGAACTGGAAAATACAATAATTGAAATTAAGAACTCAACAGATGGGTTTAACAGCAGATGATACCCAGCAGAAGAAAGGGTCATGAACTAGAGTCCAGGTCAATGGAAAATGTCGCGACTAAAGCACAGAGAAGAAAAGGGTGGGGACTGCAGAAGACAGCATGATAGGCCTGCTGGACTTCAGGGAAATGACCTAACATGCCTCAAACTGCAGATCCAGAGAGAAACCAAAGCCAGAGTACAGAAAAACCACTGTTTAAAGAGATCATCGGTAACATTTTCCAAAACTAATGAAAGACATCATCAAGGCAAGCCATACATTTATAAAGTTCCACAAATTCCACCAGGATAAATAGAGGGTAAAGACATGAAACCCTCCACACATACTCTGACAGGTAAAAGGTTTAGCCTGCAGCAAAAGCCTGCGGAAACCAACAAGCCACAGCCTGGGATTTTTGCAACCCCTGAAACCAACGAAAGGTGAAAAACCACATTATATATTTTTAAAGCTGAAAAATCGATTTTTAAAAGACAGGCAAATCACATTCTTATCCAAGTCTGGGAGGCCTCACATGACTGGACCAAGGACCGAGAGCACCTGCCATCGCATCCATCTGCCCGCACACCGCCCAGTCCCCTCCTGGGCTCCTTCTCTCCCAGTACTTGGCTGGAAGCAGCAAGAAGACACCAGGACTCACCAAAGCCTTTCTTCTTCCCAGAACTGCCTCTCCTGGAACAATGGGTTCCACAAGCCACAGCCTCCTGTCCGGGTTCCAGACCATGTGGGTAACACTTCCACCAAACGTCTTCCCAGGACTTCACAAGACCATCATATTCACAGCCCACAATGTCTGTTTCTTCATGCTTGCCCCTGGCTGCTGGGCCAACGCACATTTTGTAAGGTTTTATTACAGCAGATCCCCATCCGCAGGCTCACGTTTCTGATGAGGTTACTGACCCCAAATACAGCGAGATGAATGAGCTATCAGTGTACATCATGCTCATGTCACAGTCCAGAGCTCCGCAGTAGGTACATGACAATGGCATGATGCTGCTGGAGGTCCAGGCTGGCCCGGCGGCTCTGCCATGCTGGGCGCATGGCTGTCTCTGGGTGGAGGCTACAGCTGTCTCCACATCCTACCAGCCGAAAGGAAAAGCAGGCATCCAGGCAAGATGTCACCTCTACCTTCTCACCAGCCCAGACAGTCATATGGCTACACCAGTTGCATGTGTGTCTTAGAAACGCAGTCAGCTTTCCAACCACTGCAGATACCAGAAGGATGAAGAGAGGTGGAAGGAGTCCACATGAAGTACCATGGGGCTGATTCTTCCATCCCACAGTCATATCCCCTCCCCAGGAGGCTGCCTGAGGAGAGATGGGCTACACAGATCAAGGTTTTGACTCCTCCAGGCTCACGGCCACTGCCCCTCTCCTCCTCGTCTACTGATCCATCTCTTTCTGCCACCAGGACAAAGTTATTTCAGGGACTTACCTCTTCTGACCCTTGACTTACTTCGGTGCCAACTTGCTAAGCCCTGACAGATCTCCCCAGCCCCAAATCCAGGGAGGAAAAGGCTGAGGTGCTGGTTCCCCCACACCAGGAGACCCTGGACTCCTTCTACTATATAGTAACCCCCTTCCCCAGGCCCTGCATTCTCAAGGAAGAGCTGAGTGGATGTGTCCGACTGAGGTCCTGAATGTTAATTTTGCCAAGGTGGGGGTTAATTAAGAGACATCAATTTATAAGGCAACGTAGATTTCCTCTATGGCAATCTCCTGCATCTATCCATAAAGAAAAGCAACTAGCACATCTTTTCTCTACACACACACACACACACACACACACACAAACACACACCCGCCCCACGCTGAGGCATTCCATTACACACTGTATGCCACCCAAGGACGTGAAAGAAGACTTAAGAGCATTTACACCTGTTGTTCCAAAATTCAGCTGTCTAAAATATCAGTTCTCCTTAAATTAAAAACATCATTTTTATCCAAATCTTAATGAAGTTATTTTAGGAATTTGAAAAAAAAAAAGATTTGAAAATTCTTCAGGAATCTTATATACATACAAAAAGAAGAGCAATTAGGGAAAGTGGTGCCAGCAGATAATAAAACCACACATTGGAACAGTCTAGAACAGGCGGAGGAAATACAGCTCCCTGAGACTGACATCAAAGCAGAAACCATACATATTGGTTGACATGAAAATGTGAAACGTCTGCATGCCAAAAAGAAAACACTGTTTATTGATGAAAATGCAAATAGTCATATAACTATATTGAAAGGGAAGGCCTGGTGATACAAAATCATTAAATCCTCATCAATCATAGGAGGAAGTGGAAAGACATTGTCCAAATTGCTAAAATCAAGGAGCTGCAGAATACTCGGATAGCAAGGACTGGGGGAAAGGGAGTGTTACCTCAGCACTGGGAGAAGAAGGTTTGCTCATTCACCGCTGGAAGTGTGAGAAGTATGGCTTGTTACCATTTTCTTCACTAAATCTAGCAACATATAGAAAAGCATATATCCATCTATTTTTCTATCTTTTCCTATCCCAAAAAGCAAAACGCACCTTATATAAGTACTCGATGTGTACAAACACGAGGGTCTTATAAGCCTAGTTTTAAGTGTCCAAAAAAGAATCGAAAGTAAAATAAAACTGGGTCTGAGATGACAGATTCTGGCACAATGCCATGGCATCTACTACACAGAATGAGACAGAACTATGCCAATGGGCTTCGGGGAATTTCTGTGTCTATTTTTTTTCATTCCATATTTATTATAAGAAATTTATATGCCGGGCACAGTGGCTCACACCTGTAATCCTAGCATTTTGGGAGGCTGAGGCAGGTGGATCACTTGAGGTCAGGAGTTCGAAACCAGTCTGGCCAACATGGTGAAACCCCATCTCTACTAAAAATACAAAGAAGTTAGCCAGGCATGGTAGCACACACCTGTAATCCCAGCTACTCAGGAGGCTGAGGCAGGAGAATCACTTGAACCCGGGAGGCAGAGATTGTAGTGAGTGGAGATCGCACCACTGTACTCCAGCCTGGGTGACAAGGAGACTCTGTCTCAAAAAAAAAAAAAAAGAAAGAAAGAAATTTATGTAAGCATAAGAAAAAATAAGATGTAGTGAAATGCTTATAATATGAATGTACTTCTATAAAAGAATGAACTAAAAAATACATACACCAGCATATTAAGTGTGCATAGAGAAATAGATGAAAGTTTACACACTATAGTTTTCATAATTTTGGTGTGGCGCTGAGAGAGAATTTTAGAGGGATATTAAGATGCAAAATGAACAGGGAAGTAGAAGAAAAAATATGAAGTTGCATGAAATAATTTCATCTGCATAAAATGATACAAGTTTGAATCTCTCCCGAATGCTGATGTTTGTTATCACAGGTGGTGCATATCTAGGTGAAATTCACTTTCTCCTAATACTTTTGTCCAAATGTTTTACAAGGAAGATGTCTTACAATATTATACTATGATGTAATCAGAAAATAGTTTTGGGTGTGCAAGACATATGAATCAAATTGAATCCAAAGTAGAAGAAAATAAAGAGTTAAAAACAAACAGAAAATAGACAGACAATAAAGGAAAATCAGGGTTTTTTTGAAAGATCAGTAAAATTTATTAATTTTAGTTAGAAAAAAGAGAAAACACAAATTGCCTATACCAGGAATAAAAGAGGAAATTTCATGATAAATATTACAGATATAAAATAGATAACAGGGGACTAGTATGAACTACCTTATCAAAATGATTCAACAATTTAAGTAAAAATGATGATCTCTGTGAAACACACAAATTACCAACTTAAGAATAAATAAAATGTAAAGAGATGCAAAAAATAAACTGATTTAATAATTTAAAGCCTTCCATAAACTTAAGCACAAAAAAAGAAAAAAACAAACAAAAATTAAAAAATAAAGCCTTCCTACAAAGCCTTTCTACAAACTCCCAGACCTACAAAACTTCGGTAAATTCTATCAAACCTTTAAGAAAGTAGATAAAGGAAACAGAACCACTTTCCAACTCAATTTTGTGAAACCAGTTATTCCCTGAAATCAAAACCAGAAATATCATTACAAGAAAAAACTACAGACTATATCCCTAGTTTAAGTGTAGCCAAATATTAGCAAATTTAATTCAGCAATATATAAAGGGGTAGGAAAAAAGAGTAATACACTGCTGGCCAATATCAATATCAAAAATAATAATAAGCACTTAGAAAACTAGAAACAGAAGGGTCCTTCTTCTACCTGCTTGGACATGTCTAGGTGAAGCCCACAGCTATCATAATGTTGAAAAACTGAATGCCTTCCCCTTAACACTGGCAACCCCAGGCAAGGAAACCGTTGGTACCACTCCTAATCAATATCATCCTGGAGGTGGTAGCCACTGCAGTCAGGCAAGAAAGAGAAATTAAAGGCACACAGATTGAAAGTTTAAAAGAAAATTCTTTATTTGCAGATGACATTATTGGATATGTAAGAAATCGTGGAAAATCTATAAGGAAAAATAAACAAGTGAGTTTAGCAAGGTCTCAGGATATAGGGATAGCATACAAAAATCAATTTTGCATCTCTATACACAATAAACAATTAAAATTTTAAAGTTTTTAAATGCCATTTATAAGAACATCCAAAAATCTGAAGTACCTAGAGATTAATCAGTACAAGTCTTGTACTTTGAAAGCTCTAAGAGATCACTTAGAGTAGTTAAAGAAGAACAAAATAAATGGAAAACTGTACTGTGATCATGAACTGGAGGGCTTAAGATGGCAATTCTGTCCAAATTGATGAATGGATTCAATGTTATCCCAATCAAAATTCCAACTTTTTAAAAATTATCAAGTTGATTCTAAAGTTTATAAGGAAATGTAATGGACCTACTTTACAAAAGAACTTATACTACCTGATTTCAATACTTACTATAAAGCTATAATAACCAAGACAGTAGGGTAATGATGTTAAGTATAGCCATACGGATCAAGGAAACATAACAGAGTTCAGAGAACACACTAAGATGGCCAATTGGTTTCCAACCAGTGGGCTAAAGCAATTCAATACAGAAAAAAAAATCTCTTCAAGAAACGATGCTGAAATAACTGGATATCTGACCTTACCTCACCCCATAAAAATTAATTCAAAATGAATAGACCTGAGCCTAAACTAAATTCACATCTCTTCTAGAATACATAAGATAACATAATTATGATCTTTGGTTAGGCAAAGAAGTTTTAGTAAACACAAAAAGCTTATATATTTTTTTTCCTTTTTTTTTTTTTTTTGAGATGGAGCCTCCCTCTGTTGCCCAAGCTGGAGTGCAGTGGCTCAATCTCTGTTCGCTGCAACCTCCACCTCCCAGGTTCAAGTGATTCTCCTCCCTCAGCCTCCTGAGTAGCTGGGATTACAGGCACGCGCCACCACACCCAGCTAATTTTTTTTGTATTTTCAGTAGAGACGGGGTTTCAGCATGTCGGTCAGGTCGGTCTCAAACTCCTGACCTCGTGATCCACCCGCCTTGGCCTTCCAAAGTGCTGGGATTACAGGCGTGAGCCACCATGCCCGGCCAAAAAGCCTATATTCTAAAAGAAAAAATATGATAAATTGGACTTCATCAAAATTATAAATTTTTACTGATCAACAGACATTGTTAAGAAAACAAGGCAGAAAACCACAGATGGAAGAAATTGTTCTCAATACATATATCTGATAAAGACCTGATAGAATTTCAGAATAACATAATTCAATAACAAGGAAATAAGTAACCCTTAAAAATAAATGAAAAAAGACTTGAACAGATATTTCACCAAAGAAGATATTATGCACAAATGGCCAATGAACACATGACAAGATGTTCAACGTCATCAGCCACTAGGGAAATGTGAGTTAAAGCTGTGACAGGATCCCACCACACAGCCGCGGGACGGGTAAATGGAAAGACCCTTCAGCGCCAAACACTGCTGAGGAGGTAGAGCAGGTGGAACACGCATATGCCACAGGCGGGAAAGAACAATGACAAACACTTTGCAAAATGGATGGGCAGGTTTGTTTGGTTTTTCATTTGTTTGTTTTAACGTGCCCTTACTATGCAGCCTAGCAATTCTACTCTTGGGTATTTACCTAAAACAAGAAAAAATATCCACACAAATACTTGTCGCCCAAGTGTTCATAACGCTTCATTCGTATCAGCCCAAAACTGTAACAACAGTCATGTCCACCGACATTTGAATAGATTTTTAAAACTGTAGTATAGCCACACTGCTCAGCAATAAAAAGGGAAACTCTATAGACATATGCAACAATATGATGAATTTTGAAAACGTGATGCCAAGCAAAAGAGGCCAGACACTAAAGATGGCATGCTATATGATTCGATTTGTATGAAAGTAAAGACTAATCTGATTGAGAGAGAAAGATGAGTGGCGTCCCAGGACCAGGGTGGGCCCAGGGTTGGATGGGAGGGAGGGGGCACCAGGGTGTCTCCTGCAGTAATGAAATTGTTCTAAGTCTTGATTTCAGTGGGGGTTACACCAGGGTACGTATTAGTACACTCAAAACAAATGCATGGCCGGGTGCTGTAGCTCACACCTGTAATCCCAGCACTTTGGGAGGCCAAAGTTGGCAGATTGCCTGAGGTCAGGAGTTCAACACCAGCCTGGCCAACATGGTGAAACCCCATCTCTACTAAATACAGAAAAATTAGCCGGGCGTGGTGGCAGGCGCCTGTAATCCCAGCTACTCAGAAGGCCGAGGCAGGAGAATTGCTTGAACCCAGGAGGTGGAGGTTGCAGTGAGCTGAGATTGCACCATTGTACTCCAGCCTGGGCGACAGAGAGAGACTCCATCTCAAAAAAAAAAAAAAAAAAAAAAGAATGCATTTGCTGTACATATGTTATAGTTCAATATAGTATTTTTTAAAGAAATATGTAAAGTACTTGACATGTATTAGGTGCTCACAAAATGGTATGTGTAAGCAGTACAATTATAAAATGAAAGAAATGGCAGCTTAAGCCCACAATTTAGAGATGGGGGGGTGCCAATTGTAGCATAGAGGCAAAGAGCATAAGCCCTGCAGACCCCCTGTCTGAGTCCCAGGGCTACCACTTAGTAATGGTATGACCTTGGAAAGGTTATTTAGCCTCTCTGGGCCTCAGTATCCTGGTCTGAAAAAGAAGTCTGCCGTAGTATATACTTCATAGAGTTGCATAAGATAGTCCCAGCTCAACAGATGCTTATTATTTGGTTATGATATTACTGGGAATATTTATCACAATCCAAAGTCAAAACTATTGAGGCCAAGCACAGTGGCACATGCCTGTAATCCCAGTGCTTTGGGAGGCCAAGGTAGGAGGATCACTTGAGGCCAGCAGTTCAAGGCTGCAATGAGCTATGATCACACCACTGCACTCATTCCAGCCTGGGCAACAGAGCGAGCCCTGTCTCTAAAAAAGAAAGAGAGAGAGAGAGCGAGAGTAAGAGAGAGAGAGCACAACAGTGACAGAGAGAGAGAGAGAGAGAGAGAGAGAGAGAGCAGAGCTGAAGGTATCTGCCATGAAGAGAGGAGCATGGAGCTGGGGAGGACTAGCAAGGGATGCTGCATTTTCTCATAAAGCCTTATATATGGTTTTATTTTTAACCAGATGTTGATAATACCTTATTTTTTCAAATTTAAAAAGATAGGATAGAAAAAATACAAATATATCAACAAATAAAAATCATGACAAATACATGAAAAAACAGTTTACAAAAGAAGTATGCATAAGAAACAAGAAATTCTTACAAAAGAATTTCTATGCATATGAAACAAGGTCCAACATTACTAATAAAGAAGATAAAACAGGGTATCGTTTTTTGTTATACTGGACTGGCAAAGATCTAAAATAATGGGAAAGAACTTGAAGATATAGGCATTTTTATGTTGTTGGAAGGAGTGAAAATTGTTACGAGCTTTTTTGGAGAAAAATTTAACAATATATGTCAAATTTTAAAAATCTGTATAATCTTTTAACCGTGACTACACTTCTCAGAATTAACCCTTAGATTAGACAAGTTGGGCCTGGCACGGAGGCTCCTGCCTGTAATCCTAGCACTTTAGGAGGCCAAGGTGAGCAGATTACTTGAGGTCAGGAGGTCGAAACTAGCCTGGCCAACATGGTGAAACCCCATCTATACTAAAAATACAAAAAAAATTAGCCAGGCATGGTGACGGGTGCCTGTAATCTCAGCTACTTGGGAGGCTGAGGCAGGAGAATCACTTGAACCCAGGAGGCAGAGCTTGCAGTGAGCCAAGATCAAGCCACTGCACTCCAGCCTAGGAGACACAGCAAGACTCTCTCTCGGAAAAAAACAAAAAACAAAATACTAGACAAGTATGAACATTTAAGAATAGCCATTACAAAATTGTTTATATTTGTAAAAATAAAAGCTGGCAACAAACTGAATGTTAAACAATATAAGGCCAGGCGCAGTGGCTCACGCCTGTAATGCCAGCACTTTGGGAGGCCGAGGCAGGCGGATCACGAGGTCAGGAGATCGAGACCATCCTGGCTAACACAGTGAAACCCCATCTCTACTAAAAATACAAAAAATTAGCAGGGCGAGGTGGCGGGAGTCTGTAGTCCCAGCTACTCGGGAGGCTGAGGCAGGAGGATGGCGTGAACCCCAGGGGCGGAGCCTGCAGTCAGCTGAGATCGTGCCACTGCACTCCAGCCTGGGTGACAGCGAGACTCCATCTCAAAAAAAAAAAAAAAAAGAAAAAGAAAACAATATAATATTAAAATTATATAGTTAAATTAGAATACATCTATGACATTCACACAATGGAATGACTGATAGTCAATAATGATGGTATAAATCTATATTTATTGAATTAGAAATATGTTCAAACTATGATATGTAAAAGCCAGGTTATAAAATAGCATACCTGCTATAAACAAATTTAATTTTCTTTGAAAGTGCATTTGTATGTTTTTGTGGCAAAAGAAAAAAATCTGAAGGGATTTTTACCAAAATGATAATAATGATTATTAATGGACAGTAAGATCTGAGTGATTTTTACTTTTCACTTTAAAGCTGTCTCTGTCACATAAACTTTTTATAATGATCATACGTTAATTTTTAATCTGCATTTGTAGTTCTAGATGTCAGGATGTGCTGGAGAAGGCTCAAGTTCTTGCCTCTCCAACATCAACTCCTTACAAAAGTTCGTGTTGTAAAACATTTTACATTTAACAACAGATTGTAGTCTATTCCTATTATTCTTTTTTTTTTTTTTTTTTGAGAGGGAGTCTCGCTCTGTCACCCAGGCTAGAGTGCAGTGGCGCGATCTCCGCTCACTGCAACCTTCGCCCCCCCAGTTCAAGTGATTCTCCTGCCTCAGCCTCCCGAGTAGCTGGGACTACAGGTACCCGCCACCATGCCCAGCTAATTTTTGTATTTTTAGTAGAAACGGGGTCTCACCATGTTGGCCAGGCTGGCCTCGAACTTCTGACTTTGTGATCTGCCCACCTCAGCCTCCCAGGTTCCTATTATTCTTTTGTGCCCACAATGATGAACACACCTGGTGATTCAGACCTCAGGAACCCTGGCCTCATCCCATGCTCTGATCTCATCCACACTGGCCTGTTGCCTGGTTAATGAGCTGTGATATCATAGCTTGTGAGGATGCATACTTGAGCAGGGATGAGACGCTAGGCAATGTTAGAGTCAACGCAAAGAAAAGAAATAAATACATTCCAAGCAGTACAGAAGGAAAAAAAATCTTAGGTATAATGGTTTTTTTCATAAAAGCATTCTAATTTCCTGAGTACATATTATAGTAATGTTTTAGTTTAAATGTTTTTTGATACAGAATTTCACTCCATTGCCCAGGCTGGAGTGCAGTGGTGCAATTGAAGTTCTGCTTATGATCATCTAATCTTAGAAAATAAAGTTAAGAAGTTGCTAGCCGATATATTAGAATATTTCCCACAAAAGGTGATCTTTGTCCCTTGAAAAGCAGAACCAAAAGTGGTTCCATGTATGTTTCAGAGTCATATAAACGTGGACCGCTGTGGAGGCAGCAGGACTCGCTCAGAGGAATGCTTGGAACATTATCATTTTTAATTCTAAATCCTCAAATGAGATAAAGTAGCCATCAAAATAGATTCCCGGCCTCTGATGGGATCTTGGGGAGCTAAGCCCCAGCTTCTGGTGTGAGCAGCCTAGGCCAGGTGACCAGGTCATGAGTAGGCCCATTTCTAACAGAGGGGTGGGGGGGGGTCTGCGTGGCTCAGGGGTGCATCCGGGAAGAAGACAGGGACCTGCTCAGGCGCGGCGACCACTCCAATGCACAAGCTGCTTGCTTTTGGCCAACTGGACTCCAGTAAGCTTCTTCACTGAGAGCTACAACAACCTGAAAATGATGACTCAGCCACAGGCATGACCAGGGCCACAGCTCGCATCTGTCCGTGCCAGGGAGGCTGTCCTTCAGAGCAATGGGCAACTGGAGCCTCTCCTGTCCTTGATCGCCTGGGCTGCCATAGCCAGGTGATGGCCTTCTTATCCAGGCATGGTGACTCGTGTCACCAGAGGGAGGGAGAATGCTTCCCATGCTAACCATGTTTGACTGTCCCTTTGTAGAACATTCTGATGTGTGTAAAGGATGAATTTGGGAATCTCCAAGCTTGGTTGACTTTGTAAAAGGAAAAGGTAAGAGATAAATGTGGACTCTGCCAATCCAGCACTGTCTAGGAGAGAGGACACTTTGAGACCCCCACACCTCTCGAGAAAGGCAACCCAAAGGGGAGCTGGGCACTGGGGTTCCAGGCAGTGGGGTCCCAGTGTCCTCATCCCAGGAGTGAGACCACCCCCACTGGATGCCAATAAAGCCCCTGAGGACAGCATTCACCTCCTTCTCTCTTGGGATTCCTGTTCACCGAACAGAGCACTCACTCCACACTCTCCCCTGGTATTCTGAGCCCTTCCACTGTTGCTTCGCCTTATAAATTAATAAAGCAGGGCCAGGCATGATGGCTCACACCTGTCATCCCAGTACTTGCTGAGGCCAAGGCAGGAGGATCTCTTGAGCTCAGGAATTTGAGACCAGCCTGGGCAACATAGTGAGACCCCCATCTCTGCTAAAAATTTTCAAAAAAAATTAAAATTAGCTGAGTGTGGTGGCCCACCTGTAGTCACAGTTACTTGGGAGCCTGAGGAGGGAGGATCACTTGATCCTGGAAGGTCGAGGCTGCAGTGAGCCATGATCGCACCACTGCACTTCAGCCTGGGCTGAAAGTGAAATTCTGTATCAAAAAACAAAGCAGACAACAAACAACAACAACAACAACAACAAAGTGGCATTCTGATTTCATGCATGTGTCTCATGAGTTCATTTAGGATAAGTTTGTCCCTGGGATTGGCAAGACTTTCAGGTTAGACCCAGAGCGCCAGGAAATCATGATGGCATCCCTAAAGACCTGTTGGGAGACAGTGAGCAGAACTTCCCTTGGCCGCCCCTAGAGGCTGCCACGAGTCTGGGAACATTGTGACTTTCTCTCCCAGGATAACCCACACTCCTGCAAGCGGCATTGAGGTCTTCGTCACCTGGCTCAGCCCAGCTCCTGGCCTCAGACCGCAGCTTTCTTATGCTGCACTTCCCAGCAACTCACAACTACTTGTACCCCACACACCTGCCCATGAGTGTGCATCCGCCCATCGCACGCACACAGCCTTATTCACAAGTGGGTCCTTAGCCTGCGGCTTCCTAAAACACCTACCCCCGATCTCCACGCCACAGGCTCCCTCGGCTTTCAGGTTTTGGCAAGATCACTTCCTCTTTATTGTGGCCAATCCCACTGCCCCAGCCACCTGAGCCCTCCCTGTCTCCATCTCCTCCGTCGTCATCATTTTATTACAATATTTAATGTATCTGTCTCCTCCCAGATAGTGAGCTTCCAGAGATGAGCAATTCTATAACTTTTAGATGCCTGGGATTTGCAACCTACTAAGTACAGGTATTGTAGGTGTTTCTCAAATGTGAAGTGAATAGCTAGAGCAAGATGTATTATCTATGTGTCAGAGGAAAATGCAAATGCAGTGAGTCTCCTGAGTGTTTCCTCACAGCACCAGGAGTGAAATGTTGGAGGAGGCGGAATGAGGCCTGAAGGAGCTTCCACCCGACCAACACCGGAGCCATGGGGAGGAGGGGGCTCCGCGCTCTCCCTCTCCTCTTCCCCCCTCTCCCTCTCCTCTTCCCCCCTGTCCTGACTGCTGGAGCCTCTCAGGAAGCAGTGTGTGAGAAAGGCGTGAAAATGAGAGTGAGGGGGATGAACTCCAGGCATCTGCGGGATCTGCCATGAAGAAGGAAACAGAAGGCAGGAAGTCACTGTGTGACTGCTGGAAGGAAAGAAAATTCCAGGGGCCAGCCATCCATCCAGGGCAAGTGTGCCTGGGTATCTGTTCATTTGCAAAAGTGCCTAAGTCTTCAATTACCTGTAAAATCAGACACACTTTCTCCCAACAATTTTTCTAAATTGGGTAAAGAAAGATATTAAATCCAATTTATAATATAATAAATTTTCCAAATTTGAAAAACTACTTTATATTCTCTAGGGAAGAGTCAGGCTGGAGGAATCTTGCCTTAACTCGCAGCTCCTACAGATTGCTTTTGACCATGAATATCTCATTTTATAGTCCCATTTTTCTAAGTGATATCCTGAACTAAGGAATAATTTAGATAATAAATCCATTTCAATTACTGTCCATTAGAAGACAGGAAAACATTAAGCCCAACCAAAGCTCGTGGGAATTATGGTTGCCCTTGCAGGTGAAAATGAATTTAGTGCAGCCATAGGTGATGCTGCCCTCCTCTAGCCCACGTTCTTTCTTATGGAAAGAGCACTCCACATTCAAACGACATGTTTCTCTGTCGTGCTTGTGAATGAAGAAACCATCATCTTTGAATTTTCGTAACACAAACTCGGACCCCATGACACAAAGTCACAACAGTGTGGGTCACAGAACTGTCTGATTCCCCGTCCCTTCCCACTCTCCTCTCCTCTCTCCTTTCTTTCTCTGACCTCCTTTGCTTGGCCATTCTGCAGCTCAGGAGACCTTCCCGCATTTCCAGACAGAAGCAGACAACAACTTGGCGGGGGCTGGGAGGCCCAATGTCAAATCTCTCAGAGAATCTGATCGGCTCCGCCTAGGTCAATACCCACCCTGGTCCACTCAGCTGTGCCATGGCCATCAGATCACACAAGTCGAACATCACTGATGGGTCAGGGCTCAGAGAAAGCAGCTGGTTCAGGGGTTAAGCAAGTGCTCCCGACATTTACTTCATAGTTTTCCCTAAAGCATTATGGGAAAAGTACATTTTGAAATACAGACAGGTCCCAAATTACAACAGTTGACTTATAATTCTTCACCTTTACAATAGTGTAAAAAGGGAGATGCCTTCAGTGGAAACCACACTTCAAATTTTGATCTTTTTCCAGGTTAACAATATACCATAGGATACCCTTACACTGCCTAGCAGCATCTGTGGCTCCCAGACAGCCAGCCCCACAGCCATGAGGGTGAGCAGCCTACCCTCAATAATTTTGCCAACTACGGGCTAACAAGCATGCTCTGAGCATGATTAAGGTAGACGAGGCTAAGCTGTGGTGTTCCGGAGGGTAGGTATATTAAATGAAATTTCAACTTCTGATATTTTCAATTTGAAATGGGTTTCAAGTTGAAGTTTCAATGGGTTCCTCATCATAAATTGAGGAACATCTGTAATTATTTATGCCTACATCAATGAGAAGATGGAGAAGTTTATTTTTCTTGTTTCCTTATGATTATTAGCATACATGCATCTTAACTCTTTTTAAACAGTGAGGAGCATGGGTAAAGATGGCCCAATTCCATCCTGTGTGAAGCTCTTATCATCACTCATGTTCAATCAGGATAAATAATTAAATAGCAATTATTTTGTTCTTCATCATTCACACTCATAATAATCATGGGAAATTCATCACGAATTTAGTAATTCCAAGGGGCTTTCAAGATGATTGATCAGAATGAGGAAGAGGAAATTGGCAAGGCTGATGAAAATATACTTGTTTGTCCTAGAAAATTACATCACACACATCCTTTTGTGTGATGGAGAATGGAGATGGACTTCCTCCTTACCATGCCGGCTGCTCCCTCTTCTCCCTCATTCTCTCAACCCTACCAGGCTCACTTCAAGGGCCATCAATGAGTCCCATAAGCCTCACAGGCAATCCACTGATTAAACTCTTCCTTCAGAGGATAATGAAGGCAGGAACTATAAGTGGATTTAAGAATTATTGGGATAAAATGGTAATATTAGAGTCATAAATGGCTACAGAGAGAAGGCAGGATATATTTAATTCTTAAAGATGGTGATTTTAGGGGTAATCCTCCAACCCAATCCTCCTATAAACAGAATTTAATTAGAAAATACATAGAAAGGGAGAAGATTTCAGACAGATGAAACAGAAGGAATGAAACTGAGGAGACAGAAATGAGAAGCTGTGCTTAGGGGAAGGAAATAAAACCTGTTTTATGGAAGAAAGGATTTCTCCTTTGGCTGGATGTTACAGTCATGACACATCAGCTAAACATCACGCTTTCGGGAGGTCTTCCCTGAGTTGCCAATGTAAGTACCTCCTGCCCACTCTGTAAGACATGCTGTCATAGCACTTACCACTACCTGATTTGGGAAAGGGGGGTGTATTAGTCCTTTTTCACATTGCTATAAGAAACTACCTGAGACTGGGTAATTTATAGAGAAAACAGATTAATTGACTCACAGTTCCACATGGCTGGAGGGGCCTAAGGAAACTTACAATCATGGCAGAAGGCAAAGGGGAAGCAAGGCACGTTTTACATTGTGGCAGGAGTGAGAGAGAGCAAGGAAGAAAGTGCCACACTCTTAAACCATCAGATCCTGTGAGAATTCACTCACTATCATGAGACCAGAGTTGGGGGAAACCACCCCCATGATCCAATCACCTCCTACCCGGTCCCTCTCCTGACACATGGGGATTACAATTTGACATGAGATTTGGGTGGGGACACAGAGCCAAATTATATCATTCTGCCCCATCCTCTCCCAAATCTTATGTCCTTCTCACATTTGAAAACACAATTATGCCTTCCCAACAGTCCCCCAAAGTCTTAAGTCATTCCAGCATTAACTCAAAAGTCCAAGTCCAAAGTCTCATCCGAGACAAGACAAGTCCCTTCCACCTATGAGCCTGTAAAATCAAAAACAAGTTAGTTACTTCAAAGATACAGTGGGAGTGCAGGTATTAGGTAAATGCTCCCATTCCAAAAGGGAGAAATTGGCCAAAACAAAGGGGTTACAGGCCCCATGCAAGTCCGAAACCCAGCTGGGCTGTTATTAAATCTTAAATCTCCAAAATAATCTCCTTTGACTCCATGTCTCACATCCAGGGTATGCTGATGCAAGGGGTGGGCTCTCAAGGCCTTGGGCAGCTCCACCCCTGTGGCTCTGCAGAGTACAGCCCTCACAGCTGCTTTCACAGGCTAGTGTTGAGTGCCTGCAGCTTTTCTAGGTACATAGTGCAAGCTGTCAGTGGATCTACTCTTCTGGGGTCTGGAGGATGGTGGCCCTCTTCTCACAACTCCACTAGGCAGTGCCCCAGTATGGACTCTGTGTGGGGGTTCCAATCCCACATTTCCCCTCCACACTGCCCTAGTAGAAGTTCTCCATGAGGGCTCCACCCCTGCAGCAGACTTCTGTCTGAACATCCAGGCATTTCCATACATCCCCTGAAATCTAGACAGAGGCTCCCAAACTCTTGCCTTCTGTGCACCTACAGGCCCAACACCATGTGGAAGCTATTAAGGCTTGAAGCTCACACCTTCTGAAGCCATGGCCTGAGCTGTACCTTGGCCCCTTTTAGCCACAGCTGGAGCTGGAGTGACTGGGACACACAGCACAATGTCCTGAGGCTGCACATAACAGCAGGGCCCTGAGCCCAGCCCACAGAACCATTTTTCCCTCCTATGGGAGGGGTTGCCATGTGATGGGAGGGGTTGCCATGAAGGTCTCTGACATTCCCTGGAGACATTTTCCCCATTGTCTTGGTTATTAACATTTGGCTCCTCCACTTACGCAAATTTCTGCAGCCAACTTGAATTTCTCCCCAGAAAATTGTTTTCTTCTTTTCTACCACATGGTCAGGCTGCAAATTTTCCAAACTTTTATGCTCTGCTTCCCTTTTAAACATAAGTTTCCATTTCTGATCATCTTTTTGTGAAAGCATATGACTGTACACTTTTAGAAACAGCCAGTATACTTCTTAAATGCTTTGCTGCTTAGAAATGTTTTCCACCAGATACCCTAAGTCATCTCTCTCAAGTTCAAAGTTCTACAGATCTCTAGGGTAGGGGCAAAATGCCACCAGTCTCTTTGCTAAAGCATAGCAAGAGTGACCTTTACTCCAGTTCCCAGTAAGTTCCTCATCTCCATCAGATCCTGTGACAACTCACTCACCATCACAAAAACAGCATGGAGGAAATCCTCTCCCATGATCCAGTCATCTCCCACCAGGTCCCTCCCCTGACACATGGGGATTACAATTCAACGTGAAATTTGGGTGAGGACACAGGGCCAAATCATATCAGGGAGTCTGTTTTTCACTAGAGTGTGAGCTGCATGAGAATTTGAATATTGTCATCTGACACATAGTAGGCACTAATGGTGCTCATGGAGGGAAGGAGCAAAGGAAGGAAGTGGGTGGGGGAACTACAGAATGCTTGTTATATTATGGGTGATCCTAGCCTTCACACTTGATTGCTTTTGAGTGGCATTTTAATGCATTGTTGATATAACTCAAGACACTGACATTCTCTTTTAGCTTATTTTCCCAATTAATCATCTGAGCCAATACTTCATTGAGTTGAATTTATTTCTTAATTTTCAGCCTTATAAACAAATCCTGAAATCGCATACCTCTGTCCTCTTTCTGTTGTTGCTTCCTCCCCTTGGAATGCCCTAATCGCCATGACCAAAAGTGATCTCTCCCTCTGTGCTCATTATCACCCCTCTCTGTACCAATTACTTGGGAGGTCTTATATTGTTATTGAACTCCTGAGTGTAATTTCACTTTTACCTATTTGTGGCTTTCCCCCAGTCGTGCTGTAAGCTTCCAGAGCCCAAAGACCATGACTTGTATTTGATGTCCTTATGGTCCCAAGAGTACCTGGCATCAAATTTTGCACAAAGTAGGTGCTCAAATATTCTCTATTCACATATTTATGTGAGGAGCTAGTTTATCTCAGGAATCATAGTTTGCCATGTTTCATTACAATACTAATCACAAAAGTCAAAATTTTGATGAGTGAAACTCAACCAGAATTCCTGAGTTGACATAAATATTTTGATTTGCATCACTTTTATCAGAGTTATGACATTTCATTGAGAACAGAAATCTCAAAGTCTTCACCTTCCACCTTTCACCTGGCCATCCCAAAGGCAGCCTCTTCTTCCTATTCTACACCTCCAGACCTGAATAAGGAGAATTCATCTGGAAATCACTACTTCAGAGAAGATTTACCTGTAGATTGTGGGCTCTCAGAAAGTGGGAACTTTTTCATCTTTATTGTTCCCATTTCTGGTACATAGATATTAGCTAATTCAACATCAGTCATTATTGAAGGATTCAATTATTTTTATTACATCATCCTAAAGCTTGCAATAAAACTTCAGATCATTAAATAACTACAATTTTTTGAGCATCTCCTCTGTGCTAGGACACATTTTTCCTAATTTAGTCCTTCCAAGAACCCTTGGAGGCAGAGATTAGAATGATGAATACAAGAGATTAAGTAATTTTCCCAAGTTCAAAAAGCTGGTAAATGATGGCTGGTTCTCAAATCCAGATCCTTCCAATTTCAGATAAGGGTCAAAATGATTTTTGAGTTTAAAAAGAATAATCCTCCATGGTTAACTCTCAATGAATCAGAACATTCACTGAAACACAATGCCCTTTGTATTCCCTGGGGCATACAAATAAAATAAAAAACACAATACCCCAGTCCCCAAACATGTGACCTTAAATAAACCAACAGGCTTAACTGGGCTGAAAACGTAAGCTCATAACTTTCTAAAGTACACATTTTTAAAACTAAATTGTGAATGTACACAATCACTTGCCTTTCCCACATGAGCTCCGTTTGTTGAGCCTGCTCACCTGTTCCGCAGGATAAGAAAGCATGTATTTTTCATCTTCCCCTGATGGATAAAATGACAACAGGAAATGAGGTGTTTCAGACCAAGGTGTTCACACACTGGTTGGCAAACACGACTACCTAAAAATTCCTTACCAGAAATGACCCTTCTTGAGCCTATATGGCTTCATAGAAATTGGCAACAATCACAAACAGGATTTTGACACCACCTTGCACATCTAGCACAGGTGAGTCTGTCTGTTGTTAAATCATATCACTGTAACTCCTAAAACACAAGGCCATCAGCAGAGCCAGCGCTGGGCCATCCTGGCCCCACCATACCTTCAGGTTCTGCCAGGAGCTCAGGGCTCCGCCTCTCCCCAGCAAGCAGCTGTCGTCCCTTCTGTTCTGTTTTAGCCTCCACCCTACGCTATCCCTGCCAAAGGTGTTAACTCATTAACCAACCAACTCTTGCTGTTGGTTCAGTTGAATTAAATAAAGAGTTATTGAGTGCTGTGATGTGTAGGCTCAGCATTAACTGGCAGGAACTTAAGTTCAGGCCCCACCCAGAAGAGACTTGCCCTTTAGTGGGAAACTTGAGGAAGACGTTGCTGTGATGGTGTTGAATCTCAGGGCTAGGACCCTGCCTCACCTGCTGTGAGGTCAAATGTCTGTCCCTTCCCAAGGCAGTGATGAAACAGAAGTGGGGGCACCAGCTATGCCCTCCACTCCACCAGGACTCCTGTCTTAAAGCAAATGCTGTGTAGATGTAGCTTCAAGATCATTTCCCCAAGATCTCTCCACCAAACCAGAGGGCTCCCCCAACCCAACCCTTTCTGTACTAGAAATTCTGCAGCCTCCACTGCACCATCCAGGACCATTTGTAAAAATATTAAAATTTCCACATGCATCTGATAATGTCATAATAGATTTCTAGTTTAGAAAGCATTCAAGCAGAATCAATAGTGAAAGTCAGCATCAAAGTATCACAAATTGTTCAAAAAATAATAAAGCTGATTCTTTGTGTTAAAAAGCCCACTCACCAGAAGTTATATATATATATATATATATATATATATATATATATATATTCTATACTTTAAGTTCTAGGGTATATGTGCACAACGTGCAGGTTTGTTACATATGTATACATGTAATTTACGTAATCAAGAACAACAAACTTTATTTTAAAACAGAAGTAAAAATTATTTTTTAATCCTTAAGTATAAAACACACTTGTTGGCTATATTTTATTGGCACATCTTAAAATAAATTTAAAAGTGCTCATTGTTGATAGACACAAAAAGTATCTGTGCCAGAAAAGTCATAATTAGACTAATAGCTGTGACATCAAAAATCTTGTAATTGAAGTAGAAACTCTGAATGAGCTCTGTTGTGGCAAAACCTACAGTCTCTTCTCTGGAATTAATACTCCAGAGACCAATAAAAGATTAATCAAGACAAAGAATCAATAACTTCTCAAGTGCTAATAAGCACTGCCTTGTTCTGTGATATGTTGAGCAGTTTATCATGTTTAGTCGTATGAAGATTTATAGAAAATCCATAGTTAAAACTGGAGGATGAGGTAATGCAACACTTAGTAAATGAAGCCAATTAAAATTTATGCTTGATATCATGCATTCCAAGGACCTGAAAAAAATCACTTTTGATTCCTCCTCCCCTTCTCTTAAGGATAAGAAAAAAGAGTTAGTCATGTCACTTAACCGTGTTACTAGGGAATAACTAAGAAAGGTATCATGCTATTCTAATGACTAGCTCCCTGTTCTGGAGTGGAGGGCAGGAACATGCATGGAAAATTCGTCATTTTTTTTTCTGCGCTCTTGCTCATGCAAGAATCAACTTTTCCTGGAATTCTTTGTGAAAGTTATATAAAATACCTTTTAGGATCATTTAGGTCTCTACTTTCAATCAAGCTGATGGATCTACAGGTCGTGTGAGTGGATGAGTTAATGGGTAATTAATAGCTCATCAATTGCAGGTCTTGACCATTAGGTTATGTCATGAGCTTTACACTATGGCATGTGATTAATTAAAAGCATCAGATTATATGTTTAGTAAATTAATCTTTGAAGCACTATTATGATCATGAGAATATGCCTAATCAAATAGATGGGCCACAGTAAATGTTTTCATAAATTTGGAAACATAAACTACTGTGAGCAATTAGAAACAAGTAGATCCTGGTGGGGAGTTTCCTCCAGTGTCAACAATTAGAAAGATGAGAGAGCTACATTAGATAAATTGAAATCACTAGTTGAACCAAGGTTTAAATAAAATATATGAAAACTGTGAAAAAGATCACATTTTCTCAGTAAAAAATAAAGTTCACCACCACAAAGTGGTAAATAATACTTTTTAAATTGACAATGTAGGCTGAGCATGGTGGCTCACACCTGTAATCCCAGCACTTTGGGAGCCCAAGGTGGGCAGATCACCTGAGGTCAGGAGTTCGAGACCAGGCTGGCCAACATGGTGAAACCCCGTCTCTACTAAAAATACAAAAGTTAGTGTGGTGGCATGCACCTGTAATCCCAGCTACTCGAGAGGCTGAGGCAGGAGAATTGCTTGAACCTGGGAGGTGGAGGTTGCAGTGAGCCAAGATCGTACCACTGCACTCTGGCCTGGGTGACACAGCAAGACTCCATCCCAAAAAAAAAAAAAAAAGAAAAAATTGATAATGTGATCCATCCTTAAAAATAAGTAAAGAATTCCCAGAGAAAATTCTGATGTTTTTAATGCTTTCCGGTCCAATTACACTGGGAATTTTTTTTTAATCAGAAAGGTCTGGTGAATAATGAGCTAAGTAAGCTTTATTTAACAATGGATACTGACAGGAGTGATCGGAACACATACCTAGGCAGGCTCCCCGACACGGGCACTACCTCGACACACTGGTTGAAATTTGCTTGAAACGCTTCTTTTGAAGTGTCCTTGGGAAGTTCATTTGAGGGTTTCAGGGATGTCAAATCTCTTCCCATTTACAGTTTAGTTAATGTGGAAGTGGCCAGAAATCACACATAGGCCAGTGGAGCAAATATGGAGGCTTGAGAACCAAGGGTACGTTTCACACATCAGTAGTCCCCAGAGGACAGGCTGGGTGTGTGTGTCAGTTAGTATCCCTGTGCCTTCGAGCAACAGAAAACCAGAAGCTGCATGGCTTAGATAATAAGAAAATGGATTCGATCACACAAGAGCAAGTCCAGAGTCCTCAGGCCTTCAAAGGTCAGCCCAGTGGCTCGGCAGCCTCTGCTCAAGCCCGAGTGACCACCTTCCCTGCAGCCACCCACGGTGTCCCTTTGCCCCACTGCTGCTTTTCTCACGGCTGCAACAAGCCTCCCAACAGCAACCCCAGCTGTGTGCTTCTTCATATCGTGGAAGGAGAGATTTCTGTGACTCTCCGTAACCCATCAATCAACGAGTGGATAAAGAAACTGTGGTGTATATATGATGGAACACTACTCAGCCATAAAAAGGAATGAATTAACAGCATTTGCAGTGACTCGGATGATAATGGAGACGATTATTCTAAGTGAAGTAACTCTGGAATGGAAAACCAAACATCGTATGTTTTCACTGATAGATGGGAGCTAAGCTATGAGGACACAAAGGAATAAGAATAACACAATGGACTTTGGAGACTTGCAGGGAAGAGTGGGGGGGCGGGGCGAGAAATAAAATACAACATATATGGTGCAGTGTATAGTGCTCAGGTGATGGGTGCACCAGGATCTCACAAATCACTACTAAAGAACTTACTCATGTAACCAAATACCACCTGTACCCCAATCACTTAAGGAAAAATAAAATTAAAATTAAATTTCTTTTTAAAAAGTGAGAAACAGCTTTCCTTAAGGTCCCCAGGAAACTTCTCCTAAGTTTCATCGGCCCAAATTGGGTCGCAACCTGATTCCTAAACCAGTCAGCAGGAAGACTGGAATTAGTCAAGTCCAGGCCTAAGCATGGAGACTTTTGCAGTGTGATGCCCGGTGGGCTCATCTTTTTGAGGAACGGTAAAAACATGGGCTGAGACAAACAAAGTCCATAGCACACAGCAGTGTGAGTACCAGGCCGAGCTCACATCCGCAGGAGAGGCAGTCCACTCATATATGTCTCAGTGGAGAGACGGTGCACAATTCTCTATTATCCACGTCTCAGTGGGGAGACGGTGCACAGTTCTCTATCATCCGCGTCTCAGTGGGGAGACGGTGCACAATTCTCTATCATCCACGTCTCAGTGGGGAGACGGTGCACAATTCTCTATTATCCACGTCTCAGTGGGGAGA
This sequence comes from Homo sapiens, assembly GCF_000001405.40. NCBI lineage: Eukaryota > Metazoa > Chordata > Mammalia > Primates > Hominidae > Homo > Homo sapiens. The sequence continues at coordinate 156,571,263 of NC_000007.14, forward strand.
CGGTGCACAATTCTCTATCATCCACGTCTCAGTGGGGAGACGGTGCACAATTCTCTATTATCCACGTCTCAGTGGGGAGACGGTGCACAATTCTCTATTATCCACGTCTCAGTGGGGAGACGGTGCACAATTCTCTATTATCCACGTCTCAGTGGGGAGACGGTGCACAATTCTCTATCATCCGCGTCTCAGTGGACAGACGGTGCACAATTCTCTATCATTCCTCCCAAGGACGTGAGCACTGATTTGCATGCAGTTAGTTGCCCTCTCACCCAGCAAGATCTGGTTCAACAATGTAATTACTTCAGAACCTAGAACTAATTAAGGTAGAGTTCAAGGTCACAGCCTCATAATCAAGGGATAATTATCTTTGCTGTTTAAATCACATCATTTTGATGACATAAAAGTTACATGGCAAATAAACATCTAATTACATGGCAACTTCAGTGTAATTACTATTAAGTCATCTATCAGATATAAAATCACTACTCAATGTGCTTATTATGATCAGCCTTGCTATTGCCAAAATGTTTCCCATGACTACTATGTCTCGGAAAAGACGCAATTCTAAAATAACACCAAGCATTAAAAAACAGAGTTTGTTTTCTCTTTACCAAATAGGATCCTAAGTCTTTTCATTTGGGTTCAATTCAAGGCACTTCAGAACATCAGAAAAAGAAAAAAAAAAGATACAGTATAGAAAAAAACAGCTAAAGGAACATGAAGAAAAAACAGAAATAAACAAAATCTTCTCAAATCTCATATACTTTCAGATTAAAAGAAAAAAGTCTGAAATCCAAAAGGCAATATAGCAAATGGTTGAAGAAGTGAGGGATCCAGTTGAAGAACTGCTGCTCATGTTTTCAGAATTTCAGGATGCAGAGACTTTTCCATTCCCACCTCAAGGGAGAATAGATGGTCACAAGATTATTACAAGCCTCTCTCGAAATTAATGACAAAGAAAAGCTCAGAGTTCACTATTTCTACATTTTATAAGGAGGCAGACACCTATCTTTCTCACCATGGATTCGTTCTTCCACAAAGTAAGAATAAAACAGCTTCACAAAAAATAACATCACCAATTTCTGGTATTCATGCCCATTTGGACAAGAAATTGAAATTGATGTTTGCTCAGATCGACTGCCTTTATAGGCTCCATTTTGTTGTAATGATTTTCTCTCTATTCTTCATCACTTTTTCCCAAGTGACTTTATATTCTTATTTCTCTAGCCCTGCAAATATTATATATGCTAGTTTTCATTGACTTTGCATTCCAGAAGCTGTGTCTATTTGCCATATATTTGAAGGCCTTTATCATCTCTTCAATTACTCCAAAGCCATTACTGTGCACATAAGAATTAGATTCAAATTTTAAGTCAGTCAATACTGAGAAAATAGGAGTAAACTGGAGTTTACTCAAAATAAGGAGGAGAAAAGGTGAAAGGGTGAAAGAGGTAGGGGGAGAGGGTGGCAAACAGCTGGGGACCACAGGGTAAGGCGAGGCACATAGGAGAAGAGATAAAGCGGCCACACCCAGGCTCACCTCCTCCTCCCAAGGGAGCGGGACCTGGGCGCCCACAGCCTCCTCCCTCTGGGGAAGATGCACACGGCTCAGGGAAGCCCTGTCTTCTCCTCCTCCCTGTGAGTGAGCTTCCCACTTCTCTTTTGAAGAGCAAGCTTGGCTCCAGGAAATCCAGTCCACCAAAGAAGGGGAAGAGACCGGCTGATTGCAAACACCCAAGGATGCCTCCCTGAGTTGTTGAATACCGAGTGCCCGCCACGTACCATGAGCTGTGCAGATCGGATGATGCCTGCCCATCTTACATATTTTCTTTTCCTTTTTGGTCTTTCTCTAAATTCGTGTCGTTTTTCTATTTCGTGTCCAGGTTATCTACGGTTCCTGCGGCAATGGAGGGCAGAGGGCTCGGAGCCTCCTTTGACCTCGGCCTCCTCCCTCACACCCTGTCGGCCAACCTCCCTGTGCCAACGCCGGCCCTGCACCCAGCACACTACTGGCTCTGCGCCCCTAAGAGTTCTCAACCTTTTTCCTACCAAATTCAATCCCCATGTTTCAGTCTTCATTCCTCTGTAGTTCCCCAAGCATCTGAGCTGATGGACACCCCGTTCGTGCGTCCCAAAGTCTCCCCTCCGAGTTTCCATGACACTGAGTCTTCCTGCCTCACTTGCTTCCCCTCCATGATGACCCCGACTCAGTTATGTCCCACCACAATCATCAGAGCCCCGCCAGCATTCCCTCCCCACCTCCCTTTCTCTAGCTCCGTGGGCAGCCTACTCACTCCCCCTACAGCTGCTCTGACCCCTGTTCTTTCTTTACTCCCCTCAAAGCAGCTCAGAGCTCCCGCTGTGTTTCTCTTAGGTCCTCTATATCCTGTGGTTGTTGGGTAGAATGTTCTGTAAGTATCTGTTAAGTCTATTTGTTCTAAGGTATAGTTTAAGTCCATTGTTTCTTTGTTGACTTTGTCTTAATCACCTGTCTAGTGTTGTCAGTGGAGTACTGAAGTCCCTCACTATTATCGTGTTGCCTTCTTTCTCATTTCTTATGTCTAGTAAAATTGTTTTATAAATTTGTGAGCTCCAGTGTTAGGTGCATATATATTTAGGATTGTGATATTTTCCTGTTGGACTGATTCTTTTATCATTTTATAATGTCCCTCTTTGTCTTTTTTAACTGTTGTTGCTTTAAAGTCTGTTTTGTCTAATATAAGAATACCCCTGCTCACGTTTTGTTTCCATTTGCATGGAATATCTTTTTCTACCCCTTTATCTTAAGTTTATGTGAGTCCTTATGTGTTAGGTGAGTTTCTTGCAGACAGAAGATATTTGGTTGGTAGATTTTTATGCATTCTTCCATTCTGTATCTTTTAAGTGGAGCTTTTAATGCAATTCCCATCAACATTCATCATCATTCTTCACAGAACTAGAAAAAATTATAAAATCCATATGGAACCTGCATTTTATCCAAAAAAGACCAAAATCCAAAAAAGACCCTGCATTGCCAAAGCAAGACTAAGCAGAAAGAACAAATCTGGAGGTATCACATTACCTGACTTCAACTATACTACAAAGCTGTAGTTTCCAAAACAGCATGGTACTGGTATAAAAATTGGCATGTAGACCAATGGAACAGAATACTCAAAAATAAAGCCAAATATTTATAGGCAACTGATCTTCAAGAAAGCAAACAAAAACATAAAGTGGAGAAAGGACACCCTATTCAACAAGTGGTGCTGGGATAATTGGCTAGTCACATGTGAAAGAATGAAGCTGAATCCTCATCTCTCACCTTATAGAAAAAATCAACTCAAGACGGATCAAGGACTTTAAGACCTGAAGCCATAAAAACTCTAGAAGATAATATCAGAAAAACCATTCTAGGCATTGGCTTAGGCAAAGAGTTCATGACCAAGAATCCAAAAGCAAATGCAACAAGAACAAAAATAAACAGATGGGACTTAATTAAACTAAAAAGCTTCTGCACAGCAAAGGAAACAATCAGCAGAGTAAGCAGACAACCCACAGAGTGGGAGAAAATATTTGCAAACTATGGATCCAGCAAAGGACTAATATCCAGAATCTATAAGGAACTCAAACAAACCAGCAAGAAAAAAACAAATAATCCTGTCAAAAAGTGGGCAAAGGACATGAACAGACAATTCTTAAAAGAAGATATACAAATGGCCAACAAACATAGGAAAAAATGCTCAACATCGCTAATAATCACAATGCAAATCAAAACCACAATGCAACACCACCTTACTTCTGCAAGAATGGCCATGATCAAAAAATCAAAAAATAACAGATGTTGGCATGGATATGATAAAAAAGGGAACACTTTTACACTGCTGGTGGGAATGTAAACTAGTGCAACTACTGTGGAAGACAGTATGGAGATTCCTTAAAGAACTAAAGGTAGAACTACCACTGGATCCAGCAATCACACTACTGGGTATCTACTCAGAGGAAAATAAGTCACTATATGAAAAGGACACTTATACATGAATGTTTATAGCAGCTCAATTCGCAATTGCAAAAATATGGAACCAGCCTAAATGCCTATTAACTGAGTGGATAAAGAAAATGTGAGATATATATATATATACACACACATATATATATGTATCATGGAATACTACTCAACCATAAAAAGGAAAGAAAGAATGGCATTCACAGCAACCTGGATGGAGTTGGAGATCATTCTTCTAAGAGAAGTAACTCAGGAATGGAAAACCAAACATCATATGTTCTCACTCATAAGTGGGAGCTAAGCTATGAGGATGCAAAGGCATAAGAATGATACCATGGACTTTCAGGACTTAGGGGGAAGGGTGGAAGGGCGTGAAGGATTAAAAAAAAATGCTATGCGAAAAGGTTCCCAGGAACAATTTGGGACAATTTGAAATTAACAAAACTAGATGGAAATACATTGAGTATGTTTAAATAAAAAAATTAATAAATTGGTTAATTTTATGTTATGCAAACCTTCAATAAATTTACTTTTAGTTTTTAGAAAATTCCCTTTAGGAGCAAAACATCACAAAATGCAACATGAAAGGGAAAACGAAAAAGGAAAGGGGTAGTTTCATAACTTTGCATTCATGTAAATTGTATTAGGGCAGTGAGAAGAGCTTATAAATGGCTTCCATACAAATATGACTCGGACCTTTTTAGCCCCTCCTGGGATCCATCTTCCCCTCCCCATCAGGACACATTCTCCCTGAAGCAAAGGAACGTATCATTCCCCGGGTCCTTCCAAGACTCCAAGAGAGTCCCAGCAATTTGTCTTCATAATTTTATGTCCTTTTACTTAAAAGCATTCCCAAAATCGTATAAGCTTCTGGCTTCCCCAGAACTTTCTAGACCCATCCTGCTGAGTCCTCTCCAGCCCTGAGTGAGAGGTGCTGCCCAGGCACTGAGCCAGCTGCTTCCATTAGGGAGTAGCGACTGAAGCCAACGCCAGCCACTAAAGGAATATCCTTCTCTAGGACCAAGAAAGATTTCTCAAGTTGCCAATAAGACCAATCTGCTTTCTGTTTTCAAAACTCATATGTTTTATTTTGCTTTGATTTCTGGTTTATCTAAGCAAATGAGAGACTCCTGTGTCTCAAGCATTGCCACCTGGGGGACATAGATGATGCAATCCCCTCCGTTAATTAATACATCCCAAATCTGGCTATCAAACAAGATGTTCGCCAGAGCTTTGTCCCCTCCAAATAGGAAGATGGCATTGAGCTTCCAAGCAAATAACCCAAGTCCCTAACCGGGTCCTAGAGTCCACCCTTCCCCTTCCCCCTGGGCTCACTCTGGTCACACCCACCACACACCAACCGCACGCGTTGCTCTTGAATTGCTCTTGAATTTGAGGTTTGCTCCTGTCTCGCACCTTTGCAGTTGGTTTCCCCTCCACCTGGAAGGTGCTCCCCAAAATATCCACGCGGAATTCCCTTTCCTCTTCAGGTCTTTCTCCCATGCTTCTCCCCGGTTACTCGCTCTGAAACTGCACTCTACACCGTTACTTTCTATTCCCTTCCAAGTTGATTTTCCTCCCTAACCTTCATTAATCACCCAGGACAGGCCGCACGTTCTGCCAACACCTCCTGCTGTCTGTCTTCCCCACCTGACTGTCCACTCTGCGGGGGCAGGAATGTGGGCGTTTTAAAATACCACCACATCTCTGAGGTGCAGACCACTGCCTGGTGTGTGATGGGTGTCAGTGAGCATCTGTCTGGGGAGGTGAGGGTCGGTTAATTAATCATGCAATGAGGGACGGGCTAAGGAGATGAGCCGCTCAGACAGAACATAGCATAGCAAGGCACACGCTGCGCTTCTCATACAGGTAGCACCATCCTACAACACAAAACAATTCAATGCAAGGGGAAAAAGTAAAGTCAAAAGTAATTCATTCATATTTGTTTAATTGTGGCATATTTATACCACCGAGGACTATTCAGCAATAAACAGGAACGAACTACTGATGTATATGACCGTGGGGATCAATTTCAAATGCGTTACTGGGTGGAAGAAGTCAGACCCAAGAGAGTCTATGCTGTCCATCAACTCCAGGAACAGGCAACATTCACCCATGGTGACAGAATTCAGAAAGTGGTTGCCTGATTTGGGAGCAGGAAATGAGGAATGACTAAAGAGGGTCATGAGGGAACTTTTCTGGGATGATAAAAAGGTTCTGCATTTTGTTTGGGGCAGGGCTACATGGATATGTGTGTGTTAAGACTCAAATTGAGCACCTCAGATCTCCGCATCTTATTGAATGTAAAATGATCTCAATTATAAATACATACAAGTATACACACACACCATGAATCATTCATCTTAGAATTTGGGCCTCTCCACTTACCACATTCTGGAAGGCGCTGACTGAGGGAGATTAAATAAAAGGGGAAGGCACCATAAAACCCAGTTCCTAACCTTTATGCTATCTCTCTGTTTCATAACTGGACAAATCACTTTAACTTCTCTGTGTTGTTTTATTTTGTTTTTTCCTTAAAGTCAGGGTCTTGCTCTTTGCCCAGGCTGGAGTGCAGTGATGCAATCATGCCTCATTGCAACCTCGAACTCCTGGGTTCAAGTGATCCTCCTGCCTCAGCCTCCCGAGTAGCTGGGACCACAGGCGCGCACTTCCACACCCAGCTTGTTTTCTTAATTTCCAGAGTTGTCAGTAGAGACAGCAATGCCTGCTTAGTTGTTTTACAGAGCTAAAACCTCTATGAGATGCAAGCAGCTGTGAGCAGGCAATCCTCCAAGCTCATCTTCCTTATTAATAAGGCCGTCTTACAGTCCTCACACTTAAAGAACTAAGCCCCTTGGACAGAGGCCAAGACAGACATGCCTTTGTCAATTGTCCCCTTTGGTGACTGCTCCACATTGAGCTGCCAATGGGGTAATAATAGAACATCAGATTTGTAGGAAGAGCTGTCTGCATTATCTAACTTACCAAAGACGAAATGTCAGAAAAGGGGGAATTCATAACAAAAAAAAAAGCATCTCTCCAAATGACAATGAAGGTCAGAAGTATTTTTTATGCATCTCAATGCACTCAGTCTTCATGATGTTCAGAAGCTGCGGAATCGGGAACAAGCGGTCCTGCTCCTGCGGCCCCTGCTTTGCTCCTCCTCCTCTGAGGCGCTGAGGACATCCTCTGGCCCAGACCTAATTTCTTTTTCTTTAGAACACCTGCCAGGGAGGAAAAGGAGGGCATGCATCCATTCTGAGCATTTTCTCCTCCCAGCCTGATATTCACCTGACAGCCCGACCTGTGCCTGACACTGCTTCGGCAGCGTTCTACAGGAGAAATACGACTGGTCAGAGACAGACCCCTGGCTTCGCCGTGATCCGCCACCACCACGCACGCCAAGCAGCCCTGGGTGTCCTCGGGGGGCAGTGCTGCATGCTGGCCAGCAGGGCGGACGCTGGCTGCCATCCCGGCTGACCCACGGCCACCCGAGTGACCTTGGAGTCACTCGCCCTCTCTGTGCCTCAGGCTCTCCACCTGCAAGCTGGGTACACATCTCATCCATGGTGACTACACGGTATGACACACACAAAGTGCCTAAAACAGCGCTGGACCCTTCGCTTCTGTGCTGAAGGGGCACGGAGCGCTGAGGGGGCCGAGGACATACCCGCGCTGGCCGCCACGCAGTGTGTGTACCCTAGAGACGTGTGACGCCCCAGGACCGGAGTTCACAGCCTGGGCTCAGGGGGTCTGAACACCAAGGTCACCAGTAACTGGGGAGCAGATGCATCTGTGCATCTTCCTCACAGGAGGCTCCACAGCCTTTGCAAATGGGCACTGACTCCAAAAGCAATTCAACTCAGCAAAGGCTGTGAGTCCCACAACGCGTCAGACACTGCTAAGCCCAGAGGGCGTGATGACAATGGTGAATGAGACCAAAACAGACAAGCAATTGAGTCCTCATGATCACAGCTGGGTTAGGGAAGCCCGGGGAGGTGGTGGGGGGGCGGGGGGGAGTGGGGACAAACACAAGGGCAGCTGCCCTACGGAGAAAGAAAAGACCCAGGAAGACCTGGAGGAGGCGGCGTTTACCTTGGGATCTGAAGGATGCCAAGAATCTGCTCCCCTGCTTGCTAGAGGAAGAAGGGTCCAGTCTGAGAACAACACACATGAAGACCCAGAGGTGAGAGCCGCCCAGAGACTGAGAAATGGAAGATAGTTCCATGACAGGAAACGGCCAAACACAAAAGTGGAGGGTTCCGTGGAGGCAGAGCCCAAGAGCTGTGAGCATTCGGTGTGCCAGGGAGATTCTGAAGGGTTTTAAGGAAAGAAAAGACACAGCCCGGTTTTTTGGAGGGGGATCTCTGTGCCTGCAGGGTGAGGAAGGGTTACGAGGGGCCAGCTGGGCAGCCACCATGTGAGAGGGGATAGGCCAAGGCAATGGGGATGAGAGGGACTTGTGACAAGTTCAGAGGCGAGTCCATGGGGTGGTGGTGTGTCTGTGAGTGGTGGGGGGAGGGGCGGCAGGCGAGAAAGCAAGTGTGATTCCTGAATTTCTGCGGGAAAGCCAGAGGGATGAGGTGTCATGCCTGGGTGAAAATGACTTGTAGAAGTTGAAGTGCCTTGAAAACATTCAAGTGCAGGTGACCAGAGGCAGGTGGGGAGAGAGCTCCGCTAGACATACAGATTTTGGAGACTTGGCGTATGTTAACATCAGGGTGGTGGGGTGAGCTCACAAACAAGGAAGTGCATAAAGAGAAAAGGGAAGAAGGTCTGGAACAAAACCCTGAACAATCAGAATGTTCCAGGTAGGACCCAAAACAAAGACCCCACAAAGGACCCTTGGACAAGGACAGCCAGAGGATGGGGGAGGAAATCAGAGGCGTGTCATCGACGCACAGGAAGAGCATTTCACAAGCATCTCTACCATGCAACACTGGACAAACATTTTGAAAAACAGGTAACATGACCTGAAAAGAGGTCCACAAAATACTGGATTTAAAAAGATTGCATAAGGCTGGGCACGGTGGCTCATGCCTGTAATCCCAGCACTTTGGGAAGCCAAGGTGGGTGGATCGCTTGAGCCCAGGAGTTCAAGACCAGGCTGGCCAACGTGGTGAACCCCATCTCTACAAAAAGTACACAAATTAGCCGACGTGGTGGCACATGCCTGTCATCTCAGCTACTGGAGTGGCTGAGGCACGAGAATTACTTGAACCCCGGAGGCAGAGGTTGCAGTGAGCCGAGATTGCACCACTGCACTCCAGCCTAGATGAAGCAAGATTCTGTCTCAAAGGCAAAAAAAAAAAAAAAAAAAAAGATAGCATAGTATGATCTACTTTTGTAAAACCAGAATCAAAGCTATATGATAACACATGTTGAACCCTTTCAACATGCCAAGCCTTCTTCAATAGGCTTTACGTATATTAACACACTGAATTTTCACAATAGCCCTACGAAATGAGTATGATTTTTCATCATCACTTTACAAATGGGGAAACTAAGGCCCAGACGCATCAAATGTAGTTCCCAAGGCTACAGCTGGTACGTGGTGAGGGATGGGTGTCAGCCATAAGCAATACATGTAGCTGGACAGAGGATTCACTGAAAGAAACATCAGGGGGTGTTTTGAAGAAAGTGAAATGAGTTTGAGATGCTGCAGCATGTGCAGTGATGTCCAGGAGGTAACCACAGATGTGAGCGGCAAGCTCAAGACAGTCAAAATCCAAAATGCAGACGTGGCATGTTGTAGTCCATGAGCAGTAGCTGTGGACAGAGGAAGAGAGGAGCTGGGGGCCGGACGTGGTGAAGCATCTGTGGGAGACGGGAAGGAAGGCAATGCTTTGTGGAAGTTTGGCCATCGAGAGAGTGTTGCAGCTGGAGGGGCCTCAGGTGGAGAGAGGAAGGCGCATCTACCCAGCACACCTGTGTAGATGGAAGAAAGGAAGAAAGACCAGAAGGCAGAAAGCCTCAGGCAGGGCGAGGATGGAGGCAGACAGATGAGGCCCTGGGGTGGCGTGGGAGCACCTCGGCATGGGCTCCTCCAACATTAGGAGGGAGTCCAGGGGAACATGGCAAAGGTGAAAAAATGATAGAAAATCAGAAAGTGAGGAAGAAATTAATGCCGTTTTATGATAGTCTCAACAGAAGAAATTAAACTCGATGAAATGTGAATACTCACACATGACAATGCCCAACAGAGGCTGAGAAAAAGCCAGTTTCGTGTTGCCATAACACAAAATGTTTCTTGTAACTCCATCTTTGAATTGTAAAGTTACATAATCATCCAAATATAGTATACTTTATTTGTAAAAAGGAGTATTTCCTTACACAGTCTCTGCATACTGTTTCTTGATACTGTGTGCCATCTTGATGCTTTATCTCCATTAAACTCTAGACTTAGGTTCATCCATCAGAAAGGTAAGACGTGGAGCCAAACAGATAGATAGCTGTGTGCACAACTGCACTCTGCGGGGCCCAAAGACCATGCCCACATATAGTTAACTGAAAGTGTGGAACTTTAGTGTGCTTGTGTGTTTGTTTGTTTTGAGAAGAATTTTCACTCTCGTAGCCCAGGCTGGAGTGCAGTGGCGTGATCTCAGCTCACCACAACCTCTGCCTCCGAGGTTCAAGCGATTCTCCTGCCTCAGCCTCCCGAGTAGCTGGGATTACAGACATGTGCTACCACGTCCGGCTAATTTTGTATCTTCAGTAGACACGGGGTTTCTCCATGTTGGTCAGGCTGGTCTCAAACTCCTGACCTCAGGTGATCCGCCCACCTCGGCCACCCAAAGTGCTGGGATTACAAGCCTGAGCCACCACGCCCAGCTGGAACTTTAGTATTAATGTAAAGAGAGAGAGAGAGAGAGAGAGAGAGAGACGGAGAGAGAGAGAGAGAGAGAGAGAGGGGGAGAGAGAGAGAGAGAGAGAGAGAGAGAGAGAGAGAGAGAGAGCTCACTGGTATTTCACTAAGTAATGCTCTATAAATAATGATAATATTTTAATCTTTTACAAACTTATAAAGCCTACACATTTCTAAGTCCTGCTGCCTCTCCCTGTGTCACGCAGCATCTTCACCCATTTTAACCACATCATGACAGTCTAGGTGAATATCCTGCATTTCTAAGAACCAAGATAATATCAAGATTTTGTCTTGGTAACCACCATTCTTCTGCTTCTATGAGTTCAACTTTTTTAGATTCCGCATCTAAGTGAGAATATGCAGAATTGTCCTTCTTCTGTACCTGGCTTATTCTACTCCATGTCCTCCAAGTTCACCCAGGTTGTCATAAATGACAGAATTTCCTTCTTTTCATGGCTGAATAATATTCCATTTTGTGTGTATATATGTGTGTACACACACACGCACATATGTGTGTATATCTCTCTCACACACATCTTTTTTATCTGCTGATGGACGCATAGGTCACGTCCATATCTTGGCTACTGTGAACCGTGCTGCAATGAACATGGAAGCCCTAGGCCCAGGCCGCTGCTTTTCCAAATTTTTACATAAGGCGGCTCCCAGGAAAATACCTCAGCAGGCGTGCTTTGTAGCAAGCACAGAATTTTGAAGATTCATATCGAATGCCCTTAGATGGTGCGTGGACTCTCCACTTCTACACAAGCCTTGCCATTCTCCATTGCCTCACAGCCAGCTCACTCACGGGCACCACCTGCTGGGCCCCGTGGGTTTTTAGTTTGTGACTTGGGGTGCAGGAATGAGATGGAATGGGGTAAGACACACAAACAGACACACATACACACACACAGTCCTTGAATTCACAGATATACATTTGAGTTTAGCTCTCCTACTTATTTTCTTTTTTTTTTTTTTTTTTGTGGCACAGTCTTGCTCTGTCACCCAGGCTGGAGTGGTGCAGTGGCGTGATCTTGGTTCACTGCAACCTCTGCCGCCCAGGTTCAAGTGATTCTTCTGCCTCAGCCTCCCAAGTAACTGGGATTACAGGTGCATGCCACCACCACACCTGGCTAATTTTTGTATTTTTAGTAGAGATGGGGTTTCACCATGCTGGCCAGGCTGGTCTCGAACTCCTAACCTCAGGTGATCCACCCACCTCAGCCTCCCAAAGTGCTGGGATTACAGGCATGAGCCACCGCACCCAGCTTCTCCTACTTATTTTCTACAGAAGACTTCCTGGTGAGCATCTTCAGTAATTCTCAGGCTCCTCATCTGTGGGAACAATAACATCTTGCCAACCCAATCCACAGAAACATTCAACTGTGTTACACCTCACAGAATTGGTGTAAAAAGCAAAATTAAATGACAATGCTTATAAACTATTTTAAAAATTATTCAGTGCTGAGGATTGTCACTTCCAAAGGTCAAGAGCCAGAAAGGACGTTGCAAACTAGCCATGAGTTGGAGGCAGAAGCAAGTGCCCCACCTCTAGCTGCAGGGTAAGTCCACACACACATGGAAGAGGGAAAATGAAAAGTTGCCTTTCAAACGTCTCTTATTAGCAGCCTGGTCACAGGTTAGTGGCAAAGTGTACAGCGGTTAAACTAATTTTTACTGCACTGATGTACCGTTTTGAAAATCAGAAGCACAAGTAAAACATCTTGTTTTTTCTTCTGATTTTTCAAAACCTCCAGATCCCTATTATTTCAATCTGGAGTATTTGCAGTAAAACACAAATGCTAACAGTAACAAGAGCAAACGACATGACCACACTTGACAATGCCAAAGCCATGTTCCCAGTGCTCTGCTTCACAGGGATCACTTACTATGAGGATATTTTTCTGGAAGGGTGAAATGGAATTCAACCACACAACCCCTAATAACACTAATAGAAACCACACTGCACGCGCAGCACATTTCTGATAGTCTACCAAATGGATATCAGATTTTGTGGTGACATCAGTGGCTGGCACACGGGCTGAAACACTTGCTAGTAAGCAAAGAAAAGTTTGTTTCTGAAAATCTCACCTGTATCCTCTGGTGACAACGTGAGTCAGGCTGAGGTGAATTTGAAAATTACACCTGCTACATAAGCAAACGCGTCCTCAGAGCTCATTCTGGATAAATCAATAAATTCTGCCGACCTCCTCTGTGGGAAGTCACTCCGTACTGTTAAATTTTGCAAACAGTATTTTCCTTCCTGGTATTTATTCCATCTTAATTAAAAATGGTTCGTACAGTTTTGTAAGTAAAGTCTGTCTCCTCCACTGTAATCTAAGTCCCATGGGGGTGAGGGCCATTTCTTTCTTATTCATCTTCATATCGTCCAGAGCCAAGGGCACAAATCTCTGTTGACCAAAAACACAGGTATGCTGAGTTTTTTGGGTGGGGGGGTCGGGGGTGCCAAATTTAAAGGGGTATAAGTCAGCTCCCCGTCATCAGGAGTTCACAAACCCAATCGACTAATGAGACATCACAAACGGAAGACAATTTACAGCATAGATTAAGCGTAAGACAAATGACAAATGATTTAGATTATAATCCCAAAAGACATGCTATACATATTACTACAATATATATCTTTGTGCAGAAAGCCTTATTCTGTAAAATTATATTCTTAAGTGATACTCCCAGAGCTGGAATGATGTGGTAGTATTTTATAGAAAAATAATATTGACACCCTTTTTCTGCAAAAATTAATTTTAAAAATGGTAATATTTGTGATAGTTTAACAAACTTCCTAGCTTAAAGCTTTTGAAAATATTTTAAAAGAAAAATTATTAAAGTGTGTGTAAAACAAAGATGAGGAACTTTAAAACAATTCCTTAACCACTTACTAATCGTTATTACTCCAATATGGAAAAAGCTTAGATCTCCCTCTTGTCCTTAACACAAGGAAAAGACTGAACAACCTGAAAATCAAGGACCTTTTTTGTATCCATTGAAGAATTGAGGTCATAGGGAAAACCGCTGCTCTGAAAACCAGAGAGACAATACACGGAGGATCACTGCTGGAGTCAGCTGAGCCGGGGCTGCAGGGCAGGAGCCCCAAGCTGGCAGGAATATTAGATGGTGATTTGGATGAACTGCTGGAGGCTGCACATAGCCCAGCCTGAGAGTGAGAAATTCCTGGGGCCCAACCTTAGGGGGGGCCCACACTCTCGTGGTTTTACCTCCAGGAACCCCACCAGGTTCTCAAATAAAGAGCCAAGAAAAAAATCCCTTGTATTTTAGGCAGGGAGAAGGGAAAGTAATCATTTTAAAGGACACCCAGGGCATTCTCCATCACAAAGACCTCCTCTGCAGGGAAAAGACTTTACCAGGGACTAATCTCACCTACCACCTGCAGGGAGGACAACTACCCATCTCCAGCCCCCTCTGGCTCCCTTTGTCACCGAAGGAAAATAATATAGGGCAGCGGCTCTGATCTACTTAAAGAAAGGAAGAGCATCACAGAAGGAATACATGAAAGGAAAATATTTTTTATGCTTAATCTTTTCTTATCAGTAACTATTTTTTCATTGTAACAATGGTAATAACGTATTGGTTGATTATAGTATATGGATAAGTAAAATGAATGACAGCAACATTATAAGAGATGGGCAGAAGGGATTGGGAATATTTTGTTATAAGTTACCTACCTGCACTCTCGTGAACTGCATATTGTTATTTGAAAGTGAACTTAAAGTAGTTGTAAATGTATATTGCAAACTATGGGGTAACCACTAAGAAAATATTTAGATATAATTATAACTGATAAGCCAAAAGAAGAGAGAAGGAGAGATCATATAAAATGCTTAATTAAAGCCAGAGAACTCAGTAAAAGAGGGGAAGGGGAAAAGTTCAACACACAGAAAACAGTTACAAACATGGTAAATATTAATCCAGCTAGATCAAAAATCACTTTAAATGTAAATGGTCTAAATACACCAATTAAAAGGCAGAGATTGTCAGCGTGGATTAAAAAAATCAAGACTCAAGTAAATGTCTACAAATATGATCATGCTTTCTGTCTTCCTGGCTGATCACAGTACTCCTGCCAAACTTGAAGCTCTGCAAAGATGAAACCTAATTTGCTTCAGCATTTTTCAGCATAGGGTTGTTTTCATTAGTATTTGTATTACTATAGAAATGATAGAAATAATAATATCCACCACTGATTAAGCACCTACTGTATGCTAGGCATTGTGATCTCAATACATAGGAGGTCCTTAATGATCACTTGATGAATGGATGGATAAACTAATAAACCAATTAATAAAAACTCTAAGCATGCTGAATTTTGTCTTCACCTACATCTATGCCCAGCTTTCTTTTAATGAGTGACTACCATACAGCCAGGTCTGGTTTATATAAGCTGCAAAGGGAGAGGAAAAAGCATAGATTTTAATCTAATATTAAATTCTCCATGAAGAAATTGTCTCTAGTTATCAGTAAATTCATCTTTCACTGCCTTGCCATTCACCAACCCTTCTAAGGACTGGTCTGTCTGCTTTTTCTGTCCTTGTTCACAGTGATGGAAAATAGGAAATGCATAAAAGTACACACCCCACTGCTTCACAAATTGGGTTATCACTAACAGAGAATCGTATGCTCTATGAAGGAAAGTCCTAAAAGTAATCTAATCTACAGGGACCCAATCTTCACTCCCAAAAATCATGACACGCAGAATCTGGAACTTTGGCACCAAGTTTGAGGAAGGACCTGGATATATGGAACCACATCAACCTGGAAGCCCAGAGTGTAACAGTTACCAGGTCAGGACGACCACATGGGCGCTGGCCTGAGCACCAGGAAATCCAGGTTGCAGATATGAGCTGGTAATTCTTATGCACAATTATGCACAATTCCCCAATTCTCTGGCCTCAGTTTCATCGTCTATAAAGTGAGCAGACATACCCTAAGTAATCTCTCATATCCTCTCCAAATTCAAAGTTCTAGATTGATGAAAACAATAATTATTGAATCTATATATATAACTCTGTTGTGCGATTCAATCCTATATGAGAGTGTGAACACAGAGACAATATAAAATACAGCAAGTTCCCATTGCCTTCATTAATATTGTTTCATAATTTGAAAGCCAAATGGTATTTATCAAACGTAAACACAAGGTACATAAAACTAGTCTCATTCCACACCACGTCTGTTACCTCTCTTCACTCCTAAACTTACTTAAACTTCAATTAACACCATGTTTCCTCACAACCAGCCAGCTTTCGAACTTCTCCACACACTAGTCCAGAGCTCCTGACTCTTGATTATTCTGTCTTAAAGCCAAAAATCCTACCACATCGCAATAAATGAACAGTAATCAATACTATATAGTGTCCATCAAGGGTATGTCAGGCACTGTGCTCAGTGGTTCCTACGTTATCTATTCCATCCTCATTGCAAATCCATGAAGTAGGTCCTACCCATATTCAACCCACAGAGAAGCTGAGTCTCTGGGAGATTAGGTGACTTGGTCCAGGCCATAGGTCTAGCAGGTTTTAGAACCAAAAGTCAAACTTAACTCTTCCTGAGTTCCTAGCCATGTTCTTGCCATTTTATCAGTTTTTAAATATCTTTAGTAGCAGAACGCTCTTTGGAGTAAAAATATGTACACAGAACTCCAACATACAAAACAAAAGTGATAGTATATTGGAAGTGGAAACATATAAACGAACACACTATTATAAAGGAAATATTTTCCTATTATAAAGGAAATCAATGAAAAACACAACAAATGCTGATAAACACAGAAACCAGGAGTTGCTCATGACATCTGCAGATATTTCACCAGCCTCTGCATCCTGCTTCCTTTGGTATTCTGTTTGAGTTGCACATTGCCCTACATAGTTGAAAATAACCATGGGTTTTTAACATTTCACCTTGCAATCTGGCTATTCTTCAATCAAATTGACCCAGACATTTGCAACAAGAGTAGGAAACTATAAAAATATGTAAAGCAACCCCAGGCGTACAATATCTACCATATGTAGCAAAAATATAAGGGCACGATGGCCAGATGCATATTCACTTGTTACCATACAAATGACTGATAAGCTGTCACTAGATCAAATGTCAAGTAAACGTGAAAGCTTGTGTGGCCATTCATTGAGCCAGTATTGCCACTATAAATACACACACACACACACACACACACATACATACACATCTATACACACATATATGTAATGCTTTGGAAACACTGTCTTTTACAGACTTTGACATAAGTGAGAATCACAAGCCTAAATTCCAAGAAAGATCATTATAGAGATAAAACTTTTAAATTAATAATGGATTAGAAGAAGTTCAAATATTGACCCCAAAATGACAGGATTATCTTCATTTCAAAGTCTTCCCCAAAGAAATTAATCTAGAAGCACAAAGTAATGTCTTAATGGCTTGTTATTTTCCAGTGTGTTAAAATGTAGCATACACTGCAATTCGAGGATGTTATTGTTATCACTACCTTTACAAATAGTTTAAATTATCTATGAATATACATATTCATAAACACTATACTAATGCACATGGTTTGGTCCTGTGGTGCTGAGTCCTGCCTGGGCATGCAGAGGAAGTTTTCTAGTACAGAACGCCCAGTCCAGGCTGGGCATGGTGGCTCACACCTGTAATCCCAGCACTTTGGGAGGCTGAGGTGGGAGGATCTCTTGAGGTCAGAAGTTCAAGACCAGCCTAGCCAACATGGTGAAACCCTGTCTCTACTAAAAATACAAAAATTAGCCAGGCATGGTGGCGCACGCCTATAGTCCCAGCTATTCGGGAGGCTGAGACAGGAGAATCACTTCAACACTGGAGGTAGAGGTTGGAGTGAGCCGAGATCACGCCACTGCACTCCAGCCTGGGAGAGAGAGCGAGACTCCTTCTCAAAAAACAAAAAACAAAACAAAACAAAAAAACACAAAAAAACCCCAGCATATTATTTTTTTTAAAAAAAGACTGCCCAGTCAGACTCTCTGAATGAAATGAGTTCTTAAATGGAGCCGACCACCTGGTTTCATTAGTTGTCCCTTCTTGTTAGGAAAGTGCCAAGTCACCTTGCACTGGGCATTTTCTAAGTGATCCCATTTGAGGTGCAGCTTTAAACTGATATTTTGCAGGCTAGCAGTCACCTACCCAATGTCAAACGTAAAACAGTAGAAGGATTGGTGTCAAGAATTTTCTTAACTAATGTAGTGTTTGGGTGCTGAGGAATTTATTAACAAAACTATTAATGCTTGAAATGTTTTTGTCAAGTTTTGCAAAAATGTCACAAATGTTTAAGATGCCATCCACACAGGCTATCTGCCAGGAAAAAGCAAACCCATTACATAGGACTTGATGGAATATTTATAAGATCCAATTTCGAACAGATCCAGGCACTCGGCCAAAGTGCAAGATAGATGCTTCATTTTTAGAATTTAAGCTTCTAATGAAATTCAACAAAACAGAAAAGAAAGAGAATTCAAATAATTTTCAGTGCCCAATATTTTTCTTGAGATTGTTCAATATACTCAGAGATATAGTTTTATGTAGTTATCCATTTATCCCAAAGAATTCCTGAGATATCTTCAAAATTTAGTTATGCTGCAAAAAAAAAAAAAAGTGGTCTTTCATGGATATTCAGTTTAATCAACTTATTAAAGAAAGCAGAGACACTACATGAAAGACCAACAAACTAAAAAAGGATCCCTGGAAAGAAAGAGTGAAATTATTGGATAAAGTTACGGTAGACAGATACTGTAAATGTTATAACCCTAAGTTGCCCAGTGAGGAGGAGAATCTCTAGCAGCTGAGCTCTCTAGCCTCATCCTCCTCTGGAAAGACTGATGCGCTGTGCTGGAGATGGCTCACCCCCCAGTGGTAGCTTATGCCTAAAAGAATAGAAAAGAATGCTCATGCCAAGAATTTTGCTACAGTTCAACATTTCATTGGGGAAAAGTATAATTGAATGAATCACATGAACTAATTTTTTAAAGTCCAGACTCACTCCAGGCCACTTAAAGGGGTGTCATTTACTTAAAACAAAAATTGTGCTTGAACATCAGTCCTGGTGAGATTGAATTTTGTGGCCTGTTTCCAAGAATATGGGGGCCTGGATTGATGCAGCCAGTGCCTCTCCCACTGCCGTCACACAGAAAAACTAGTTCAAAATCAACATTTTTAAAAGACACAGCTGAGCTCAAGAGAAAGAGCAGAAAGCCCCAGAGGTCAAGGGTGAAAGAAGCAGCAGGCGGCACATGGGTGACCCAAGGCCTCGGGCAGGAGACTGGACCCGGCAGTCCAGCTCACACAGCTTCCGGATGTGCAGCCTGTGCCCACAGCAGGGAGACTGGCTGAGCTCTGCAGATGATGTGCAAAGCCACAAGGCCACGTATCAATGGATGGGGCAGGGTAAAGATGCTTGCTTTCTCCCCAGGGTCTGGGGAGGTAAAACCTCATCCATAAGGTGCAGAATTTCCAAATCTGCAGCAGGAGAAGGGTGTGGAGTCTGAATGTGACTGCCCGAAGAGAGCAGGAACTCCAAGCAAAAAAATTACCTCAAAATTTAGACTGGAACTGCTGAAGCCTGCATGGACCAAAAGGAGCAAAAATGAGAACACTTCGAATGAGGAATTACCAAACCAGGACGGTGGAAACACCGCACACACGCACACACACTACAAAACGCACCTTGTTTTTCCCACTTTGGAAGTGAGGAAACAGTTGTTGCGGGAAGTCAGGGACCCCGAACGGAGGGACCGGCTGAAGCCAAGGCAGAAGAACGTGGATTGTGAAGATTTCGTGGACATTTATTAGTTCCCCAAAATTAATACTTTTGTAATTTCTTACGCCTGTCTTTACTGCAATCTCTGAACATAAATTGTGAAGATTTCATGGACACTTATCATTTCCCCAGTCAATACCCTTGTGATTTCCTATGCCTGTCATTACTTTAATCTCTTAATCCCGTCATCTTCGTAAACTGAGGAGGATGTATGTCACCTCAGGACCCTGTGATGATTGCGTTAACTGCACAAATTGTTTGTAGAGCATGTGTGTTTAAACAATATAAAATCTGGGCACCTTGAAAAAAGAACAGGATAACAGCAATGTTCAGGGAACAAGAGAGATAACCTTAAACTCTGACCACCGGTGAGCCAGGCGGAACAGAGCCATATTTCTCTTCTTTCAAAAGCAAATGGGAGAAATATCGCTGCATTCTTTTTCTCAGCAAGGAACATCCCTGAGAAAGAGAACGCATCCCTGAGGGTAGGCCTCTAAAATGGCCGCTTCAGGGGGTGGCCATCTTTTATGGTCGAAGCTGTAGGGATGAAATAAGCCCCAGTCTCCCATAGTGCTCCCAGGCTTATTAGGATGAGGAAATTCCCGCCTAATAAGCCTGGGAGCGCTATGGGAGACTGGGGCTTATTTCATCCCACATAGGAGTTACGTAAGTTACCCCCTGTCAAAGACCTATTTTGCAATAAAGCTGCCATTTGAACCCAGGCAGTTCTCTGGAGTCATCTTTAAAATACGATGCTTAAGTCCATTTCATCACTAAGTTGCTGCACCCACACAGCTGAATGACATACATGGCCCTGCCAACTGATGTCACTTTGCAGGGCAATTACAAATTTAATTTGAACCAAATGATAACGAAGGGTAATACATATCAAAAATTTGGAGAAACAGCTCTCATAGTACCCAAAGAGAAATATTTAGCCTTACATGCATGTATGAGAAAAAATTTAAAATTAGTAAGCCAAGAGTCCAACATAAGCTTGCAAATCCTGAGAAAGGAAGAGGAAGGTGATGCGGATGGAATGTCTGCGTGCCTCTGTTGACTGTGATTATGAGACCTCGGTTCTTTTCTTTTTCGTTAAAAGAATGTAAACCAGAGACACACATCAAAGGAGGTGCAGCACAGAGCCACTGATTGCAGGGGAGAAAGCATACTCTGAGCGTTAGGTGCAAACAAGGAAGTAACACTCTGGAGAGCATTTGGAGCAGGCTCCTCATGAGGACAAGACAGCATTGACAGTTACTGGGCCCCTTTATGGAAGTCTTACCTGATTGTTCAAAAGGAATGGGAAGAGGTGTTGCTAGGAAGCATGCTCTGTGCAGTTCCCTGGGCACACCTGTGCAGTAGCTGTACATGCTTGTTCATAAGTCACATGTCTTATTAACAACTGAAATCTCCACCCAGGGGTGTGTAGTTTACTATTATAGTGAGCAAAGGGTCAGTCTGAGGACAGGCAAAATCAAAATGCACATGCTGTCTACAGGAGAAATTCCCTACTGGAGACAGCTTTGCTTGAGTGAGTTTGACTACAGTGCGAATGCCAGGGCTTTTTTGTTGGTGGTGCGGTCACCATGGTTGCCACATCTCAAGGACATGGTTATTTCCTTGACTACCTATGCTGCCTTACCTCCAAAACTCATATGTTGAAGTCCTAACCTCCAGTGTGGCTATATTTGGAGACTGGGCTTCGAGGGAAATAATTAAGGTTAAATGAGGCTATAAGGGTGGGGCCCTGATCCCATAGAATTAGTGTCCTTATAAGAAGAGACACTCTCCCTTTCTCTCTCCCTTTTTCTCTCTCCCTCTCCCTCCTTCTTTGTCTCTCTGTCCCTCTCTCTCTCTCTCTCCTTCTTTCTCTCACTCTCCCTCCCACTCCTCCCACCGAGCCCTGAGGAAAGGCCACATGAGGACACAGAAGATGACTGTCTGCAACCCAAGGAGAGAGCCCTCACCAGAACCTGACCATGTGCCACCTTGGTCTTGGACTTCCAGCCTCCATAACTGTGAGCAATAAATGTCTGTTATGCCACCCAGTCTACACTACGTTGTTATGTCAGCCTGAGCCAACTAATAGAGATGGAATTAAAGATAAAAGCAGAATAAGGAAAATAATGATGATAAGGAAAATAATGAGATTAGATGACATGTTTTATAACACATGGCCTTCATAAATACTTGGGCCATTTTAATCTATGATAACTTTGGGTATTTACAAGATGGGTCATCTTTGAACTATTTTTCTTCTTCAAAATTGCCTTTGCTATTCTTGGCCCTTTTTATTTTCATATAGATTTTATCATGAGTGTATCAATTTCCAAAAAATATTGCTGAGATTTTGGTTGGAATTGCATTGAATCTACAGATGTTCTTGGAAATAATGACATTTTTACAATAACATGACACCTCGTTCATGGGCACAGCAAGTCTGTCCATAGATGAAGCTCTTCTTTCCTTTATTTCTATCATGTTTTCTAATTTTCAGCACAGAGATCGCCTCATTTTTCACTACAGTTATGCATGGAAATTTCCTATCTGTGATGCATTTATTAAAATTTTATTTCCAGTTGTTTAATGACCATATATAGAAAGGCAGTTATTATTAACCTTGTATCCTGCAAAATTTTATTTCCAGTTGTTTAATGACCATATATAGAAAGGCAGTTATTATTAACCTTGTATCCTGCAAAATTTTATTTCCAGTTTTCCTTGTTTAATGACCATGTATAGAAAGGCAGTTATTAACCTTGTATCCTGCAACCTTGAAAACTTTACCTATGAATTCTAAGACTTTACCTGTAGATTCTTTCGGATTTTCTATCAACAATATTTAATATCTGAACACATTAAATCTGATATCTGAACTATTTTCCATTTGCTGACTGATTTCCTCAGTTGCATTCCTGACTCTGTTTTTAAAAAGAGTATTAAGAAATTATGCTTCCAGGAGCCATCCATTAGATGAGAGGATGCCAGAATTCTTCCGTGACTGCCCCATCTGCAGCTTGGCTGAGCTAAGTACCCTCCCTTCATGCTTGGACAGCACACCGTGTCTATATCTATCCTCCTGAAATGAGCTGTGTATGAGGATCATCTTGTCCTTGTCTTTCCCTTCTCCTGAAGACAAGGCCCATTCTCTTCAATTTTATATCCTTAATGCCTCCTGGAAGATAATAAGCTCTCAATAAATATCTATGGAACTGAAGAGCTAAACTAAATTATTAGCGTCCATGATGGCCAAGGGTTTCACTCTGTGCTCTTATTCAATCCTCATGAAATCTATGAGGTAAGAAGAGCAGACATAATTAATAACCAGGTTACAGGAAGCTACAGGTCAAAATAGTAATTAAGTGGGAATTGTCCACAGCGATAAACCTGGTCCACAGCAGACCTGGGGCCAGGAACTCATGCTCTTTCCCTTCCCCTTTTGCTGTTTCCAGACAAAAATGAAAATGCTGAGAGTGTGGCTCTGGGTCAGACTTTTTATACTATGCACATAAAAAGCAAATACTTTGGTAGAGGTCATTTATTGATTTATGTGTTTGTTCTAGCATCCAAGGCTTCAGGAACCAAAGGGCCATCATGTTTTTGTAGCAGGCAAGAGAGTCTCCTACAGTATTTAAACTGATCATTACGGAGCTACGTGGCTCAAATCTACAGATCATTATATTCATGATGGGATGTTATGGACTGAATCGAGTTCTCCCTCTCTCAAAATTAATATGCTGAAGTCCCAGCCCCTGCAATGTGACTGTATTTGAACATAAGGTCTTTAAAGAGGTGATTAAGTCAAACTGAGGTCATTAGGTGGGGGCCTAATCCAATCTGCCTGGTGTCCTCATAAGAAGAGGAGATTCAAACACAGACACACAGAGGGATGACCCTGTGAGGACACAGGGCAAAGATGCTTCTACAAGCCACGCAGAGAGGCCCCAGCAGAAACTAACCCTGCTGACACCTTGATCTTGGACTTCCAGCCTCCAGAGCTATGAGAAAAAATTTCTGTGGCTTCGGCCTCATACAGTCTGTGATCTTTGCCACAGAAGCCCTGAGACACAGGTGGCACTGTCAGATGAAGTCCTCTTCCATGTGTGGATACCTACTGGGCTTGTCTCTCCTCCTTTCCTGTGCTCCCCCTTCACATCTAGGCACGTAGGGAAAAAGGAGGACAGCTCTTCCCACTCACATCTGACCTCCCTGCAGCACCTGACATCAGACCCTTTCCCCACCCTCATCCCCAAGACATACCCATCCTCCACATGGGTATAACCTCCCACATGAGCACCTCACATGTGAACAGAGGATGAGCCAAGGGAGAGGAGAGACGAGGAGGAGTGTTGCTCATGGGAAGAACAAATGGAACACTGTCTGCAGGACTCACCATGTCCATGCAGAGGATACAGCCATTGCACTGTCAACCCCTATCGGCTCCCAGGCTGGGTGGACCTCACGCTGTGGACAGCAGCCAGGGGAGAGGGCAAAATCAGACAACAGGATTCCCTGATTGTTCTGACATCAGGCCAACCCACTGAAGGCATGGGAGAGCAAGGTCTTGCCCTGCCTTCTCTCAACTCATGTGTCATTATGCTTCCATAATGCTTCAATTCATGTGTCATGAATTGAGAGACACCCATCATGAGACACCCCTTCTGCCTTTCTCCTCTACTGCAATGGCAGCACTAGAAGAGAAAGGAAGAATGGGTATGCAACTTAGGCTGAGTCCAATGCGTCCTTTGACCTGTCACTGGAGGAGCAACAGGCTGCCTGTGCCCAACAAGTTTGCATACATTGGGCTTGGATTTATATATTTATGCAAAACTCTAAATGTTTATAAGTATTTAAGCTCATACAAAAAAATCCTCAGTCCTTCATTTCTTCTCTTGACTTGACCAAGGTTCCCCCCAGTACCTCCTTCGGGACAGTCTTATGGTATTCTTTTGTTTTTCGTTTTTGTTTTTTTTGAGATGGAGTCTCGCTCTGTCGCCCAGGCTGGAGTGCAGTGGCACGATGTTGGCTCATTGCAACCTCCACCTCCCAGGTTCAAGCAATTCTCCTGCCTCAGCCTCCCGAGTAGCTAGGACTACAGGCGCCCACCACCACGCCTGGCTAATTTTTTGTATTTTTAGTAGAGATGCTGTTTCACCGTGTTAGCTAGGATGGTCTCGATCTCCCGACCTTGTGATCCACCTGCCTCAGCCTCCCAAAGTGCTGGGATTACAGGCATAAGCCCACACTCGGCCTATGGTGTTAATTCTGGGATCAAATTAGGCTCAAGCTGGGTGCAGTGGCCCACGTTTGTAATCTCAGCAGTTTGGGAGGCCAAGGCGGGCAGATCACCTGAGGTCAGAAGTTCAAGACCAGCCTGGCCAACATGGTGAAACCCTGCTTTTACCAAAAAATACAAAAATTAGCTGGGCACAGTGGTGCACACCTGTAGTCCCAGCTACTGGAGAGGCCGAGGAGGGAGAATCATTTGAACCTGGGAGGCAGAGGTTGCAGTGAGCCGAGATCGCACCACTGCACTCCAGCCTGTGTGACAGAGTGAGACCCTGTCTCAAAAAAAAAAAAAAAAAAAAAAAAAAATAGGCTCACATGTCTAGTTACTTCCAGTTTCACATCAATACACTTGTGGTTCTGAGCCACCTAGTAGTCTTTCTTTGGTGATAACACTACAGGCAGCTGGTTGTCTTCCAACTGTGTAAAAACCATATTTTGCTTCTGTAAGCCAAAGTACACAAGAGTCTCACATTTTATTCCTACTATGTCTTACCAGGTCCCTCAACAAGTGAAATCCAACAAACTCTGTCATTTAATTAATAGTATTTATCGATATTAATTTCTTAGTTTTGATTACTATATGATGGTTATATAAGATATTAATACTGGAGGAAGTTGAGGGAAGGGTATATTGGTAACTGCAGTATTTTGCAACTCTTTAAGTCTAAATCATCTCAAAGTTAAAAGTTTAAAAAAAAAATCAGGCTTTGGAATTGGTCTGGAAATGAGGATAAAGAAATATTAAAGTTGTTGCCTTCGTTTTCTGGTTCAGGGATTGAGGGATGGTGGTGCCACAGCCTTTAATAAGGAATCCTCTTTTAGGTAGGAAAATATTGGCACCTGTAACAAATAATCCTCAAAATTTAAACAGCTTAACAAGACAAAATTTTTATTTTTCTCTCAAACCACAATTCCAATGTGGATATTCTGTCATGACTGGCAATTGAGGGGTGGGTTCCAGGGCACTATGCCCCATGGCTGGCAATTGAGGGGCAAGCTAGGGGGTGCTATGCCCCATGGCTGGCAATTGAGGGGCGAGTTAGGGGGTGCTATGCCCCATGGCTGGCAATTGAGGGGCAAGCTAGGGGGTGCTATGCCCCATGGCTGGCAATTGAGGGGCAAGCTAGGGGGTGCTATGCCCCATGGCTGGCAATTGAGGGGCAAGCTAGGGGGTGCTATGCCCCATGGCTGGCAATTGAGGGGCGAGTTAGGGGGTGCTATGCCCCATGGCTGGCAATTGAGGGGCAAGCTAGGGGGTGCTATGCCCCATGGCTGGCAATTGAGGGGCGAGTTAGGGGGTGCTATGCCCCATGGCTGGCAATTGAGGGGCAAGCTAGGGGGTGCTATGCCCCATGGCTGGCAATTGAGGGGCAAGCTAGGGGGTGCTATGCCCCATGGCTGGCAATTGAGGGGTGAGTTAGGGGGTGCTATGCCCCATGGCTGGCAATTGAGGGGCAAGCTAGGGGGGTGCTATGCCCCATGACTGGCAATGGAGGGGTGGGTTGGGGAGAGCTACCCCACACACTGTTATTTCAAGACTCAAGCTAATGGAGGCTCTGCCATCATCAATGTGTGGCTTCTAAGGTTTCCCAGGGGGTCAACATCTACCTGGAAACTGGGAAAGAGTAAAAGGATTGCCCAAGACAATCCCATTTACAATAGCTACAAATAAAACAGAATACCTAGGAATATATTTAACCAAGGAGGTGAAAGATTGCTACAAGGAAAACTACCAAACACTGATGAAAGAAATTGCAGATGACACAAACAAATGGAAAAACATCCCATGCTCATGGATGTTAAGATTAATATTGTTAAAAAAACCATACTGCCCAAGCAATCTACAGATTCATTATAATCTCTATCAAAATACCAATGTCATTTTTCACAGACTTAGAAAAAAAAATCCTAAAAGTTATATAGAACCACCAAAGAACATGAACAGCCAAAGCAATCCTAAGCAAAAAGAACAAAGCTGGAGGCATTACATTACCTGACTTCAAATTATACTACAAGGCTATAGTTACCAAAACAGCATGGTACTGGTACAAAAACAGACACATAGATCAATGGAACAGAATAGAGAACTCAGAAATAAAGCTGTACATCTATAGCCAACTATTCACAAAGGCAACAAAAACATACACTGGGGAAAGAATACTCTTTTCAATAAATGGTGCTGGGAAAATCGGATTGTCATATGCAGAAAAAAGAAACTGGACCCCTATCTCTCACGACATACAAAAATCAACTCAAAGCCAGGCATGGTGCCTCACACTTGTAACCCCAGCACTTTGGGAGGTGGAGGCAGGCGGATCACTTGAGGTCAGGAGTTTGAGACCAGCCTGGCCAATACAGTGAAACCCCATCTCTACTAAAAAAAAATACAAAACTTAGCCAGGCATGGTGGTAGGCACCTGTAATCCCAGCTACTCGGGATGCAGAGGCAGGAGAATCATTTGAACTTGGGAGGCCGAGGTTGCAGTGAGCTGAGACAGCTGCCTCAAAACAAAAACAACAACAAAAAAAGTCAACTCAAGATGGATTAAAGACTTACATGTAAGACCTGAAACTAAAAATACTAGAAGAAAACCCAGGGAAAACTCTTCTACACATTGGTCTAGGAAAAGAATTCATGCCTAAGATCTCAAATGCAGAAACAACTAAAGCAAAAATAGACAAATGGGACTTAATTAAACTAAAAAGCTTCTGTACAGCAAAAGAAATCGTCAACAGAGTAAAGAGATAACCTGCAGAATGGTAGAAAATATTTGCAAACAATGCATCCAACCAGGGACTGATATCCAGAATTTACAAGGAATTCAAACAACTCAACAACAACAACAAAAATAAGCCCATTAAAAAAGTGAGCAAAGGCACCATCACTGGCCATCAGAGAAATGCAAATCAAAACCACAATGAGATACCATCTCACACCAGTTAGAATGGCGATCATTAAAAAGTCAGGAAACAACAGGTGCTGGAGAGGATGTAGAGAAATAGGAACACTTTTACACTGTTGGTGGGACTGTAAACTAGTTTAACCCTTGTGAAAGTCTGTGGCGATTCCTCAGGGATCTAGAACTAGAAACACCATTTGACCCAGCCATCCCATTACTGGGTATATACCCAAAGGACTATAAATCATGCTGCTATAAAGACACATGCACATGTATGTTTATTGTGGCACTATTCACAATAGTAAAGACTTGGAACCAACCCAAATGTCCAACAATGATAGACTGGATTAAGAAAATGTGGCACATATACACCATGGAATACTATGCAGCCATAAGAAATGATGAGTTCATGTCCTTTGTAGGGACACGGATGAAATTGGAAATCATCATTCTCAGCAAACTATCGCAAGAACAAAAAACCAAACACCACATATTCTCACTCATAGGTGGGAATTGAACAATGAGAACACATGGACACAGCAAGGGGAACATCACACTCTGGGGACTGTTGTGGGGTGTGGGTAGGGGGGAGGGATAGCTTTAGGAGATATACCTAATGCTAAATGACGAGTTAATGGGTGCAGCACACCAGCATGGCACATGTATACATATGTAACTAACCTGCACATTGTACACATGTACCCTAAAACTTAAAGTATAATAATAATAAAATAAAATAAAAGTGAGCAAAGGACAAAAATAGGCATTTTTCAAAAGAAGTTATACAAATGGCCAACTAGCATATGAAAAAATGCTCATCACTAATCAGAGAAATGTAAATTAAAATCACAATTAGATACCATCTTATACCAGTCAGAATGGCTGTTGCTTAAAAGACAAAAATAACAAATGTTGGCAAGGATATGGAAAAAAGAGAACACTTATACACTGTTGGTGAGGATGTAAATTAGTGCAGCCTCTATGGAAAACAGTATGGAGGCTGGGCGCGGTGGCTCATGCCTGTGATCCCAGAAATTTTGGAGGCCGAGGTGGGAGGATCGCTTGAGCCCAGGAGTTTGAGGCCAGCCTGGCCAACGTGGTGAAATCCCATTTCCACTAAAAATGCAAAAATTAGCCAGGCGTGGTGGCACACGCCTATAATCCCAGCTACTTGGGAGGCTGAGGCATGAAAATTGCTTGACCCTGGGAGGTGGAGGTTGCAGTGAGCCGAGATCATGCCATTGCACTCCAGCCTGGGCAACAGGGCAAGACTCTGTCTCAAAAAACAAAACGAAAACAGCATGGAGATTTCTCCAAGAACTAAAAGTAGAACCACCATTCAATCCAGTGATCCCACTACTGAGCGTCGATCCAAAGGAAAAGAAACCATATCAAAAAGTTACCTGCACTCGTATGTTTACAGCAGCATTATTCACAATAGCAAAGACGTGGAGTGAACCTAAGTATCCATCAACAGAGGAGAGGATTAGACAATGCGGTGTATATATATGGAGGTCATTATCTTAAGGAAAACAACTCAGAGGCCAAATACCACATGTTCTCACTCATATGTGGGAACTAGAGAAAGTGTCCACGTGGTAGCGAGAGTGCAATGATAGACACTGGAGCCTCGGAAGGGCGGGGGCAGGAGGGAGGTGGATGATTTAAACACGACTTAATGGCTTCTTTGTACACTATTTGGATGATGGTTCCACTAACAGCCCAGTCTTCACCACTATGCAATATATGCATGTACCAACACTGCACCTGTACACCACACATTTATACCATTTTTTAAAAAAAAAGATTGCCCAAGAGAAGTGTCCCTGGCCAGGCCAGCAGCAGCCCACATCACTCCCTCTCAGACCCCACTGGTGAGGACTCAGGTGGCCTCACCTAGCTGAAAGGGGCCCTGGGAAACGGAGCCTCGCTGTGTGCCCAGAAGAGGCTCTGAGCTCCGTGCCTGGCTGGGAAACTCCACCACCCCTTCTCATTATCTGTACACTTTAATAGCTACCAGGCCTTTCAAGGGAAGGGGCGTCACTTAGACAGCAGTTAAACAGTAAAAAGGAGCTCACTCTGGGCACTGAGACCTCACCTGTGCCCTTTGCCATCACAGGTCATTGTGAGCCAATCACTGAATCATTAGTGAGAAGTGGCCGGTTTCAAGTTCTCAGTCTGGGTCATGAGCGTTAAGAAGGAAGGACAACGCCAAATCATAACTGGTCAAATTGGGTTTGCCACTGTAGGTCCAGGAGTTAGGTGAGGACAGTGCAAAATGGCAAAGCCCCTGGGAAAGTGCCTGAGCAGCTCCGATATGGGAAAAGGGCATGGACGTCTTCGTGAGCCTCTAGAAAGCGCTACGCTTGGTGCTGTTAATAGGTGTTTTACCTACTGTTACCTCATTTCGTACTCATAACCGCCCCCCTCCATGAATATGCCCACACTAGGACTGAGGAATCTTAGGTTAGAAAAGTCCCAGAATCCTCAAAAGAACAAGACACAGTCCTTGCTTTCCAGGCCCCAACACTCGAGTGAAGGGGTTGCAGCTGACATGTGTGAGCTGGGCACATAAATCACAGGCCCGAGTGCCAAGGCCCCCACAGCCAGGTCCACTGGTGATGGTCACCCACTGCCTGACTGGTTTAACGAGCACTGAGACAACAACCCATTCCTGCAGAATTCTGGTAACTTTGCAATGGAGGCCTAAGCACTATGGCCAGCCTGTCCGGTCCACTCAATCCCTTCACAGCTGAGACCCCTGTGGTTCTCTGACCGGCGTCCACCTAAGGCTCGCCTGGCAGAGGCACCTGCTTTGGAGGACTCCTAAGAGGAGTGTCATACCATTTCTGAAAACCGCACCCCAGGACACCTCCTTACTGTCACATTTAACCTCTGATGGTAAACCCCCAAATTTGAAGAGCAAATACAACCCTAACTCTCTGCTTAGTTATTGGAAGTCCCTATTCAAAAAAAAACAAAAAAAAAAACAAAAAACCCTCTACCAAAAGGAGAAGAAACTCAGCACCCAATCTTAAATTTCTATACTGGCTCTTTCGCATTTCTCTGACACATGCCAGCTTAAACCCAAACTGAATGCAAAACTCACATTTTGCAAACTAAAACTACTGAAAAGATAACCTGCCCACCTCCTCCTCAGACAGGCCGCCTCCTTTCCCTTGGGTCTCTAGCCCATTTCTCCTCCTTTAGGATTCCTTTAGGCTTTGCATTCTCTTCCCAGGACCAAAAGAGTCCCCTGTAAACCTACTATCCTTTCTTTTCTGTTTTTTTCATAACTAGTGAGGGCACAAATGGTTAAAGCAACGCGCTGACAGGAAGCCAGCACCCAATTCAAGGACAGCCTCTTGCAAGGGCCTGGCCCACCCATCATCCCTGACTCTGAACAGTGCTCTCTGTTCAGCAGTGCTGATAGTGAAATTAATTATCTTCCAGCCCAGCCGAGAAGCTGGGGTTGCCACATGGATGTGTCTCCAGTCACTTACCACACAGGGACTTACTCATCACAAGTGCTAAGGGTCTTGAAAGGATGCACATTCCTGAGCAATATTTGTTCCTATGCTCATTTGATTTTGGAAAAACCAGGCTTCCCCCCCGGAAGAAAGGCAAGTGAGAGAAAGAAGAGCAAGCTTTTGCTAAAATAAATGGGAGGAAGAATCCAATTCAACTTTTCCTCGTTTCACGGTTTACTCTCTGCTTTCCATTAGGGAGTTGAAGAGGGACTGCCCCTTCACCTGTTTGTCTCTGTGACCTCAGACAAATCCAGTTGACGACGACAAAGCACCTTCTTTGTCCTTATCATCAGTTAATTTAAAGGGTGCATGTTTACTAACAGCTTAATCTATTTGGTGCAAACACTCTTTCACATTCTTTTCCTCCATCAAAAACAAAACCCCAAAACCTTCCAAAAACTCACATGGAAACTTCCCAAGTCTGAAGTCGGCCTGGATGGCAGCATCATAGCTACAGAAATCTTAGCCGCTCAACCATGTCTCAGTCGGTTCATGAGCCTTCCTTTCCCCGTGAAATGTCAGGACCAGAAGCTCGCATTTTGAGTGGCTAGTCTCAACTTTTACAACTCTGCACACTGCAAACACTGAAGTAGCAATGAGAGCTCCCTTTGACCCAAAGAAACTCCTTCCTCTGAGAATCAACCGAGAGGAAATCAACTTTTATGTTTCACACACACAAAAGTTGACAATAAACTTAATTAGACTTGGTATCTTAAATAAGCCAACAACTGCTGGTAACTTCACAAACAGAATGAACCAAGTTTACTTTCCTTGAGTTATTACCTAGCTGTATCAGGAAACATTTGTTTCTACCAAAGTAATCACTTGCATGGGAGTTTTAACATCAGTTGCAAGAGAAGTATGGCATAATTTTAATACTGTACTTGCTTGTATTTTATTTTAAATACAGAGTAATATTTCAAATTGAATTTAACTATAAAACTTCCATAAAATAAAAATGCATGATCTCATAAAATCAAATCAGTCTTTAATTGTAATAATAAAAATTACATTTAAGTAATGGTGTCTCTGAGTTAATAGCTCCATAAAATCGCCCCTGAAAAGCCAATCTTTGCTACCTGAGTGACTCTTTCTTTAACATTCTGCAATTAAAAGACAAAGTTCTGCCATGACTCACGATGTGTCTGCCGTGGAACTCCTATTGGGAGTGAATTTCCAACTGAGCTCGCCAGTGAGTAGTGAAGGGAATGTCGGAGCAAAGGCGCATTACCTGGGCCCAGAAGATTCCACTCTCCACGTTTTAACTACAAACCACAGAAAAAGGGCAACATGAAACCAGGAAACTTTTTAAGAAAATTCTAAAATAGCTCCCATCTAGAGATAAAGTAATTTTTTTTTCCAGTGCACACCAGGAATAACATTTCCCCAGTGTTATACACCATTACTACTCATTTGTGGATTGGGGGATTTATAAGGATGATGTCCATTTTTTTAATGCATCTTGAAGTAAGGCAAGAGGAGATTCCACCTTACAAATGCATTTTATTTCTAAGAAAGGCTTCGTCTGTTCCTTTACATCTTCCAGGTAACAGACATCAAGAAACACAGCACCGCGGACTTAGCACCCAGGCACACGTTCGCATGTTCCTATTTATTTCACATGTGCTGACCTCCTATCCTGATGAGGCCTCAGGTCCCCTGAAGACAGGGACTGTGTATTTTATCTTCCCCATGCATTTGCTCTAGGACTGGATCTTCAACACGTACAAGCGGGTGCGGGGAGCGAGGCCCTGAAAATCTTCACCAGCATCGACGCAACAGGCCAAAGCCAAGCTGGTCTTCAGCATCAGCCTCCAAAGGCCCCCCCTCGTCTCCCCAGCCTTCGCCTCCTCCCACGTTCCCTCCACCAATGCACCGGGGCTTCCTCAGCCTGGAAGTCGCCTGCGGACTTATGACTCACACAGAATTAGGAATCCAGTCCCATCAGGCAATTCCCAGCTCTCCAAGCCCATGCGATGCCTGTGGATGGGGCAGCTGCTGAGCTCCCTAGGGCTGCGGCCACACACTCTCGTCTGCCAGAAACCTGCTTTAATCTCAGGGTTGTCCACCTACACACAAGCCTGATTCTAGTAAGTCCCTGACAAGGAACCTCTGTTAACTTCCTTCACCTGCAGAATAAAGTGGACCCGCCAAAGCCTCCCCAAGGTCTATTGCTTCCTGTTCCTCTCCTCTCACTCTCCCTCTTCCTAGCCTTCCCCTTGGCCTCATGTAGAAGATTTTTTCCTACTTTGAAATAAGTGACTTAGGCCAGAGAGTGCCACGGCTTCTGAGTTACTCTCTACCCTCACCCCGGCCACCAGCGCTGGAGCCACAGCCCTGCATCTGAGCTCTGTGGCCGAATGCACAGCCACCTGGCCAAGACTGCCGGCCACACACCCCAGCCTCCATCACCCGCACCCACACTGGCAGAGGCTGCCCACGAGCAGGCCCCTGGGGCTTCCAAGACTAGGACTGTGAGGGATCATTTTACTCATAAACAGGACAGGATAATACTTGTATTTTTAAAAGTGTTTTACGCACTGCGTGAAGAAAGGCTGGGCAAGCGTGGGTGGTGGGCAGGCTGCCATTTCCATGAGACCAGAGCTCGAGGCTTCGTCGTTTAGCCTCTGTCCTTCCACACAGTGCAGGCAGCAGGCAGTGAGGACAGGTCCCTGGATGAGCAGGCAGGTGCACTGGGACTGCAGGGGACCCGGTGGGACATGATGCTGGTCACCTAGCCCATGGGCGGTGGAGAGAAAGGGGCAGATTCAGGACACATTCAAGAGAGAAAACCCGCAGGGTTCGAGTCATACATACGGTGGATT
Source organism: Homo sapiens (assembly GCF_000001405.40). Classification (NCBI taxonomy): domain Eukaryota; kingdom Metazoa; phylum Chordata; class Mammalia; order Primates; family Hominidae; genus Homo; species Homo sapiens. Next base: position 156,605,472 of record NC_000007.14, read on the forward strand.
CAGTAAAGGGTATCAAGGATGAGGCCCAGGTGGCCCCCCTCCCCTGGCCACCACTTGAGCAGCTGGGTGGATGGGATGTGGATGCTAAACCAGGGGCCGCTGCAGAAGCCCCACGTCTAGGCCAGAGGGCTGTGGGCTCCACGCCAAGAGAACAGGAGACAAGTTGTGCAAAGGGAGGTGCCTCACCCACAGCCATGCGGCCTGGAGCCCAGCAGAGAGGTCCCCCTGGAGATATCATGCAGAGCAGATGACACTGGAGGCCAGGGGACGTGATGGGATCTCACCAGGAGGGCCTGAGAAGGGAAAGGCAGGTGGAATGGACAGCGCCTGCAAGGTGAGGCGCCCCTACAAGGTGAGGCACCCCTGCAAGGTGAGGCCCAAGCAGGAGAGTGGGGACCCCACGGCCAAGACTGCCAGAAGCAGAGGGAAGCCTGCTTTCCCTAAGCTCATGAACTCGTTTAAAAAGGAACGAGAAAATCTTTCTTATTCAGTTGTATTATCACTAGAATAATGAGTACTTTATCCTCTTTTTCTTGGAACTATTCCGTATTTTTGCTGCAATATTAGTTAAAATGGGTTTCTTACTTAACCTAAAAATTCAAATGTGGTTTATAGCTTGTCACAAGTAAACTACAGCATTTTTAAAAAATGATTTACAAAGGTACTTTGGGGAAGATATTCATGACTGAACAGAGACTTCATAAAACAAAACGAGTTGAAATCATTCAAGGAAAAGACAGAACTTCTCATCAGAAAGCATTTATAGCTAAGTCTAAGCCTAAAATTAAATAGTTAAAATTTCCAGCACTTCTGCTGTTGTATGAGGTTGATGACCGCCCTGCTACATTTGGCCAGTTGGGCCATTAGAAATGGAAAGGTACAAAAGTGCAGAACAAGCGTCTCGTGCACACTCGCCAGTGCTGGGTGCTGCTCAGGCCTGTGCTCTATCAAATGCAATTGGACTGCAAATATGTATGTATATATTTTTATAATGAATTTAATAAGTAGCCAACATCTCATAATATAGAATTTAACTGTCATTGTTTTCAGCTGGTTTTAACTGGGAGCCCTTAACTAAAGAATAAAAATTATTCTTATCTCTATAACTAGATAATTATAATCTACATAATTAATTATATCTCATTCATCTGCATGGAAGAAGACTTTCTCTTGCAGAAATCAATTTGCCTCTCCTCACACAGCACCCTCATCTCTCGGCTCCGGCAGCCAAGTCGCACCTGGGCTCAGCACCTGGGCACCTGCATACCACTCCTTGCCCACACCTGGACACCCCACTGCTAGCACCTGGACACGGCCCCCACCCCCCCCACACCTGCACACCACCCCACGCCCCGCCTGGGCACCACCCTACCTCCCACACCTGCGCACCACTCCATTGCTGGCACCTGGGCACCGCCCTGCCCCCCCCACCAGGGGACCACCCGGCCTCCCACACCTGGGCACCACTCCACTGCTGGCACCTGGGCACTGTCCTGTCCCCTTCACCAGGGGACCACCTGACCCCACACCTGGGCATCACCCCACCCCCCATCACCTGGCCACCACCCCACCCCCCTTCATCTGGGCACTGCCCTGGCACCCCTCAGCAAGGGACCACCCGGCACCCCACACCTGGGCACCATCCAAGCCCCCCTCACCTGGGCACCGCCCTGGCCCCCTACATCTGTGCACCTCCCCCCACTAACCTTGGCACCGTCCAGCCCCCCCCCTCAGCAGGGGACCGCCCAGCCCCCAACACCTGGGCACTGCCCCACTCCCCTCACCTGTCACCTCATCACCCAGCCCACGGTACCCTGCAGCTTGGCTCCAGGCCCACCTTCCAGGGCTCCCCTCGAAGCCTCCTGTCCGCTCAGCCCCAGGTGCGGCATCCGCAGGTCCCGTGGGTTCCACCTTCCCAGCGCCTCTGAGGCCTCGCGGCCGCTTCTCCCCGCGCCCACCCGCGCCCGAGCGAAGTCCCGCAGCGAAATCTCCGGGAGGCCGCGCCTCTCCTGTCCCAGCCCCGGGGTCTCCCGTCTCACCCCACGAAAAGGCAATCTGGGCCGTGACCTCCGAGGCCCCCAGATCCGCCCCCGAACGAGGCGGGCAGGGAGAGGACGCGTGGCCCCCACCCACTCAGCTCCCAGCGCGGAGTCCCGGGACCACCTTGCGGAGAAAAGTCCGCCCCGCACCTGCCACGGAGGAGAAGCTGGGGGTGGGGGACCCAGGAACTGCGGCTCGGCCCAGGCGGGGGACCTGGAAAAACCTCGCGCGGGGCGACTGGGGACGGCGGCGAGGAGGGAGGCTCCGCGGACGCGCGTGGGGCGGCCCGGGACAGCGGGAGCCAGGCAGAGGAGGCGGCGGCCCGGGGCATCCGAGCTCAAGCGCCGCTCCGCCGACGTGCATCCGGCCGGGCGCCTCCCCCTTTACTTGGCTTGCTCCCCCACGACCACCCTCGGCCCACCCTCCAACAACAGGGGCACCCCGCGCTCCCCCTGCGAGGCCACGCGAGCCCCGACCCCCCGCGCACCGGGCTGCAGACGGGAGACGGGCTCCAGCCTCAAGAGGCCCCAGACTTGCTGGAAAGGCAGATGTGTTTAAAAATGAAAAGAAAACCGGAACGGAAAGGTCTGTTCACTGGCAAAAGAAGTATTTACAAATCATTGTGGAAATATAGAGACCGAGGGGTAGAAAGCGGATGCCTCCTAAACCTGCGTGCGATCTTCTGAGGATAGGAGGACACCAGGCCCAGCCCCTGCAGCCCGGTGGGCTCCGCGGCGCCCCCACCCGCTTCCCCTCCAGGCCGTTCCTCCCACTGCGGCCGCAGCGTCCAGCCAGGCTCCTTCCTGGCCCTGAACACACGGTGACATTCCTGCCCACACGTCCACCCGAGGAGACTCTTTCTCAAGCCCCTGCCTGGGACCCATCCGCCCCTCTGACTTCCTGTCAAATGGACAGATGCTTAGTTATTCCTCGTTTTGTCGATGTTAAGTGAGTCTTTTTTTTTTTTTTTTTGAGATGGAGTCTCACTTTGTTACCCAGGCTGGAGTACAATGGCGCGATCTCGTCTCACTGCAACCTCCGACTCTCCGGTTCAAGCGATTCTCCTGCCTCAGCCTCCCTAGTAGCTGGGATTACAGGTGCCCGCCACCACGCACAGCTAATTTTTGTATTTTTAGTAGAGAGGGGGTTTCACCATGTTAGCCAAGCTGGTCCCGAACTCCTGACCTCAGGTGATCCGCCCGCCTCGGCCTCCAAAAGTGCTGGGATTACAGGCGTGAGCCACCGCACCCAGCCACGAGTCTTCTTAATTTAAACAATATGCCCCTTGAAGGTGTTGTGGAATCATTATTAGATCAGAAGATGAGTCGACTTCGTGCTGATCATAATCTACAACCTTGTCCAATTTACTTACTTTCTTCTCAATTTACTCTTCTACAAAGGAAGGGCGATGAGCCAAGTCATCTTAATTGTTCCCAAGGGGATTTTTATTCTGTTACATATTTTCCTCCTATCTGTATTACAGGAGGGCGAGCACTCACTACGTCCTTGCTTATTGGGGTTTTTTCCTCTTTAATATCTTACAACTAAGGCACACTGGAAGGTAGGAAAAGCCCTGGTCCATGCCAGGGGAGCTCTCCCAGGCTCCCAGCCCCCCAACAACATCTACAGAATTCTAGAGATAAGAGGCACCTAAGCGAGTCTTTATCTACCCTCCCCAGTGAGCAAACAGGAAAGCTGTCAAGAATTTCAGAACGCCCAGTTCTGCACAGCCCATTGTTTGAAACTGAACTCTGGACCAAAGTGCTTACAGTGAAGCCCAACATTTATGACATGATCTTAGCAGGGTCAGATGGCTCTGAGAATGGTTTTAGCTGGTGATTCTTTTCCTACTAAAGAAAATAGTATATCTGGAAAATTCTGTTTTTGGTTAATTCCTAAATAAACAGAACACTAGGAAGTAATTACTCTTGGCATAAATCTAGTGTTTAGAATTTTAGGATTTCTTCCCACAAAATGTCAAAGTTGGACTTAACACATGTCACATCATTGTCATTCCTTAAAATCAGAAACAATTTCAAATTGCTTCAGACTGACTTATCGGTGACAATAAACCAGAATTGAACATTTAAAATAAGTTTTATTTCATGGACTTCCTACAAGCTTAGCGTATGGAACAAGTGCTAAACACAAAACTATCTGTGAGTTCTGAATAAATATTTACCAATTCCACCACTACCACTTATTACCTCTCTGAACAAGTCTCTTAGACTCTCTAACTCTGGGCTGTTTGGCTTTTTTTTTCTTAACACAGAACGTGCTTCCCATTTTAAAAGGTAGAATGAGGATTAAATATGACGATTTATGCAAAATTACCTAAAATAATGCCTGGTGAGTAGTAAATGCTCAGTAAATATGTGTGCCTTTCTAGTATCCTTTCCAATATTAGGTTTGCCTTGTAAAACCGACCATTTTAATAGGAGCAATAGGGTTAAATAAAGTGAACTGTTGTGGAGATGAGTCCTAGCACACACCAAGAGAAAGTTCTAGCTCAGCATCCATCCAGTGCATGGGAGGAAAAGTAAACCTGACTCGATTTTTCAGTATTCTTATACTTAGAACATCAAAAACTAGATTCTAACCTAATCCCGATTTGAGGCATATGGATTACAGAAGACAAATTAAAGACAAAAACACATAAATAGTATTTATTCCCTTGCCCTAAGACTCCACAGCTACGTCTTGAGATTCCTCCTTAAATCTTCGCTGCATTAGAAGCTGGGGTGCTGAACTTGAACGGGCCCCGTGCTTAGAGATTGAGTCAGGAGCTGCATCTGTGCCTCCCGAGCACCTGGTGTGCGCCTTGCTGGGGAGCTACTTAGCCCCACTTCTGTTTCCGAATTCAGGAAGAAAAGTGGAGGAGCCGGCAGCAAGCAGGAGCCAGAGGGCAGGAGGCCCTGGAGCAAGAACGGGCAGCTGGTCAGAGGCCCAGCACGGCAGCCAGAACTTTCTTCTTTTGTCGCTGGCTAAGAAGAGAAAGACTACTTTGAAGTTCCCAATAGGTTTCAGGTACTACTTTTGGCTCCAGAGTATGAAGAGATGAATAGGAAAAAAAATCCCTTCCCTTAGGAAATTCAAGGTCTAGCAGAGACACAGGCACAAAGCCACCATCACGATTTCCTATCTGACGTGTTAGGACGACTTGCCTGTGTGGACAGGGAGTTACAGGTGCTGGGATGTCTTGCAAGGGAGCGCGTGTGAGCCAAGTCTTGCAAGATGAGAACTACCTGGGGAAAGGGTATTCCTGGAACGTGGCTCTCCAGCTTTTAGCTGCATCAGAGTCACCTGAGTTCATTAAAGCATGGATTTCTGGCTCTCCTTCCCAGAGTTTCTGATTCAGTGAGTCTGGAGTGGGGCCCGAGAATCTGAATGTCTAACAAGTTCCCAGTTGCTGCTGCTGCTGTGAGAACGAAGTCTGAGGACTGCCGTGGAGAAAGCGTGGCCAGAGCCCAGTGGAGACGGAAGATGAAGACACTGCTGAGAAGCACCAGCCAGGGCCTGCTCCCCAAAGCATCGGACTGCACTGGGACGCTTTTCAAGCTCCCAGGTGATTCCAATGTACAGCCCAAGGTTAAACATCAGTTCCCGGCAACTTCTCTATTCAATCATGAGTGATAGATGAGGCATTTGCTGTTTCTCCGAGCTTTGTGTCATTCCCAGACGTACTGGACATTCTTTAATGCTCTGCCTCAGTCATGGATTAACTGTTGACCAAGACAGAGTCAGAAAGCCCCCTGGAGATGCTGTTCCTCCCGAGTCAGCTGAGCTATCTAATGGCCTGGAGTGGGGCCTGTGCACTGTGGTCTGCTCACTGATTTCTTGGGGTGAGTCTTAGCCCCGCCTTACACTAAATTATAAGCTCCACAGAGCAGGGACCTCAGTTTCCTGCCTGCTGCTGTCCCCCACTGCCCAGCACAGGGAATGGGACAGAGTAAGTGCCCAGTGTTAACTTTTGCTGAGCGAATGCCCTAGGAGTCACTAAAGCCTGTTGTGTGGGAATGCCTGTGGAATCTGGCCTTTTACACACAGCCTGTCACTGAACTTTGTGTGTGTGATTTAAAGAAGGAAATAGAGACCATCTTTAGTGTTGCAACGCCTAGCGTTTCAGCCAGGCTTCTCAAGACAGAACCGACGTGGTTCATAGGAGCTGGAGGAAAGGGATTCATCAGGAAATTGGCTCACTTGATTATGGAAGCTGGGGAGGCCCACAGCAGGCCGTCTGCATGCTGGAGACCCCAGGAAGCTGGCAGCGCGGCTTAGACCACATCCGAAGGCCTCAGAACCAGGGAAGCCGGTGCTATAACTCTCAGTGTGAGGCAGAAGGCCCCAGTACCAGAGAGGGTCATGCACAGGGGGCTGGTGTGAGTCCCTGAGTCCAAATGCCATAAAGCCTGGAGTTCCAGTGTCCAATGGCAGGAGACAAAGGGCATCCTGGCTCTGGGAGAAGGGGCCAGAATCCACCCTTCCTCTGCATTTGTGCTCCATCCAGGACCCCCCAGCCAATTGGAGGATGCCATCCACATTGAGGGCAGTTCTTCCCCACTCAGTCCACTGACTGACACACCAAACTCCTCCGGAAACTCCCTCACAGACACTCCTGGGGCAGCACAATCATTCTAATCAAACACCAGGCCAACTGGATTTCCCTTACAGTAGAAGAGGGCCATGCCCAATGCCCACTGAAGCATAAGAATAAATGGTGCTTTGCCAGCTATTTGGGCATCCCTTAATACCCTGTCACCTTGACATCCAAAATCCACCATCCCAAGCTTCCCCCCTTGTCACTTTGGTACCCATACACATCTCCTTAAACCCGATTTAATCTCCAAATAAAGACAATAACAAGGTCATATTTCTGCCTAGCATGATACAGCCATGCTGTATACAACCAAAATCACATAGAAAACCATGCTGTGGTTTGAACATGCTCCTTCCAAAATCCAGGTGTTGCCAATGGGATGGTATTAAGAAGTGGGTCTTTAAGAGGCGATTAGGCCATGAGACTAAATGCCCTTGTAAAGGGGCTTGCTGGAGGGAGCCGGCTCTCTCTTGCCTTCTGCCAGTGGTCCTCCAGCTTTAGCTGCATCAGAATCACTGAGAACACAGCAAGAAGGCCCACACCAGATGCCAGCACCTTGACCTTGGACTTCCAGCCTCCAGAACTGTGGGCAAATTAATTTCCATTCTTTGTAAAGTACCCAGTCTCAGGTATGCTATTGTAGCAGCACAAACAAAGACACCTTTACCTGGTAAAGGTAAAGAGAACCTTGGATGCAAGCAATAGATAAGCTTTAAAATTCCTGAGGTAAGATCTATACGACAAGAAACACAGCTTATTGCTTACTTGAGAGAGTGTCTGTTCATTTTAATTTATCAATAGAATCCTCCTATATCTGATTTGGAGATATTCTTTAAAACTTCAGATTTCTTTTTTGCAGGGAGGCAGAGAGAGTTTGCCCCATTTCTCCTCCTCTCTTACGCTTCACCATGAGCTGGGTGTTTTCCGACCACAAAGCCACAGCAGCTTTCTGTCCTTGAGTTGAAGTGGTGAATATTGGCTCCACCCAAGATGATTCTAAAGCACAAGCCACATGGGCGCGTGGCTCAGATCCCCGTGGCGCCACTCTGCCAGTCACATCCTCTCTCAAGCAGGCCTGCAGCCCGGTGACGAGCACCCTCCACCCGCTGACTGAGAAATCAAAGGTTCAGGCCTCATTTACAGATGATTGTGCACAATACATGCTACATCTGCCCAGAAATGGAGAGACGGCTCTGAAGGACAGTGTTGAGGGAAGTATTTGCAGTGGGCAGAACTCCCAGAAAAGCACCTGGCTGTTCATTTTGCCCCAAAGAGAATATGGCCCAAGACAGCAGGAGCCATCAGTATGAATGGATGGCCCAGGACTTGGAAGGAATACAGCTGGAAAACTGATAACAGGGCAGTCTCTGCAGGAACTATGTGGATAGACTTCTTCGGTGGACACGGAGTATGGATAAATTTGTGTTACGCGGGAAAGCTTACCAAAGGGCAACTTCATCGGAGAAGGCTTAGAACAGATCCCAGTCTTTCTGGCACCAGAGACCAGTTTCGTGGAATACAATTTTTCCATGGACCTAGGATGGGGATGGTTTTGGGTTGATTTGAGCACATCACATTTGTGCACTTTATTTCCATTATTATTACATTGTAATATATAATGGAATAATCATACCACTCACTGTAAGGTAGAATCCGTGGGAACCCTGAGCTTGTTTTCCTACAACTAGCCAGTCCCACCTGGGCGTGATGGGAGGTGCTGGCTGCACATGGGCACCAGGAAACTCGTGATGATGGGTATGTTTTTCATTGTGATTTCCATGGTGGTTACAAGACAGTCTGCACTTGCTAAAATTCATAGAATTGTAAAATTTTAAAGGGGTATGTGTTTTTTAGCTCAATATACTTGAATTAAAATACACCAGGTACATAAATATAAATGGACAGGAATATTCTTACTACAAAACACAAAACAGAGAATGCCAATAACTAAAGGAATGCTTGAATAAATTGTTGCATCTGGACCATGCATTATTCTGCAGCTATTAATGATCATTTTAATATACAAGTTTAAAATTCCTACTAATAATTAACTCTGCAAATGCAGATTTAACAGCATAGCTGAATTTCTTTTGAGAATCATTCTCTAGAAGAGTACAGACTTAGGTATGCAACAATGTTCCTCATTCCAAACCTCTTTATTTTGCCGTTTTATTGATCTGGGCCATTGTCTGTTAAAAATCAGAAAGGAAATGGAAGTACACAGCTATCCTGGGACACGATTAATTTATCTCACAGAATAATCAACCCAAGCGCAATAAAAAGAATCTGAGACCAAATGTTCAGATTAAGATTATATGTTGTTGCTTTTCATCCAGTTTTTACGGTGTTTAAACAAGGATTTGGTGGAGCCTTGACTTCTAAAAGGTCACACTGTGCGACACTGCTCTAAATCTTTGTCTGATCTCACAACAAGGTGAGTTTCCTTAACGCTGCCACGAATCAGGTAAAAGGCACGCCAAGGTGAAAGTTAAATAAGAAACGATCTCAAATAGCATTTTTTAAAAGGCAAACATCAACCTTGTAAGTATTAAAAGCACGTTCTAAAATCCACTCTGATGACAGTTGAAGAAAGCCGCCTTTATGTGCACGGAGTCCCGGCTCTGCGCGGTCTTTTAAATGCGAGTGTTTACCTAAGGCTGCAGGCCAGGACCAGGCTCTGGCCTTGAGGAGGTGCCTTTGGGTTGCACACAGTGAACCCGATCTTTAACTCATAAATCGCTCTACACCTTTGTCTCCCCCGAGAAAGGCAGAGGTCTGCTCTCTCACAAGAACGTACAAGCCTCTTTAAAGTCAGGTGGCTTTTTACTCCGCGTCTCCATGCTTGTTGATTTAGAGTCTCTGAGTGACAATGCACATCACTGGCTTTTTTTTTTTTTTAGCTCTGTCATCTGTGCTACTGAGTGTACTTTGCCTCAGATCAAAGTTGAAAGCTTCTAGAAAGATACACAAACCACAATGTGACAAATAGCATGCTGTGTTTGACACAGCAAACAATAAATTACTTTCATCAATCCAGATAAAGAATCCCATGTTTTCAATGCTAATTCTGATGTCTGAAATGATAGAACTTTACTACACTCTCAAAGAATGAGGAGCTTTAAATAATGAGGAAAAGACACAAAACTCACATACCAGAAGTTCTGAAATTGCCATTGTTCAAAAACCTGTGGTTTCAACTTGCTAAATTTAAACTCTGCAAAACTTAAATGGAATGGTCTATATTCAAATAAAAAATGTTCATTTGTCTCTATTTTCTTAGTTTAAAAACAATTTTTCTGTGGTATATCTGTACCCAACCAGACTGTATCAAAAGAAGGTTTCAATATTATTTAACAATTCTACAACAGCCTATTTCTTTCCCATGTTAACTTTTGCCACAAGGTGCCCATTAATAAGGAATGGCATTGAATAAAGTTGCCACATAATCACTCATTAGACCCAGGTGGTACGTCTCATCGGCCATAGTCTGGGCCAAAGAACAAAGGACACTGCGTTTCCTGAGCACTGCTGCCCACTAGGCCCTGGCAAAGGGTCTCACAGGTTACCTAATTTAATCCCTCCACAATCCCCCGAGGCGGATATTATCACTCTCATTTTCCAAATGAGGGACTGAAGCTCAAAATAAGTGCAATAAGTTGCCCAAGACCATACGCACCCAGTGACAGAGCCGAGCTCTGCACCTGTCCTTTTACTTGTAAAACCCAAACTGTATGGGAACAGTTCCTTCCAATGAATGAGTTACTCTAACACTTAAAAACGGATGCCTTCACCTTTTCTTTCAGAACCCTTCCTGAATCCGGGAGAAACCCTCCTGTTATTTCACCTGTTACAAAGTAGTTTAATGTACTTCTACCACCGGATATTATGAATTCCACAACATCCTTCGGCTGCCCACTCCGGGTGGGTACTGGGCCGCGTGGTGAGGACAAACAGTTAAGAAAACAGGAAAACAATATTTTGGATCCCAGGAGAACTGTGTTTTCCACTTATAAAAAGTATATACATATATGCACTTTATATATATATATATACACACACACACACACACACATGCACTATATATATACACACACACACATATGCACTTTATATACACACACACACACACACACACACACACCCCTATATGTTTGGATTCAGACGTCCCGCCAGAACCTGAAAGTTCAACTGTGGCCAGCCGTCACCCCTCCACAGTCTCAGCGGGCTCCACCCGCACGTGTCAGCGCCCGCGACCCGGGATCCTCCAGAACCACAATTTGGGAGTGGGCCGGTTTAGGGTCAGCAAAAACGCTGGGCTGAATGTATCATCACAGAACCCAGGAGGGAACCAGCAAAGCGGCGTTGGCGCCCCGGTCTTTCCTGCGTTGGCGCTGGCCGCGGGGCCCAGCACCCGGGACGTTGGCGGCGGCAGAAGGGAAGGCCCCGGCCGCCCTGCTCCGCTCCGCTACAGCTGCAGGCCTCTGCGGTGACGGGTGGGGGCAAAAACCCTGCAGAAAAGTCACCGTCACACGCAGAGTCCAAAACTCCCCTTTCCCCGCTGGAACCACTTTCTCCAAGGAGCTCCGCCCCGCGCTCTCCCCGACCCCGTGCGCCCCCAGACCTCGCGTCCCCCGCGCTCTCCCCCGCCGCGCCCTCCTGCCCCGCGCCCCTCCTCGCCCCGACCCCGCGCCCCTGCGCCCGGGCTCCAGCCCGGTCCCTGCCGCCTCCCGCGCCCCGCGCCCCGCTCCTGCCCGCGGCCCGTCCCCTCCCTGCAGCGCAGCGCTCTGGGTTCGGGTCTCTGCCCTCTCCACCCGCCTTTCCCGCGAGTCTTCTTGGCTTCCGTGTCCCCCTCCCCAGCCGGGCGTCACCCCCGCACCCCGCATCTGCGCCCCCCTCCCGCTAACCCGCGGCCTCCGCAAGGGCAGCGCGCTCAGCCGGGTGAACCTGGAACTGTGTTCCTGGCCCAGCGCTTTCATAAAAGGGCGCGGAATAGTAAGTCCTAGTTCAAGGAATAAACACGGATCCCCACTGGCCATGCCGGGACTGACGCAGGAAAAGACGCGAATAAAAGCATTCATTAAAATATGCCACGACCAAACCACGGAGAGAGTTACAATAAAACAGAACAATTTCAGAAACAGAGGGAAGTGATACTTGCGTGTATTATCCGTTTATTTCTGTTTCTTTTAGTATTTCTACTTGCATAAAACTACTTTTTCCATTAATAAAGTGTACACGAGGTAAAGGTTTTGGGCAGAACATTTGTCTTAGTGGATATCAAGAGAAAACTGCTTCTTGGATGATTTGATGGTCTCCAGGCAAGGGCGCATCTCAGGGCAGTCGTGGCAGGACGGGCACAGCTGTGGTGTCTCCCCCAGGCTGGGCTGCACCCGTTTCTGTGCACGCAGCGCACACGGGAGTCTAGAAGCGCACACCTGCTGAACTTAAATACAGTCTAAACTCCATTCCTTTATGATTCATTTTAAGAGTAATAAAGAGTGACAGTTACTACACAGGCTTTAAATATGGGGGAAATGGAACCCACCAGCAAGACTGTTACTACTTAATGGCTCCTAACTGGGAAACTGAGTCCAGTCCTAATTAAAGGAATAAATGTTTTCCTGTGGATGTTGAAAATAAATCCTTAAATACTATACGAATGGAAGAGCCACCCATGACACTTAAAATTTCCACAAAAACATTTACTTCCAAATTATCTCTGCACTGTGAAAATAAAACAGATATGTGAACTGCAGAAAAGCAGTCCAGTGGCCTCGTTTTAAATATTCTATCTATGAATTCATAAATTCTGGACTCATGGACTAAGATCTCGTTTAAAAAGCAGTAACAGGCCAAATGCAGTGGTTCACACCTGTCATCCCAGCGACTTGGAAGGCTGAGGTGGGAGGATCACTTGAGGCCAAGAGTTCACGACCAGCTCCAGCAGCATAGTGAGACCTCCGCCTCTACCAAAAAATAAAATAAAATAAAATTAGCTGGGCATGGTGACTTGTGCCTGTAGTCCCAGCTACTCAGGAGGCTGAGGTGGGAGGATGGCTGGAGGCCAGGAGATTGAGCCTGAAGTGAGCTATGATGGTGCCACTGCACTCCAGCCTGGGGGACAGAGCAAGACCCTGTCTCTTATAAATAAATAAATAAATAAATAAATAAATAAATAAATAAATAAATAAAAGTAGTAATGCTGTGTTTCATACATGGCAATTGTCAAACCATCCAAGAAGCAGTTTTCTCTTGATATCCAACCATTTTCACTTTCCTGAACAAAGCAAATCATGTGGCGACACCCGGAAAATCACAAAGTCACTGGGTAGAGTGCGGTGGAGACCCCTGTGTGCACTCTGCCGGGCAGCTGTGCGGTCCCTCCCCCTGGAGACCTGGGCTCAGCCATGTGTCCTGCTTCGACGGCTGGCATGTTAGCAAACACGCCGGCCAAGGCCCACAGCGGGCGTGCACACAGGCTTCCCGTCCTTTCTCATGGAGAAACACAGCTGAGCTGGGTAGCTGGAGGATGAAGAGCTTTGGGGCACCACGGCTGAGTTGCCCCGGCCCAGGCCAGGTTAGCCAGCAGCCTGCGGCTCCGTTTGAACGTTAGCTGCTTTGGGTTTCTTCTTCAGCAGATTGCCTGTCCATACGGTAAGTCATCAGTGAGACCAAAACAAGCTCAAAACAAGCTTCTGCTCAGCCCGGCCAGGACCGCCAGCCTGCAGGCCCACTCGTAAATCCAGTGAAGCTGAATATCTGAAACCAGAGTCTGGGGGTGAGCAGGGTTGGAGTACAGGGTTACTGAAACACTCCCTAATAACACAAGCCTGGAAGCATCAAGAGACAGCACACAAACGGATGAGAGCCAGAGGCCAGGCCAAGTGTGACAGCATAGCGCTTACCACGGCCTCCGCAGCAGCAGCTGGGGAAGGAAGGCCAGGCTCTCTGGACCGACTGGCCGGGAACCCTGGGACCTGGTGAACAGCCTGACCAGGGAAGCCTGCGACATGTTAGTCAAGGGGCCTAGGCTGGAGCTGGGAGGCCACTTGGGCTTGAGCCTCTGGCGGCTTAAGTGGAGAATGTTCAATCCCAGACTACAACCCCCTGGCTGAGCGGGGGTGAGCCAAGGCATCTGTTGTGGTGGCCCTCTCCCTCTCCAAGGGCGCTTCTTACAGTTACACCCAACCCTCAGCTCCAGGGCTGCTTTGACTGCAATCAAACCCATTGTAAGAGTTGAAAAACGACTTTTGCAATTGCCCCCTCTCCTGATTCATCCTTTTTTCTTTAAAAGCTTGGAATCCTCCCTTGTCCTCTGAAGCACTTCCCAAGGTAACTGGGAAGCATTTCCTGGGCTACAGTCACTCAAATGTGGCTCAGAAAAATTCTTTGTGGCTTAAGCTGTGCCTCAGTTTCCTTCCAGGTCCACGACACCCAGTTTCTGTATATTTTGCCCCTGCTTCCAAATTAGGACTAACTAGAGAAAGCCAAATATGTTCGCCAAACCACTGGCATGCGATGCTCACTTTGCATGAGCCACCCCCACACTGGCAACCTCCAATCAGGACACCCTAGAAGTTTTCCTTTCTTCACTCTACAGCTTTCCTGCTCTCCACCTCTGAGCCCCTGCTGAATGCAGGTGGTGGAGCTGAATTCCTTGTTATCACAAGCTGTAAATAAACAGCCTGTTTGTTCTCCTTTGGCTGGTCCTTGCCTCCACAACCAAAAGCGGGTAGAGAACTGGGGCCATTACTGTTACAGGAAAGTGGTCCCGATCTGGACCCCAAGAGAGGGTTCTTGGATCTTGCGCAAGAAAGAATTCAGGGTGAGTCCACAGTGCAAAGTGAAAGCAAGTTTATTAAGAAAGTAAAGGAATGAAGAATGGCTACTCCATAGACAGAGCAGCCCTGAGGGCTGCGAGTTGCCCATTTTTATGGTTATTTCTTGATGACATGCTAAACAAGGGGTGGATTATTCATGCCTCCCTTTTTAAACCATATAGGGTAACTTCCTGACGTTGCCATGGCATTTGTAAATTGTCATGGCGCTGGTGGGAACCTAGCAGTGAGGACGACCAGAGGCCACTCTCGTGGCCATTTTGGTTTTGGTGGGTTTTGGCCGGCTCCTTCACTGCAACCTGTTTTATCAGCAAGGTCTTTATGACCCGTATTTTGTGCTGACCTCCTATCTCATCCTGTGACTTAGAATGCCTTAACTGTCTGGGAATGCAGCCCAGTAGGTTTCAGCCTCGTTTTACCCAGCTCCTGTTTAAGATGGAGTTGCTCTGGTTCACACGCCTCTGACAATACTACAAGCTACAACAGACATAGGAGCCAAATGGATGGGTCACAGGGCATAAGCATGGTTAATATGTGCCAGACTGAAAAACTGCATTGTGGTATTCATTCAACTTTGACTTCCATTGTGTTGCAGATGATCAAGAGGCTCTTCAATGCATTCCTGAAGCCTTCCTTAATCCTTCAGTATGCAAGTCTTTTCTCTTCTGAAGCTCCTGGCCATCAGTCTTGTCATTTTCTCTTCTAAAATTATCAGGTCTATTTCCGCCAGATCTTTAATCAGTAACAGCTTTACCTAAGAGCCTGCCACGTCATTTCCGTCAATTCCATTAAATCCTGAACCTTTCATGGAATTTGCAGTTTTTTCTTTGCAATCTTTTTACCTTGTATCCTTAAGTGTCCATGATGCCCTGCACTGGTGAGAAACAAGTTGACAAAGATACCGATGGCACAGTTGCCAGTGGGAAGTGGGAAGGGATATTTGAATAGCAATATTCTTATAAATGTTTCATTAGAAAATTTTCATAATAAAATCAGAATATCAATGCCTGTCTTTTCATTTTTTTCTATATTTTAGAAAGATCCTTTAGAAACAAAATAAATTATCTAAAAATTAAACTCACTACTTTTTACTTTCTATCTGTAGGAAAATCCCACTTGATCATGGTGAATAATTCTTTTAATGTGCTGTTGAATTTGGTTTGCTAGTATTCTGTTGAGGATTTTTGCATCTATGATCATCAGGGATATTGGTCTGTAATTTTCTTTTCTTGTAGTGTCCTTGTCTGACTTAGTATCAGGGTAAACTAGCCTTGTGAAATGAGTTTGAAAGTATTCTCTCTTCTTCAATGTTTTAGGAAGGGTTTGAGAAGGATGGGTATTAGTTCTACAATTGTTCGGTAAGATTCAGCAGTGAAGCCATCAGGTCTTGGGCTTTTCTTTGATGAGAGATGTTTCATTACTGATTCAAATCTCCTTTCTCATTATTGATCTATTCAGATGTTCTGGTTCTTCGTGATTCAGTCTTAGTAGGCTGTACGTGTCTAGTAACGTATCCATTTCTTCTAGGTTGTCCAATTTGTTGGCATTTAATTCTTCACAGTAGTCTCTTATGATCCTTTGTATTTCTGTGGTATCTGTTGTAATGTCTCCTCTTTCGTTTCTGATTTTATTTGTCTTTATCCCAGGGATGCAAGAATGGTTCAACGTACACAAATCTATAAGTGTGATTCACCATATTAAGAGAATGAAGGATAAAAACCATATGATCATCTCAATAGATGCAGAAAAAGCATTTAACAAAATTCAATATTCTTTCATGATAAAAACTCTTGACAAATTAGGTACAGAAGAAGTGTACCTCAACACAATAAAAGCCATAGATGACTAATCCACAACTAACATCATAAAGGCATACCTTAGAGATATTGTGTATTCAGTTCCAGATCACTGCAATAAAGCTAATTTTGCAATAGAGTCACATGAATTTTTTTGCTTCCCAGTGCCTACAAGAGTTATGTTTATACTATAGTATATTAAGTATGCAACAGCATTATGTCTAAAAAATGTACATACCTTAACTTAAAAATACTTTATTGCTAAAAACACTGAGAAAGCAAGCACAGGCTGTGGGAAAAAAATGGCACCAGTAGATTTGCTCGATGCCACAAACCTCCAATTTGTAAAAAAATGCAATATCTGCAAAGTGCAATAAAGTGAAGTGCGACAAGATGAGGTATGCCTGTACTCATGGTAAAAAAAAATTGAAGGCTTTTCCTCAGAAACCAAACAAGCATGGGCAGGCTCACTACTTTTATTCAACATAGTACTGGAAGTCCAAACCAAAGCAACTAGACAAGAGAAAGAAATGGAAAGCATCCAAATTGTGGGGATGCTTAAAAAAAATAAGTTAAATTGTCCCTGTTTGCAGACAACATGATCTTATATATTGAAAATCCTGGCAGGGCACGGTGGCTCATGCCTGTAATCCCAGCAATTTGGGAGGCTGAGGCGGGCAGGTTGCCTGAGCTTGGGAGTTTGAAACCAGCCTGGGCAAGATGGGGAAACCCCATATCTACTAAAAATACAAAAAATTAGCTGGGCATGGTGGCGGTGCCTGTAATCCCAGCTACTCGAGAAGCTGAGGCAGGAGAATCGCTTGAACCCAGAAGGCAGAGATTGCAGTGAGCCAAGATCGCACCACTGCACTCCAGCCTGGGCGACAGAGTGAGTCTCTGTCTCAAAAAACAAAACAAAACAAAAACGAAAAAGAAAACCCTAAAATTCCATCAAAAAACTGTTAGAACTAATACGCAAATTCAGTAAACACACATGAAATGAAATAAATATACAAAAATCAGGAGCATTTCTATACACTAACAACAAATTACCCAAAAAAGAAAACAATCCCATTTACAATATGTAATACCTACAAAATAAAATAAAATAAAATACTTAGGAATAAATTTAACCAAAGAGATGAAAGACTTCTAAACTGAAAACTGTAATACAATGATGAGGGAAATTAAGAAGACACAAATAAATGAAAATCCTGTGTTCATGGATTGACAGAATTAATATTGTTAAAATGTCTGTATCACCCAAAGCAATCTACACATTCAATGCACTCCCCATCAAAATTCCAATAACATTTTTTCACAGAAATAGATAAAACAATCCTGAAATTTGTATAGAACCATAAATGACCCTGAATAGCCAAAGCAATCTAGGTTCTTGAGCAAAAAGAACAAAGCTGGAGGGATCAAACTGACTGACTTCATAATCTGCTACAAACATATAATAATCAAAACAGCATGGTACTGGCATAAAAACAGACACATAGACCAATGGAACAGAATAGAGAGCCCAGAAATAAATACACACATTTATGGGCAATTAAGTTTCAACAAAAATGCCAAAAACACACAATAGGGGAAGGACAGTCTCTTCCATAAATCATGTTGGGGCAACTGGACATCCATATGCAGAGGAATAAAATTAGACCCTTTCTCACACCAGATTTTTAAAAATCAACTGAAAATGGATTAAAGACTGACATAAAACCTGAAACTATAAAGCTAGAAGAAAACATAGGGGAAAAGCTCCATGACATTGGCCTGGTTCATTTTTGGATACGACCCCAAGAACATCAGCAACAAAATCAAAAATAGACAAATGGGATTGCAACAAACTAACAAGTTTCTGCAGAGTAGAGGAAACAATCAACAGAGTGAAGAGACCACCTAAAGAACGGGAGAAAATATATGCAAACTATGCACCTGACAAGAGGTTAATATCCAAACTATATAAGGACGCCAAACAACTCAATAGTAAGAAATCAAATAACCTGATTAAAATATAGGCAAGGAACCTGAATAGACATTTCTCAAAAGAAGACATACAAAGAGCCAAAAAGTATATAAAAAATTGCTCTGCCGGGCGTGGTGGCTCATGCTTATAATCCCAGCACTTTGGGAGGTCAAGGCGAGAGGATTACCTGAGGCCAGGAGTTCAAGACCAGCCTGGCCAACATGGTGAAACTCCGTCTCTACTAAAAATAGAAAAATTAGCCGGGTGTGGTGATGGGTGCCTGTAATCCCAGCTACTTGGAGGCTGAGACAGAAGAATTGCTTGAGCCTGGGAGATGGAGGCTGCAGTGAGCCAAGGTTGTGTCACTGCACTCCAGCCTGGCCAACAGAGTGAGATTCTGTCTCAATAAAAAAATTAATAAAAAAATTGCTCAACATCACTAATCATCAGAGAGACGCAAATTAAAAACACAATGAGGTATCACTTCACATCTGTTAGAATGGTTATTACCAAAAAGATCAAAGATAACAAGAATTGAAGAGGATGTGAAGAAAAGAGAACACGTGCACACTGCTGGTGAGAATGGAAATTGCTACAGCCATTATGGAAAATAGTATGGAGGTTTCTCAAAAACTTAACAATACAACTACCATATTCAGCAATTCTACCGGATATGTGTTCAAAGAAAATGAAAGCAGTGTGTTGGAGAGATAACTGCACTCCCATGTTCACTGCAGTGTTATTCACAATAGCCAAGATGTAGAATCAACCCAAGTGTCCATCAACAGATGTGTAAAGAAAATGTGGTTTATATGCACAATTCAGTACTATTAACCATAAAAAGAAGTAAATCCTGTCATTTGCAATCATATGGATATTATGTTAAGTGAAATAAGTCAAGCACAGAAAGACAAATGCCAGTAATCTCACTAATATATGGAATCTAAAAAAGTTCATCTCATAGAAGTAGAGAGTCGAATGGTGGTTGGCAGGGGCTGTGGAGAGGGAGAGGTTCAGGAGATGTTGGTCAAAAGATGCAAAATTTCAGTTAATAGGAGAAATAAGCTCAAGAGATATATTGTATAACTATAGTTTATTGTATAACTTATTATATGACTATAATTAATAACAATGTATTAAATTCTTGAAAATTGCTAAGAGATTTTAAATGTTCTCATCACAAAATAATTACACGAAGTAATGCGTACATTACTTAGCTCAATTTAGTCATTCTACAATGTATACATATTTCAAAACAACACACTGTACATAACAAATATATATAGTTTTATACATTAAAAATAAATAAATAAGCTAGGCGCGGTGGCTCATGCCTGTAATCCCAGTGCTTTAGGAAGCCAAGGAGAGCGGATCATGAGGTCAGGAGTTCAAGACCAGCCTGGCCGACATGGTGAAACCCCATCTCTACTAAAAATACCAAATTAGCCAGACATGGTGGTGCATGCCTGTAATCCCAGCTACTTGGGAGGCTGAGGCAGGAGAATTGCTTGAACCCAGGAGGCAGAGGTTGCAGTGAGCGGAAATCAGGCCATTGCCCTCCAGCCTGGGCAACAAGAGCGAAACTCCATCTCAAAAAAAAATATCTAAATCAATTCATTAAATAACTTATTAAGAATTTATGAAACTAAAAATATAGAGGAAAAATTTAGAAAATGTACATAAACCAAATAAATAGTAGGTGCTAGACAGCAAAGGGAATAAGTACCAAAAAATCCTCCTGGGATCATTATAAAATAAAAGGTAGAAAAACTAAAAAGAGAGATAATTAGAAAGAAAGAAAAAAAATCCAAAGAATGTGAATAAAAGAACATGATACAACAAGAGGACAGTTAAAGGCAAAAACAAAACAAGGACAAACAAACAAAAAACCCATTTGGATTCACAAATTCTGGTTTTTACTCTGACATGCAAAGAACTTGCAGTACTTGCTGTCAACCTCACAACAAGAAAAAACTGAACAAACTGAAAATCAACAACACTTCTTAGAATAACCAGAGAAATGAGGTCACAGGGCAAATCACCACCTCAAAAGCTGGGGACAGACATGAATACAGAGAGCCACAGTTTACAAGGTACAAAAGTTACTGCTGCAGCCAGCAGCTGGCAGGCACAAATTGCTAGAGGCTGAGTGTGGACTTGCCTAAGAGTTAGAGACCACTGGGGGCCCACTCCTTTTTTTTTTTTTTTTTTTTTTTTTTTTTTGAGTCGGAGTTTCACTCTTGTTGCCCAGGCTGGAGTGCAACGGCTCAATCTCGGCTCACTGCAACCTCCACCTCCCAGGTTCAAGCGATTCTCCTGCCTCAGCCTTCCTGAGTAGCTGGGATTACAGGCATGAGCCACCATGCCCGGCTAATTTTGTATTTTTTTAATAGAGACAGGGTTTCTCCATGTTGGTCAGGCTGGTCTCGAACTCCCGACCTCAGGTGATCCGCCTGCCTTGACCTCCCAAAGTGCTGGGATTACAGGCGTGAGCCACTGTGCTCAGCCTGGGGGCCCACTCTTAAGGTATCCTCATACTTTCATAAATTTTACCTACAGGAGTCTGAACAGGTTCTCACACTGAATTTCACAGAAAAACTCCTTTGTGTTTGTGGCAGTAGGAGAGGAAAAGTAACCATTTTGAAATAGGCCATGGAGAAAGGTTGCCATTATGAAATACACCTGAGCTTTCTCTTCTTCACGGCAGGGACCGGTCCTCAGGGTAAACTATCTTGTTAGAGCCTTGTCTAACCTACGAAAAAGACAACTGAATGCATTCCGTTCCCTTTAGTCTTCTTGTCTCACATAAGGGGAGAAGGGAAAGGCTAAGGAACTATTAAATTTAAGTTTAGCCTAAAGTCGCCTCTTTGTAAGTTCAGCCTAAAAGTTTTTCTGTACATAGTAAACTGTAACCTAACTGGACATGCAAACAGACTGTAACCTACACTTGTGACAAGTAGCTGAGTCTCAGCCAATCACTGCCATACTTCAACCACTCACAGGCAGCCACACCATGTTCAAATAAGGCAAATGCCGAGCTGTAACCAATCCAGCTGTTTCTGTACCTTGCTTCCATTTTCTGTACCTCTCTTTAATTTTCTGCCTGTAAATCCTCTTCAAACATGCAGCAGTGTCGGAGTATCTCTGAACCTATTCTGGTTTGGGGGGGCTGCCTGATTCACAAATCGTTCTTTGCTGTATTAAGCACTAGTAAATTTGATTTGTCTCAAGTTTTTATTTTAACAGATGGCATCAGAAGTGGGATCCAAAGTAGAATGTCCAGTGACACCTAGGAGCATCGAATAACCAAACAGGATCCCCACGGGGCCCACTGTGAGTATTGTGTCTCACAGCTGTTGGGGATGCTGGGTAAGCTTCGCAGATTTGTGTTTTGAGCTATCCAAGTTTGAGCAAAATTTTAATTCCAACTGGGTTCAGAAGTCATAACAAACTGGACTGGGTCCAGGATCAGACTGGATCTGATGATTAACTGGCTTGAATCCAGTTAGATAGAGGCCTCAGACGTCTGACTGGGTCAGGCAGAAACTGGCAGTACATGGCAGCACTGCAGGGGGCGCAAACTCCAGCTTTCGAAAATTTGTAGCGATTTTGTGTGTTCCATCCCCTTTGTTTCTCTTTCTTGCATGCTTAGGTAGGAAAAATCATTGGCTAAGTTGATTATGGGGATCTCGTAGCCAAAGCCAAGATTCAATGTAAAAATGGAATCCTTAATTTCTGAAGAACTGAGTACTCTACCTTCTGGCTTTGCCTATCTATATATGTATAAGTATTAGGCCCTACAAACAGCAAATAGGGCATGTAGACATGGTGAAATATTATTAAAGACAATTAAAATCTACAGTAGGGGCCAGCTGCGGTGGCTCACACCTGTAATCCCAGCACTTTGGGAGGCTGAGGCGGACAGATCACCTGAAGTCAGGAGTTAGAAACCAGCCTGACCAACATGGTGAAACCCTGTCTATTCCAAAAATACAAAAATTAGTTGGGCATGATGGTGGGCGCCTGTAATCCTCGCTACTCGGGAGGCTGAGGCAGGAGAATCACTTGAACCTGGGAGGCAGAGGTTGCAGTGAGCCAAGATTGCACCACTGCATTCCAGCCTGGGCGACAAAGCTAGATTGTCTCAAACAAACAAACAAACAAAACTATAGTAGGACATTCAAATAAACAACACTGCACTTTAAGAAGTGCATTTGAAAATGAGGGCTCCCAAATTAGTCTCATCCAGCAATGCCTGTTGATCTGCAGAAGCTTCTAAAAAGATGTCAATTTTTTTATTGCCTCTTTTAAAAGAATCATTCTAAAAGACAAACAAAAAGTTTAAGTGACTAATTGATAAGAAAAGTTAAATCTGCTAACCTTTTGGCTTAGTTACTATCCCACCCCAAAAGCAAAAAGAAAGCTATCCTGGATAAAGTGTTTATAAAAGGTAGGCCCTCGGGTAAAGTAGGCTTGCCTCTTTTTCAGAGGTATCCACGCTGAGTCCAGACACAGAGAATGCTTTCTTTGCCCTATTTAATGGGCTCCACCCTGAACTCAGTAATTTTAACCAAGAAACGGTACCTAAGTTAAAAAGACCACCTATTGAACAAAATCATGTCTCTAAAATACATCTTTCTGGCAGTCGACTGGTGATATGGTCTGCATCTGTGTCCCCACCCAAATCTCATGTCAAATTGTAATCCCCAATGTTGGAGGTGGGGCCTGATGAGCAGTGATTGGATCATGGGGTCAGATTTCTCCCTTGGTGCTGTTCTCATGATAATGAGTGAGTTTTCATGAGATCTGTATGGAATCCCACCACCCCACCTCTTGCTCCTGCTCTGGCCATTTAAGAAGACATGCCTGCTTCCCCTTTGCCTTCTGAGTGTTCTGAGGCCTCCCCAGAAGCTGAGCAGATGTCAATATCATGCTTCCTGTACAGCCTGTGGAACTGTGAGCCAATTAAGCCTCTTTCTTCTTAATGAATCACCCAGTCTTGGGTATTTCTTTATAACAGTGTAAGAACTAATACAGAAAATTGGTACCAGAAGTGGGGTATTACTATAAATATACCTGAAAACCTGAAAGCAGCTTTGGAAAACAGAGATTGAAAGAGCATGAAGGGCTCAGAAAAAGAAAGGAAGATTAAGGAACATTTTGAACATCCTAGAGACTTGCTAAATTGTTGGGACCAAAAATTTGATAGTGAAACAGACAATAAAGTCAAAGCTGAGGAGATCTCAGATGGAAATGGGAAACTTATTGGGAACTGGAATAAAGATCACTTTTGCTATGCTTTAGCAAAGAGCCTGGCTGCATTGTGTCCCTGCTCTAGGGATCTGTGGAACTTTGAACTTGAGAAACATGATTTAGTGTATCTGATGGAAGAAATTTCTATGCAGCAAAGCAATCAAGATATGATCTGGCTGCTTCTAAACAACCTATGCTCATATATGTGAGGAAAGAAATAACCTGAAACTGGAACTTATATTTAAAAGGGAAGCAGAGCATAAAAGTTTGGAAAATTTACAACCTGGCCATGTTGTAGAAAAGAAAAGCCCATTTTCAGGGGAGGAATACAAGCAGGCTTCAGAAATTTGCACAACTAAAAGGAAGGCAAGTGCTGATAACCTAGACAATGGCAAAAAGACCTCTAAGGCACTTCAGAGACCTTCAAGTCAGCCTCTCTTTATTCATCCATTTTCATGCTGCTGATAAAGACATAGAGACTTGGCAGTTTACAAAAGAAACAGGTTTATTGGACTTATAGTTCTATGTGGCTGAGGAGGCCTCGCAATCATGGCAGAAGGTGAAAGGCACATCTCACATGGCAGCAGCAAGAGAGAGAATAAGAGCCAAGAGAAACAGGTTTACCCTTATGAAACCATCAGATCTCCTGAGACTTATTCACTACCACAAGAACAGTATGGGGGAAACTGCCCCCCGATTCAATTATCTCCCATCAGGTCCCTCTCACAGTATGTGGGAATTGTGGCAGTACCATTCAAGATGAGATCTGGTTGAGGACACAGAGCCAAACCATATCACCCTCCCATCGTAGGCTTGAAGTGCTAGAAGGACTGAATGGTTTCCTGCACCAGGCCCAGCCCCTGCTGCCCTGCACAGCCTCTGGACACTGCTCCTTGCATCCCAGCCACTCCAGCTCCAGCCATGGCTAAAAGGGGTCCAGGTACAGCTTCGGCCACTGCTTCAGAGGGTGCAAGCTCTAAGCTTTGGTAGCTTCTACATAATGTTAAGCCTGTGGGTGCAAAGAACGCAAGAGTTGAGGCTCAAAAGCCTCCACCTGGATGGATTGCAGAGGATGTATGGAAAACCCTGGATGTCCAGGCAGAAGCCTACTGCAGGAGCAGAGCCCTCTCAGAGAACCTCTACTAGGGCAGTGCAGAGGGGAAATGTGGGGTTGAACCCCCCTATAGAGT
This sequence comes from Homo sapiens, assembly GCF_000001405.40. NCBI lineage: Eukaryota > Metazoa > Chordata > Mammalia > Primates > Hominidae > Homo > Homo sapiens. The sequence goes on from NC_000007.14 coordinate 156,630,158, forward strand.
CCCCACTGGGACACTGCCTAGTGGAGTTGTGAGAAAAGGGCCACCATCCTCCAGATCCTGAAATGGTAGAGCCACCAACAGCTTGCACCATGTACCTGGAAAAGCTGCAAGCACTCAACCACAGCCTGTGAGAGCAGCTGCAGGGGCTGATCCCTGCAAAGTCAAAGGAGCAGAGCTGTCCAAGGACTTGGGAGCCCACCTCTCACACTGGTGTGTCTTGAAATTGGGACATGGAGTCAAACAAGATTATTTTGGAGCTTTAAGGTTTAATAACTTCCTTCCTGGGTTTCAGACTTCAAGTGGGGCCTGTAGCCCCTTTCTTTTGGTGGATTCCTTCCTTTTGGAACAGGAGTATTTACCCAATGCCCATACTTGCATTGTATCTTGGAAGCAACTAACTTGTTTTTTTTATTTTACAGGCTCATAGGTGGAAGGGACTAGCCTTGTCTCAGATGATACTTTGGACTTTTGAGTTAATGCTGGAATTAGTTAAGACTTTGGGGGACTGTTGGGAAGGCATGATTGTATTTTGCAATGTGAGGATATAAAATTTGGAAAGGTCAGGGGAGGAATTATGTGGTTTGGATCTGTGTCCCCACCCAAAGCTCATGTTAAATTGTAATCCCCAATGTTGGAGTGAGGTCCCAATGTTGTAATCCCCAATGTTGGAGGTGATTGGATCACAGGGGCAGATTGCTCCCCTTGGTGTTGTTCTCATGATAGTAAGTTCTTGTGAGATCTAGTTATTTAAAAGTGTGTGGTACCACCTCCCAACCCCAAAAACTCTTAACATTATTTTAAATTTACATAACAAGTATTACCTTTATGGCACTTTTCTTGGTCATCTTGTCTTAACTATGCCTTTATGTACAATCTTTTTCCTTTAAGCCTAAAGTCTCAGCTCCGAGCTTTTCAGATATAAATTTTCTACCTTGTTTCACCTAACAGTCATCCCTAGAAATGCAAATTTAGGGCTGCCTAGCTAACAATTGCTTAGGGCAATGAAACAGGTAATTGGAAGATTAAGTCTGAATAGGGAAATAAAAACTATTTGAAAGCCAGCAAATGAGAATTACTTGTAAAAGCTATAAGCTCTGCTTCTCCATGTGTCTGTATGTTGATATGTATTATGTGTATAATATTTGGCAAATAAAGCTAGCTTTAAAATTGTTGATAAGATAGAAATGGCTTCAGAATTGTTAGTTAAATATAATTCAGATATTTTTGGCTAGATCTACTGGTCAAATAGGTTTATGCTATCTCTACATGTTTTTAAGGGCATAAAACTGCTGCTTCTATAATACTTTATATACTTTCTTAATTTGTCTGTAATATTTTGTTCTTGGTTTTGAGCCTCTGGATTCTGGGGTCTGGATAGGTGGCCATAGTGAGGCCTGAGGACATGTTATCAGTGGCCAGACCACCAATTACTAGGCAGAGTCAAGCCCAAGATGAGCCCCTTCTTCCTTGGCCCAGCTTTGTCTCCTAGCCATGCTGAAAGGGTTTGGATCTCCCAGGCATCATCTTCACAGGTGTCTTCTGTCTTGAGCTCTACATTTGGTATGTAAATTCAAGACCCAAATAGGCCCTGCCCTTCAAAGCCATCCTGGATACGATGTGACTACTTGAGACTCAGAACAACTGAGGAAAATATTAGCAGGAGAGTACCTGTGTCATTGGCAGGAGAGTACCTGTTTCAAAGTTCTTTTCCATAATTTAAAATCTTAAAGTTATGCTATATTGAATTAAGTAATAAGCATAAATGTCTGAATCATTTCTAAGTAAGTTAAAATACTGAAACATTAATTAGTAAACATAAATTTAAGTTTATATATTTTGGCATCTTATTTTTAGATGGTATAGAAAAGCTACATATATTTACATCTATTAATAAACTTGAGAAAACCTATCTAAAAAGTTATGAAATAGTTTTCATCTACAATTATTGATATAGAACAGTTCAAAACTACTTCCTAGGCTTTCACTAGAAATTAGGGTTACTAGTAGTTAAAACTGTAGTTAATATATGTAATTGAAACTAATAGATATAAAAAACAATTTTGTATATAGTGTCTAAAGAAAAGCAAAGTATTTTTCGGTAAGGAAAGTTGTAAAGGCATGAAAATGTGTGTTGAGAAAAAAAATAATTTTGTCTAGAAGCTGAAGATTGTTTCAAATTGAAGGAATAAAAAAGAAAGATAAATGAATAAAGTTGGAAAGAATAAAAAAATTGTAAGAGATTATAAAAAGTTTATGGAAATTTTCTGTGGTCAAAAGATGACAAATTGGACAGATCTGTTTATAAGGTTTTATTAGCTTAGTGTTGATAATACACTATGCAAAAGTAAAATTTGGTTTTCCCTTTTGAACAAGAATTTTCATGTAGTATTATTAATAAGAGGTAGTAAAAGACTTTTGTTCACCTTTTGAGTAAACTGCAAAAGAGAGACAGAGGAGAGAAGGAGACAGATTCTGTCTCATGCTGTCTTTCTCAGATCTGTTGATTGGAAAACTGAGTCTCCCCTCTATCAAAGAAGAAAGGTTTTTGCTTTCTAACCCCTTTTATCACTTTGGCTAAATGAATATTATCTTACAATGCCTTGTGATCCTATTTTGATTATTTTAAGCCTTTGACATATTTGACAGCCTTCCCAAAATCAAATTTCAAATTGTCTTTTTTTGTTGTTACCTCAAACTAACTTTGGGATGCTACAGAGGGCCCCTGCAGCATCCAAAAGACAGAGAAACAGGATTATTTGCTATGTTAAGTTTATAAGCAAGTAAAATCCTAGAGTATCATGCCTTCAAGGAGATTCATGAAAAGGATGGAAAGGACCCTGACAAGCACTCTTGAATGCGAAGTTTCTGATGTCTTTAGGATCATATCGTTTAGACTGGGTATGAATTACCAGCACTCTAATGAACACACTGACTGGCTTATGAAACTGATAATCCAATTAGGATAAAAATTAATTGAATACCAAGGAACTACTCTGCCAGATCTTCAAGCTAAGTCAGCCAGTACTGAAATTGTTTTGATATGTAGTTTAGATGAATTCCATGATCCAAGTCAAATTTACCTATGATAACCCATCTAATAAACAGTGCTATGCACGTGAATTGGAGAAACAAAACTGATATTTAAGAAGACATAAATCTTCCATTTTGCAGCTATCACTGAAGCAGCAATCGCCAAAATGAAGTTCAATCCCTTTGCGACTTCCAACCGAAACAAGAACCACAAAAGGCATTTCAATGCACCTTCCCACATTTACAGGAAGACTATGTCTTCCCCTCTTTCCAAAGAGCTGAGACAGAAGTACAACGTGTGATCCATGCCCATCCAAAAGGATGATGAAGTTCAGGTTGTACGAGGACACTATAAAGGTTAGCCAATTGGCAGAGTAGTCCAGGTTTACAGGAAGAAATATGTCCTCTACATCGAACGGGTGCAGTGGGAAAAGGCTAATGGCACAACTGTCCATGTAGGCATTCACCCCAGCAAGGTGGTTATCACTAGGCTAAAACTGGACATAGACCGCAAAAAGATTCTTGAACAGAAAGCCAAATCTCGCCAAGTAGGAAAAGGGCAAATACAAGGAAGAAACAATTGAGAAGATGCAGGAATAAAGTAATCTTATATACAAGCTTTAAAACTTGAAATGAAAAACAAAAGGAAGATATAAATCTAATGTTAAGGATGGACTCATGGAGCCTGGACAGATGCCTGGTCCTTCCTGAATCCTTAAAGCTTCCATTACTAAAAGCTCTACACTCCAAGGCCCATCATGGAAGAGGTAAGATGATCCAAATAGAATATTGGCATGTTCTAAATTGCTAAAATAGTTTATGTCCAATGTTTGGTTTGTCAAATCTACAATCCTGGGAAGGCAATCAAAACTTCATGTACATTTCTGCTACATTATAGGCCACTGAAACATTTTTAGAGGGATTTCATTCCATTGCCATTTTCAATGCATGTTTTCTGATTGTATAGAAGCTTTTCCATTCAAAAAGTCTCGTGCTGTAACAGTAGACAAAAGGTTATTAGGAAACATGTTTCTCTCATGGGACATACCTGGAAAGATTGCTAGTGATAGAGGTACTTGTTTCATCAGACAAGTTGTAAAACAATGAGATAAGGTATCATAGGTACAATCACATCAGGCAAAGCTAACTGAATTGACTGGATTTCCTTGGTCTAAAGTACTGCGGATTGATGACAGATCCACTTCCATGTGCAAAACGTTAAGTTGATCCCTTATGCAATAGTCACTGAAGGCCTATGCTCCTAATAATAAAACCTCACACATCTTCTCCTCCTAAGCTCTGATATGACTAAGTGCTGCCAGGCTTTAATGCATTATGCCCAAGTCTATTTTCACCAGGTAAAGAAAGCTTTCCATGGTCCACTGAGGACAAACCCTACATGATCTAAAGCCTAGAAACTGACTCTTCTGGAAACATCATCAGGGAAAGACTGCCCCTGCCACTTACACTGCAGCAAAACTTCAGCACCTTGAGCCTTGGGTTTACAATCTCACAGCTGAAATGGGCCCCTCCAGACTCTTCAATCTATACACTTGTTGGAGACCTTAAGGTAAAGCTAACCAGGAAAGTTTCTCCCTAAAAGCAGACAGCATCCTAGATGTGGACAGCTTTCCCAAGATCATGGATCAATACTTTTCTGCTATCATGAGACTCTTATCTCTCAATAGTTCCTTTGCTTGTGCCTCTATGAATAGAACTGCAGAAGGGGTCTCTCCTGTGTACTTGTGGGGTATACTTTTATTTGCGGAGAATTTCATAGTCAACATTAAACATGAACAACCTTATTGTACATCAATTTTAACAAATATAGCATACAAATGGCAAATAGGGGAAACTGTTGCAAGGAGAGGGAGCTCTCTGTATTATTTGTTCAATTTATCTGTAAAATTTATTAAGAAAATAAATCTATTAATTAAAAAAATTATCTGGATGTGATCAGGAAACATCCTGTCTCTTGATATATTTAACATATTAGAGCATCAGCTGATTCAATTTTTAGAGACATTCAGCTTTAGCCAAAGTGGTTGAAACCAGTATATGTATTTATTTCCCAGGTTATTTTAGAGTTTCTACTAATAACCTGACATTTATGCTTTTACAAACCTGTCAAAACTTTCAATTAAGGCAGAAAAATCACAAATGTCTGAAAGGAGTCCACATTACCCAAACACCTTTCATACAATCAGTATGCCTAACAGCTTTTGGCAACATTTTTGAAGTGTCTGGTATCTGGTGATCACAGTGTAGATAGCAAGAATATCTCCATCGTGTCAGATATTAAGGCATAGTAGGACATTATTCTTTACCAAAGTGATAAATTACTTCTAAGTATATTGAATTCAACAACAAAGAATGAATTTGCTCCATTTTTTAATTCGGAAAACAGTTTTTAAAGGCTCGCTTGTTATACCCGTGACTTTAAATTATAGAGTAAGAATGAAAACAAGATTTCTCCTCTCTTCTCCAGTGTCGGAAGTGTTTTCATCAGTGTTTCTCTACTACTATTTTAATGTTGACAGGAATGATGTCATCATGATATGTCTGCCACAGGTATTTTTTTAAATGCATTTTATCAGAGGAGTGGAAACAACTCATCCTAAGCCCTTTTTCATTATTAAAGACAAAACAGAACTATAATATAATCTCTAGGAAAAAAAAAAAAAAAACACTTCAGTAAGTTCCCACAAGTATACCTGAGTCTTTACAGCAACTGCTGCTACAAAACACTCGGAGAGATTGGCAAATTTCCAAACAATTGCTGGACATCACATACTGCATAATATAGGCAATGACTTAGAATTATTTGAAAAAATAATCTGGGTGGAAGCAAGGGTGTTAGTTTGTTCTCATGCTGCTAATAAAGACATACCCGGGACTGCATAATTTATAAAGGAAAGAGGTTTAATTGACTCACAGTTCCACATGGCTGGGAGGGCTCAAAATCATGGTGGAACAGGAAGCAAGACAGGTCTTATATGGCAGCAGGCAAGACAGAGCTTGCGCAGGGCCACTCCAATGTATAAAACCATCAGATCTTGTGAGACTTATTCACTACCACAAGAATAGTATGGGGGAAACTGTCCCTATGATTGAATTCTCTCCACCTGGCCCTGCCCTTGACACATGGGGATTACTTACTACAATTCAAGGTGAGATTTGTGTGGGGACACAGCCAAACCACATCAGCAAGTTAGGAATAGAAATTGATAATAAATATACAAGTGTGGGAGGAGGGATAGCATTGGGAGATATACCTCATGCCAGATGACGTGTTAGTGGGTGCAGCGCACCAGCATGGCACATGTATACATATGTAACTAACCTGCACATTGTGCACATGTACCCTAAAACTTAAAGAATAATAATAAAGAAAGAAAAAATAAATAAATAAATAAATATACAAGTGTGAGTAGAAAGTTAAAGGTAATACAGAAGATTAAGAAAAATAAATGGAGAGATGGTTTTGGTGAAGGTTAAAATTGAGAACTAAATTAAAGATGAACCCCATGCCACCAATTTCTGCTCCTTAGGTTTGTTTTAGATGTCAAGGACTGTGTTAAGAGAGACAAGAGTCAAATAGGCACTGAGTAGGCTTTGAGAATATTTTGTACATAACAAAGGAGAAATGTGAGAGCATTAAGATACTAAAATGTGAGAAGGATATTGAACTAAGAACCATTCTGACCCTGCCTAGGCTTTCATTAGTGCAGTGTTTAGAGACTAGGCAGGTGGGCAAATTCAAATATTATGGGTATGATACATTAAGAATCCATAGGCCAGGCACGGTGGTTCACGCCTGTAATCCCAGCACTTTGGGAGGCCGAGGCAGGCGGATCACCTGAGGTCAGAAGTTCAAGACCAGCCTGGCCAACATAGCGAAACCCCGACTCTACTAAAAAATACAAAAATTAGCTAAGCGTGGTGACGGGCACCTGTAATCCCAGCTATTCGGGAGGCTAAGACAGGAGAATTACTTGATCCTGGGAGGCAGAAGTTGCAGTGAGCCGAGATGGCGCCACTGCATTCCAGCCTGGGCAACAGAGACTCTGTCTCAAAATAAATAAATAAATAAATAAATAAATAAATAAATAAATAAATAAATAAAAATACAGGGCCAGCACTAGTATCCAATATCATGATCTCTAGTGTCATCATGAAGAAAACCCCATCTTCCACAAGCTGGACTCCAACTGCCTATTCTAGTATTTGAACACTTTCTGTGAATTGCGCTCTACACAAGCAAAATATAAGATTTTCCCTTCATATCAATGTCTTCCACTTAAATAGTCCGCTATTGCCATCCATCTTGGGCTGCTCTTCCTTGGATAAGCACAGGTATCATCACTCTTTTTGTGATAATGTTTATACAACAGATCTCTTAGAGTACCACCCGCAGCTTTCTTCTTAAGCACAGTGGAGTACAGAAGTGCATCTTAATCAGCCAAGTACACTGGTGCCCTTCTCCTTGTGACTAAGCACCTCAACATCCTTAACATCATGCACCTCTAATTTTCTCTTCCGTCTCCACTATTCCTAGGACATTCAATTAGTGGTTTTGAAATTCTAAAACAATCATGTGGGTGCTTACACAAATGGCACTGAACAGCACCATGGAGAATGTACTCAATAGCAGTTTTCTGAAGATGTAAACATGCTTTGTATACATGCAGTTTCTCAGGCCCATCTCAAAAAAACAAAAAAACTTTTTTAAAACAAAAGGCATAATGTTAAAATACAAATCATTGATAACATGGTTTTGGGGACAAGATAGGTTGACTATATTTTTAATTATCCCTATCCAAGAATGTTGCATTCTGATCATCTAACTCATTTCAACAGAACACACTATCTTGAAGAATGAATGTATTCTTCAAATATCAACTATGTTAGCTTTGTTTTTGTCAAGAATTAGAAAGCAATAAGGTTAAATTTTCAGTCAAGCCTATACTTAACACAAATCGATTGCACATTTCAAAATAGCTAGAATAATTTGAATGTTCCTAGTGTAAATAGAAGATAAATATTTAAGGGGATGGATATCCCAATTACCCTGATTTGATTTTATGAATTTATCGAATTATCACGTTATCCAAAAACATGTTCATCTAATATGTATCAATAAAAAATAAATTTAAAAATAAAAAATTCACAATATTCTTCGTGGCTAACTGAAGAATGACCAATTTATTTTGAATAGAAAACATGCAGACAGAAAAACTATCATGAAAATTTAAACATGTGAACAGAGGGTAGGAATTTTAAAACGGTAATTTTTCTTAGAACTTTAAAGTTCAAGAAAAATACCTTAAAACCAACATAAAGAATAGCAGGCACTGTACTAAGCAGTTCACCCACAGTATCATGTTTTAATCTCACCACAGCCATAAGGCGGTAATAGCATGCATAGATATCATTCCAATTTTTCCTGTTGCAAGTAACAGAAAACCAGACCCCATCTGGCTGAAGCCAGTAAGAGAAAAGACTAACAGGAGGGCCAGCCTCAGGACTCAAATACGTCACCAGGACATGGGTTGCGTCCCAGTCTCAGCTCTGCCAGTTCCTGTAGAACCCTCCTTCCAAGGTTCACAGGGTGGCTACCATAGCTTCAGGCCCTCACCTCATGATAAGACAGCAATACAACTGCCATTTCATGTCTGTTGCTGTTTCTACATTCAGTTAGAATTAAATAAATTTTCCAGTAGCACCCACAAAAATACTGAGTCCACCTGGTTGGCCTACCTAGATATATCGCCAGCCCTGATCAAGTCACTGGTCACGGGCCTGGATTTTCTGGTTCGCTTAGGCTAATCATACGTCCCATCCCAGGACTGAAGAAGTACCAGGGCTGTTGCTGGAGAGTGGCTAATGTCCCCTTTACAAATAAGGAGCTCATGGTTTAGGAAGATGAGCTTGCCAAAAATCACACACTTGTAAAATAAGTCAAAATTTGAACTTAAGTCTACTTATCTGAGCCCAAAGTCTTACAACCATTTATGGCTGTTATCCTAACACCTACGTCGCGGAACGGAAGAGTCCTAAGACTGCAAAGACCCTTCCTTTTCTTCTAGATCCAGTCTAAGTTGGTTGGTAATTTCTTTAGACCCTGCTTTCAGGGAAGTTTAAAAAAAATTACTTGCATTTGTATATTTTCCTTGTATTTTCGGCCAAATTTCTTCTAATTAAAGTACAACATAAGTTGAACCAACACAATAATTGTCATATTAAGAAAAGATAAAACAAACTTTACTCATTTCTGCTTCTGGGCATGGAGTGTGAGGGACCAGACTTAAGTTCTCAAACAACTACAAAATCAGACCAAAAAATACAATGGTTTCCAGGCACCGGACGACAGGCAGTGCAGGGCTGTGATCCTTAAGAGAAGGGAAGCAGCGAGCCAGAGTATCCAGGCCACAACCCAAATGGAGGCCAAGAGAGGAACAGCAGAGGATACAGAGGGAGGGTTCCAGGGGCCAAGACGCAATCCGAGGGGAAGCCCTTCCGGGGAGAGCTGGAGTCCTGGGGTGGCCTTCTCGAGTCTTCCCGAGCAGGTCTGTGCAGCGAGGAAACATCCGAGGCTGGAGTGAGCCACGCGGAGGAGGAAGAACAGCCCGAGCTCACAGGGGCGGGGAAGAGTTCTAGCTCGCGACAGCCCCTGGGAGGAACCCTGCACTATTTGTGGCGTCGAGTAAAGCACCGGAAGGCTCTGCTCAGGAGCGTGAACGACACCGCCCGCTGCAAGCCTGGAAAGGAACGCGTTGCCTCAATTCACTCCGATGTGTCACACACGCGGCTCAGTCACCTAGGGAGCAGGAAAAGGCCAGCGGGCCACGCAGGGCTCACCCGGGCCTGCATCCAAACGCAAACGGCCAGGCCCACGAAGCAGGAAACACAACCCGCAACGAGAAGCAAAGGGATCCACAGAGAAGGGCCAGGAGTCACGGACGACGCCAGGCAGTCGGCGCCTGCGCTTCCGCGAGCCAAGACGCCTGAGCGGCGCGGGGGGATCGGGGGATCCCCCAGAAAACTGCCCTCGACTAACAGCGCAGCGAAGGGGCGGTGCGCTCGAGACCCTGGAACGGGAACGACCACAGCCACCGCAGGGAAACAACCGGGGCCCAGGCCCAGGTGGGCGGGCGGCTGAGGAGCGTGGCTGCGCCCACAAAGCCGCCGGGGGCTGCGGACTACAGCGAAGCCGGCGCGGGGCTCGGCCCTCACTACACGAGGCCTGGGCGCCTGCACGCCCCCGTGCTTCAGCCCGCGGCTCCCGAACACCCCCGCCAGGCGATCCCCAAAAACGCCCGCTGCGCGAGCCTCGACGGGAACGCACCTGCGTCTAGACGCTGACGCCGTGCGCGGGGCGGGGGCCGGCGAGCATGCGCAGTGTGGTGTGGACAGGGCGTGGTTGGCAAGCATGCGCAATGTGGGCCGGGCGGGGCTGGCGAGCATGCGCAGTATGGGGCGGGGCGGGGCAGGGCTGGTGAGCAAGCCCGCGGGGAGCGAGCGCGGAGGCGGGCGTTGCTACGGCAACGGTGGGCGGCCAGGGAGTTGCCTGAGGGAAAAGGGGCAGACGTCCCTGGGTTCCGGTGTTCGCGGAGGAGTCGAGGCACGGAGAGGCTTCGGGGGAGGGACGGAAAGAAGGGTGGCCCGCCAGGCGGGCGGGGTCCATGGATTCGGGGTGAGGGCCGTCCGCGGCCTCGCTTTCGCCTCCTCCGAGCCGGGCCGGCGATGGCCGCAGCTGTGAGGCGAGGTCGGGTCCCGTAGCGGCGCGCAGCCTCCTTGGGGGACTCGGGGTCCTGGTTAGTTTCCACAGCTCCTTCTATCTGAGGGGTACGAATTTACGGCTGCCTAAAGCCTTAGAACAGTGATCCCACGTCGGTAATTTTAGAACCCGGTAGGACCGGCTGCCATCAGGGGCCCCAGGTGCAGGGTGGTGTCAGCTTTGAGAGGAATTGGAGCCTCGTCACCGCGCGCTTCCTGCATGAGTGGAACCTCAGAAAACGGTCAGCGGGGTTCAGAAGGCAGGAGATAACACCAAGACCCTACGTAGGATTGCATCTTTACGTCGTAGGCTTGGTCTCGTGTATTTTTATTGAGCGTGTTTAATTAGCTGAGGTTACTCGCTTTGGCACCCCAGTGATCGTTTTTGCCACCAAGCTCTGCCTCTTGAGCGTTTAATACTGGGATTTACAAAGCAACGGGTTCCTGTTAATCTTAGCTTTCAATACTGGGCAAGGGTTACGTTTCTAACCCTACCAGTGCCGCAGGCTCATTATATATTGAAGGACTCACCTGGTATTTGGTTTTCTCATTTATAAAGTGGAGTTGGAGTAGGTACTTGAAGGGTTTTCAATACCTTTAAATTCTGAATTTTAAACTCTAAAACTTAATGATACCGTAGGACTTTAAGAGAGTATAGGTTTTAAAAGCTCTTACCTTGATATTAATGACAGTGGTCTACTGTGTAGAAACTTGAGATTAAATTGCAGACTGCAGCTATGACCGGACCATTTTTAGTGTGATGCAAACTGTATCTTCTGCAGGTTATAGGCATTTTGGAAGCAGGAACTGAGAAAATTCTGGCAGTGATCTTTCAGTATTTTAAATTCCACCATTTCTCCAAGTTCAGTTGTCTTGATGAGATACAGGGTGGAACTTATTTCAAACATCTCTTGATGCCAGAATTGAACGGGAACAGAAAAGGGCTGTAGTAAGAACCATCATCAAAGCCTCCAGGACTTGAGCAGCGACTGACGTTTTTACTTCTAACCCTGGATATCTCAGAGATTTGGTTCCACTGTGCTTTTCTATCTCTCCACTCACGCCTTAGTGAGTTTGTTCTTTCGGTTGGAGTAATTTAATACAAGTGTTAGTCCTTAGAAATACATTTTGGATTAATTTCTTTCTATTTTTAGAGTTAGGCCCTCAACACAGTAAGTCTTCACTTAACATCATCCATAGGTTCTTAGAAACTGGAGCTTTAAGCCATGCAGTGTACAAGGAAACCAGTTTCACCATAGGTTAATTGATATAAATAAGAGGAAAGTTCCCACAGCACATTCCTGGTCACAAAAACATCGCCAAACTTCTAAATAAAGACCAAAGCACTTCTAATATGAAACACTGAAGTACATATGAGCTCTACATTTAAGAAATATCATTACCCAATTTCTGGTGAATCCATGAGTGACCGGGTTGTGGAGGGGCTGTGTTAAAGATAATGTTGGCCAAGCCAAAGCTCTGAAGCACCTCCCCCTACCATGCAGTTTCAAAACAAACAGGAGCCACTTCTCAGCCCGCTGGGCCTTTCTTACTGCATCGGGTATTGTCCTGCATCTCTGTGTGAATACCGTATGCTTTACGAGTTTTTATTTGACAATAATTTGTATCCTTTCATTTTCCAACCTGCTTATTCCAGTTCAGGGTGGCAGGGGGCTGAGCCCATCCAGGCAGCTCAGGACCAAGGCGGGCAACAGTCCTGGAGAGGACGGCATCCCATGGCAGGGCACACTCACACTCACTCAGACGGGGACGCCCCAGTGAGCCTCACGTGCACAGCTTTGGGATGTGGGAGGAACCCGGGGTACCTGGAGGAAACCCACAGCACATGGGGAGGACGTGCAAACTCCAAACAGACAGTGGCCCCTGCTGGGGATCAATTTTTTTTCTCATCAGCGTTATAGGGAAACAACATTAGAAGAAATATGTTCAAGGGCCTTCTGTGCCAGTTCCTAGATTACTTGAATAACTTTCTATTTCTCCTCATCACAGTATATTTTGAATACATCTGTCTTCATAAAATACACCATGTCCAAAATCTAAAAGGGCCAATTCCAAATTATTCCACCAGCTTTGAAGGGAATTGAAGCAAGAATAACAAGAGTAAGTTCTGTGTGAAAAGACCTACTTTAGATACTTCAAAGGTTGTCTCATTAATCCTTGCGGCAACCCTGCAAAGCCAGCGTTATTATACCTGCTTTATAGATGAGGAGCCTGGGGCTCAGCTGTGTCCAGTATCTTGCGCAGCAAAGCGGTAGAGTTCAATTGGAACTCAAGTTGGTCTGTCCCCATATTCTGTACTTCTGTGTTCTGGACAGACTGAAGTTAGCCAGTGTTCCTCTTGCGTTCCAGTTTCTTCATTGTTCCCTTTCTCCCCAAAATAAGCATATCATGCTGATTTCCAGCCTGCCAGTTCTTTCCTCCTACCTGTAATGTGCCATCTTCATTTCCCTCTGTGTATCTTTCAAATGCCAGTTTAACTGGTTTTTCCAAGTCTCCAGTGTTAGCCTGAAGTTTTGTAGTACTTATGTATCATGTTATATTTAGCAATGGATTAATTCATAGTAATTAACCATTTGTATTAATGTGTCCTCAGGAGCTCAGGGGTGAACTATTTGAGGACAGGGATGAGTCGAAGCATAACTGACTTGAGTTCACCCCCTTCCTCCAGAACCAGAATGTGTAGCTTAGTGCCACCCTGTAGCAGGCATTCCTGCTGCTTCAGGATCTGTTAGACTCTTACAGAGCATCCTCACAAACTTCATGGTTTTTCTGTGCACTGTAACTTTGACTTTCTGTTGACCACGTCTTTGCAGCAGAAGAATAGAAGGAAGGTGATAGGATGTGATGATAGAATTTGTGATAGCCAAGCAACAACTTTTCCTAATTCGGCATGTTAAAAAATAAGGTACGCTATTCTTTTCTTAAACATACACGTTATTTGACTCATGAAATGTATTTTAATTCAGCCATTTGAGAGTATAAAAACTAGTTTGCAAACCCTGCTTGAACTAGGAATTGTCAGCAGGAATGGGCGATGCCAAGTGTCGCATGGGGCAGTGGACAAGCCAATGGAAAAACAATCTCTGGCGATATTTACTGCAAGCATCTCTTAGCTGTTTGGTGATTTTTATTCTGCACAGGAAATTATTAAGTTTTCACAAAAAGGCATAAGCTGAAATGGCAGGAGTCTCCTTAGTAGTTGCCTGGAGTCTAATTTAATTATAGTGAAGCAGCGTGGGTTTGTTTAGGCATGCACAGGTTTATGGGTCATAATGAATTTATTCATATTATAATTAAGGCTTTCATAATTAAATGAAAAGATATTCCTGTATTGTTAACATAAATGCTGAGACAAGGGTCTGCTCCTACTTAGGTAACAATGAGTCAAGCATTCCTTACTATTTGATTTGGTTGTATGTGCCATCAAGGTTGAGTATTGAAGCCTCAGTTCTCTTCTAAATGATATATTACATAATACTCCTCTAAATATGACTTTTTTCCTACTTTTTAGGGTCACTCATCTAAGAAAGATAACTTGGCAGTCAATGCAGTTGCTTTACAAGATCACATTTTACATGATCTTCAACTTCGAAATCTTTCAGTTGCAGATCATTCTAAGACACAAGTACAAAAGAAAGAGAACAAATCTCTAAAAAGAGATACAAAGGCAATAATAGATACTGGACTTAAAAAAACTACACAGTGCCCCAAACTAGAAGACTCAGAAAAAGAATATGTTCTTGATCCCAAACCGCCGCCGTTGACTTTGGGTAAGCTGACGTAGTCATTCATCTTTTGGCTTATTAGGGCTAAAAAAATCTATTGAGATTAATAGTATAATTTTTTATGTTACAGAAATAACTTATTTATAATTATACAGAGAGGTGTGTATGTATTGAAGGTATGTATGTATTGAAGTTTAAAAATGATAGGGGACCATTAGAGCAAGAAGGTAAAGATAGTAATGGTAAGTAGAATAAGTAAAAATGGGAGAACAAAAGAAATATCTATTGATTCACATTGATAAAAATAAATAATTGAGTAAATAAATGATGGAAAAGAAAAATCCCTTATAGTAGAATGAATATAACTCATAAGGATAGTAGACGGGGATAGAAAATCACCTTTGGCAAACACCACAGTAATGATCATCAATACTGAAATTAGGAATGAGAAAAATTTACGTACAGACACAGAATATTGAGGTAGTTTCTCCAGAGATGCAAGTACATGGCAGGGAGAAAAACAATAACTTCACAATTACTTCAGCTGTACAGTTGTAACGCTTGGCAAGCAGCACCTGAACCAAGTAATCCTAGTTAGGTCAGCAGTAACGCACGGGCCAGCATCATGTGTCTCCTGCTGAAAGGTACAACATCACTTCTGTGGCATTCTTACCAAAATGTATATCTGAATTTAATCATGAGGAAACCTCAGACCAGTCCAAGTGAAAGACATTCCACACAGTTCCTGGCTAGTACTCTTCAAAAGTATCAAGTCAACAGAAGCAAATGAAGACCTAGCAACTGTTCCAGATTACAGGAGACCCAGGGGACATAGCTGCAAGTGCAATCTGTGATCCTGGATCAGATCCTAGTTCAGAAAAAAGACATCAGTGTGACAGAGAACCAGATCTGCAGAAGGCATGTAGGCTAATTGATAGATTATAGCAACATTAATTTTGTGGTTTTGATCTTTGTACCAGGGTTATATAAAAGGTTAACATTTGGGGTTAAGAACATACGATAATATTTTCTTTTTGCAAGTGTGAATATGTATTTAGAGTAAGACCAAAACTTGCAACAAATCAGGAATTTCAAAACAACATGAAATGTATCCCAAACAAAAATCAATAAAAATAGCATAATATTTTGTATTAGTTAGCTGCCTGAAATATCTCTGTAATACTTTTTCCATCTCTTTTGATTGCTAGATACTCTTTGATCATATTTTCATGTGACAATAATTCTGTAATGTCATTCTCTATAGAAATAAGTCAGCCTTACCTCCGTCATGGCTGATTGAAATTCTTTATGATAGGTGGGATGCATATAGCATGCAACTTCACACACATTCTTACTGTGTATGGTATTGCTACAAGTTTGTGCCTGTAAATAAAGGCATGCAAATCAATTCCATTTCTTCTAATTAATAAAAGGAGATGTATTATGCACTTATAATTGTAAATGCTGTTTTTAAGGATATTCGTTTCCCAGTGCTGCCACAAGCAATTAGTACAAACTGGGTGGGTTAAAACAAAAGAAATGTATTCTCTCAGTGTCCTGGAGGCCAGAAGTCCAAAATGGCGCTGTTGGCAGGGTTCTACAGAAGAATCCTAACTTACCTTTCCCTGGTGGTTCCTGGCATTGCTTAGCTTGTGGCAGCGTCACTCCAATCTCTGCCTCTGACTTCACAAAACCTTCTTCTCTAGGTGTGATTGTACTCTCCCTTTCCTCTTCTTATAAGGATACCATTCATAGGATGTACAGCCAACTTTAAACCAGTATGACCTCATCTTAACTACATCTGCAAAGACCCTATTTCCAAATAAGGTCAACATCCAGAGGTTCCAGGTGAATAAGAATTTTGAGATGACACAATTCAACCCAGTACATCAAGTATGTCCCTGATAGGGGAGAACTTCCATTTAGATTAGGCATCAATGAGAACGGAATCCTTCACTTACATTTGTTGTCTGGAAGACTTTTTCACAGCATCAAGCTAAGTACTTTTCATACTTTGTTCCTTATCCACTACTCACATATATTACTATGTTGATAGGTACCAGAGGTCTTTTGATAGCTCACAGTGGCTAGGCTATGGTTTGAATGTTTGTCCCCTCCAAAACTCATGTTGAAATTTCATTTTGTTTTGTTTTTTTTGAGATGGAGTCTTGCTCTGTTGCCCAGGCTGGAGTGCAGTGGTGCGATCTTGGCCCACTGCAACCTCTGCCTTCCGGGTTCAAGTGATTCTCGTGCCTCAGCCTCCCAAGTAGCTGGAATTACAGGTGTGTGCCACCACACCCAGCTAATTTTTGTAGTTTTAGTAGAGATGGGGTTTTGCCATGTTGGCCAGGCTGGTCTTAAACTCCTGACCTCAGGTAATCCACCCGCCTCAGCCTCCCAAAGTGTTGGGATTAAAGGCGTGAGTCACCATGCCTGGCCTGTTTTTTTTTAATTTTTTGTTTGTTTTTTGTGTGTGTTTCTTCTTTTTTATTTATTTTTATTTCAATAGCTTTTGTGGTACAAGTGGTTTTTGGTTACATGGATGAATTATATAGTGGTGAATTCTGAGATTTTAGTGCCACCACCAGAGTAGCCTACCCTGTACCTAACGTGCAGTCTTTTTATCCCACACCCTCCCACCCTCCGCCTCCTGAGTCTCCAATGTCCATTATACCACTGTGTATGCCTTTGCATACTCGTATCTTAGCTTCCACTTATAAGTGAGAACATACAACATGAGTTACTTCACTTGGAATAATGACCTCCAGTTCCATCCAAGCTGCTGCAAAGGACATTTTTTCATTCTTTTTTGTGGCTGAGTAGTATTCCATGGTGTATATATACCACATTTTCTTTATCCACTCATTGGTTCATGGGCACTTAGGTTGGTTCCGTATCTTTGCAGTTGTGAATTGGGCTGCAATAAACATACGTATGCATGCATCTTTTTCATATAATGACTTCTTTTCCTTTGGGTAGACACCCAGTAGTGGGATTGCTGGATCGAGGGATAGATCCACTTTTAGTTATTCAAGGAGTCTTCATACTGTTCTCCATAGAGGTTGTACTAATTTACATTCCCACCAGCAGTGTATAAGCATTCTCCTTGCACCACATCAACGCCAACATCTGTTGTTTTGTGACTTTTTAGTAATGGTCATTCTTGCAGGAATAAGGTGGTATCTCACTGTGGTTTTAATTTGCATTTCCCTGATGACGAGTGACGACCATTTTTTCATGTTTGTTGGCCATCTGCATATCTTCTTTTGGGAAATATCTGTTCGTATCATTTGCCCTCTTTTTGATGGGATTATTTGTTTTTTTTTTTTCTTGCTGATTTGTTTGAGTTCCTCGTAGGTTCTGGATACTAGTCCTTTGCTGAGAATTCTTCATACTGTTTTTACAACCTTTTGTAAATCTGAAATTATTTTAAACCGAAAAGTTAGAAATATGATTTTTTATTGATAGGCATGGAAAATAGGTTTGGTTGAGGATGGCGTGTCTTGGCGCAGGTCAGATGGATCTGGAGGTGCTGGAAGATCTGTGTGTTGGAGTCACACAAGGTGGAGGGGACCTGTTTCCACAGCGACGCCAGGGGAGATATTTGATGCTGTCTTCCTCTGAACTTCTGCTAACAAGCTCGATGTCTTCTAGAAAACAGCATGGCTCATGAACGTGTTGAGACTTGGAATAATGTCGTACAGTAGTTTAGTGAAGATCTTCTGTTGTACCTGTATGGTTTATGTAGATGACCAAATAGTTTCATCATAATCAATCTTAAGAGTTTTATCAGGAAAAATTTAAATTAGATATAAAGAGGAACGTCCCAATTTGGAAAATAAGTAAAGTTATTAAGGAAAATAGATGAGACCTTTTTTCAGGACCTCTTTATGGAAAAAATCTTGATTGTGCGTATTAGTTACTAATGACATTGAACCATATGCTCTTTACTGTCTATACATAATATTCCACTTGGATTTCTGTCTTTTCTTGCTGATTTACTGGAGTTCTTTGCATATTCTACATAGTAATCTCTTGTTGATTTAGCCACTGAAAATATCTTCTGTTCTTTTACCATCTTTTAAATTATATCTATTGTTTTATATTGAATACAATTTTCATTCTGATTAATGTTAAATCCATTGTTTTGTTTTGTTTTGTTTTTTTCACTTTATTGCTGTTTGGGAGAGACTTTAGATATACTTCACCATTCTGAGAGTGCAAAGATTTTCCTACATTTTCTTTATTTACCTTTAACCTTTTACCTTTCACATTTAGATGTCACCACAGTTTGTTTTGCTTATGATACTGGGAAAATCGACGAGATTAAAGCGTGTTTTGTTCTCTCCTTCCAAGGCTTCTGCTTCTATGTCAGTATTGCACTGTTTTGATTAATAGAGTCTTGCAATATGTCTTAATAGCTGCTAGGAAAAGACGTTTCCTCTTTTTTTTTTTCCTAAAACTGCCTCATTTTCTACATAAAATTCTGCTGGAGATTTTTTTTGAATTGGATTTATAGATCGGGGAAATACTGTATTTACAGTGTTATCATCTGATCCACAAATATGGTAGCATCTCACACCATTTAGGTCTTTTTGTCTCTGATTCCTAGGGGTTTTCTGAGTAAGTTGATCTCTGCAGTGATTCTTATTGTCTGTGCCTCTCTACTTTTATGCCCCTTCTTTTTTTTCCCTGCTTTTTTTTTAATCTGGCCAGGATCTCCTGAGCTGTGGTGAATACGAGTAGTAATACCTAGCATTTCTGTCTCGTTCCTTAGCCTAACACGTTTCATTTACTTACTTATGTGATGTTTGCCCTTTGTTTATTGTTGTTTTGTGTTGTTTGTTGGCCTTTATCTAATTATAAAATTTCCCTTTTAGCCAGTTGCTACAGGTTTTTAAACTCATTAATAGGTGTACTTTTTTAAATGCTTTTTTTCCTGCAACTTTTTAGATGAGCGTGTTTGTTGTGGGTTTTCTCCTTGAGTTTGTTTGTGCCGTAAATTACAGTGACAGACTCTGATGTTGAATCTTCGTGCATAGCTTGAATAAACCCTACTTGCCCACGGTGTTTTTCACATTCACTGTTGCATTCTGATAACTAATTCTCGTTTACGATGTTTGACGTTTAACCATGGATTACCCTGGACTATGATTGTCCTTGTCTGGTTTTATTATCAAAGCCATATAAGCTTCACCAAATAAGTTGGGCAGTGTTCCCTCTTTTTCAGGATTCTGGAATAACAGAAAATAGGGATGATATGTTCCTTAAAAGTTTGGGGAAACTCACTTGTAAAATCATCTGGGCCTGAGGCTTTTTTTCCTTTAAGCGGGGTGAGGAGAGGTGATGGGTTAGGATGCATTTGGCTGCAAATATACAAGCAACACACTGAAAGTGATGTAAAGCTTAATGGTGTGTGTCATTGTTCACAGCAGTTCTGGTTTGGTGGCTTATTGATGTTTGCCGGGACCAGCCTCCTTCCGGTGCTGCCGTCGGGAGGTGCTGCCCCGTGCATGGACACAAGAGGGTGCACAGCCCCAGGGTCAGTCCTCAACAACAAGGGAGGAGCCAGAAAGGCAGGGGAGAAAGCTCCCAACAGACCTTCCTTCCGCTTCACCTGAGACGGTCACATGCCCATTGATAGTCTAAAAATTGGCAAAGGGTAGCAAGACTTCCACGACATGCTTAGATCCATCAAGAGACCTCTGTGAGGCTGAGCCCATTTCCACTGACGCGCAGTGGGGTTCTAAAGGCAAGATGGGTGCTGGACGTGCTATTGATTTTAAACATTATTACATTGTGGCCAGAGAGCACAGCAGTTTGCTGAAATCTGTCAATACAATTTACCTATTCTCCCTCCCGTTCTAAGGTCTTGATTAGTTTATAAATATAAGGCCAGGTTTGCATGATGGGGAGATGTGGATGTTTGAAGTTGAGGCAGTTGACATTGACCATAGCAGAGTCTGGATTGTACAGCAAGTGCCCACCCAAGTCTAAGAGGAAGGGTGGTGCTGGGGGCCCTGTCTCTCCCTGCTCCCACACCTTGAGCCAAAGGCAAAGAGCTGCCCTGAGGCAGCGCCCCTCCTCCGCAACCTCAGTCTCAGCCTCTTCAGTCTTACTGTTCATTTGTTTCTCTGCAGGCCAGGTGCTCTCTCACTAATGGCCATCTGCACATCCTTTTCCTCCATCTAGAAAACCTCCCCCTTCACCTGCTGCTGTTACTCTTAACCCTGCGGGTCTCCATTTAATGCCACTTTGGTCAAGTAACCTTCTCTGGGGTCACAGCCCCATGCATCCTGCACACCATTCTCCATAGCGTTCATCACACTTGTAGCTGCTTGATTCTTATCAGAAGATCCATGGGCATAGTTTTAGAAGTAAAATTGTTCTATGAGGATTATAACAGAAAGTGTAGCATTCCCCTGACCCATTTTGGGCATTACTCTAAGGCAGCCATTTTCAAATCCTTTGGTTCATTCTTCTGGTATTATTTTTAATATTTCTTTTTTTTTTTTTTTTGACACACAGTCTTGCTCTGATGCCCAGGCTGGAGTGCGGTGGCACAATCTCGGCTCACTGCAACCTCCACCTCCCGGGTTCAAGCGATTCTCGTGCCTGAGCCTCCTGAGTAGCTGGGATTACAGGTGTGTGCCACCACACCTGGCTAATTTTTGTATTTTTAGTAGAGACGGGGTTTCACCATGTTGGCCAGGCTGGTCTCGAACTCCTGACTTCAGGTGATCCACCCACCTCGGCCTCCCAAAGTGCTGAGATTACAGGCGTGAGCCACCATGCCCAGCCATATTTTTAATAATTCTAAATAACATGTCTACGCTGCTGTTTTGTTAATTTTCAGTTCTGGATATCTCTTCTTACTGCAGAAGATCGAGATTTAGCATATTGTTTTCATAACTTGTGGTTAGACTAATAACATTCAGTGTTTACTCTGTTACAATTCCGTGACTTCACTCACAGCTGAGCAATGTGGTGTTCTATATTACAGTTTCCTTCTCAGACATTTTTCTATTCTACCTGAAGTTCTGTCTCATTTTTTCACATTTTAGTTTCCTCTATCATCACTCATCACTGATTCATCCCTAAAATCTCCTCCAGAAATACATTATCTCAATACATTAAAATATACCAGGGCACTTTATCAATGGGGACGTTGCTTCTGGAATCCTCCGTGGTCCCCTCCCCCGGCCCCTCCCCGGGCTCCCTCTTGAGCAGCATCCCGGGACCCTGGGCTCTCTCCTTGGATTCTGTCTCCCTGGACCTCATGGCGGCCTCCTCCTTGGTTTCTTCCCTCGTAGTGGCGACGCTTCTCTGTCAGTAGCTCCCTGGAGGAGTGCGGAGGAGACCCACACAGAAGCTCACATGTGTAACAATGTCTTTGCTCTTTTCTCACATTTGATTGATAGCTAATAAGGAATCTTGATATGGAAATCTTTCCTTCCTCCGAATTTTGAAGGAATTGTCTTCTCCTGTCTGTTGTGCTGTGGATGAGTCTGATGCAGTTCTGATTCCTGATCCTTTTTTGAGGCCTGTTTTTTTGAGTCTGCTTTCTGTCTCCGAGATTCTCACAGTGACGGGATTCGATGTTCTGAGTACTTACTGGGCCCTCTCAAACCAGAAGCTCATGTCCTTTGCTTCTGGGAGATGTTTTGGACTATTTTCTTTAAAATTTTTACTCCCCATTTTCCATGTTTTCTTTCTAAAATGCCAGTTTTTCAGATGTCACAACAACACCTAGACCGGTCCCTTGATTTTCTTATTTTCTGTCTCCTGATATATGTTTTTCTGTGAGATTACAGTCACGTGCCACATAGCAATGTTTCAATCAACAATAAACCACAGTGCTCCCATAAAATTATAATGGAGTTGAAAAATTCCTACCACTTCATGACGTCTTGATGACTCTGACCCTGTGTTGGCCTAGGCTAATATGTGTGTTTGTGTCTTAGTTTTTAACAAAAAAGTTAAAAAAAAAAGATTTGAGAAATAGAAAAAGCTTATAGAATAAGGATAAGAAAGAAAATATTTTGTATTAACTGAAAAATTAGCTGAGCATGGTATTGTGTGCCTTTGGTCCCAGCTTCTCAGGAGGCTGAGGTGGGAGGATAGCTTGAGCCCAGGAGACACAGCCTGCAGTGAGCCATGACCACATCACTACGTGCTAGCCTGGACAACATACTGTTTTAAGCTAAATGTTATTGTAAAAAATTTAAAAGTTTAGAGAGTAAAAAAGTTATAGGAAGCTAACTTTAATTTATTATTAAAGAAAATATATTTTTATAAATTTAGTGTAGCGTAAGTGTAGACTGTTTATGATGTCTACAGTGGTGTACAGTCATGTCCTAGGCCTTCACACTCACTCAGCACTCACTCACTGACTCACCCAGAGCAACTTCCAGGCCTGCAAGCTCCATTCATGGTGAGTGCCCTACACAGGTACACCATTTTTAATCTTTTATACATATTTTTACTATACCTTTTCCATGTTTGGAAGCACAGATCCTTACCATTGTGTTACAGTTACCTGCAGTATTCAGTACAGTAACATGCTGTGCAGGTGTGTAGTCTAATCAGCTGTACCGTGTAGCTTTGGTGTGTGGTGGGCTGTACCAGCTAAGCATGTATACATATGCTGTGATGTTAGCAAGATGACGAAATCGCCTAACAGCACATTTCTTAACAACAATCGCCTGTTGTTAAGCATCTCAGGACTGTATCTTAGCTTTCTCTTCCAGCCTTTCAGTGGACGTTCACATTTCTACTCTAAAAGCCCAAGAGCTCTTTCTGTACTCGAAAGTGTCCCTTCATAGTTTTCTGTCATGTTTTGTCGATGTAACATTTTGTCTTCCATTTCTGAAGATATCCTTGTAAGTCGATGCTTTTTTATGCATTGACCCGTCTTTGGGGTGCGGGGAGGTGGTGGAAGGTGAACTTCGCTTCCTGCATTTTGCCTGAGGATGTTGCAGTTGCTTTTTCAAAGTGAGTGTTTCCCACCGCACTATCAGCTCGATGCCGAGACAGCACATGGTGGGTACCCACGTGTTATTGAAATAAGAACTTTATTCTGACCGTGATGATACGTCATAGAAAGTTTTTAGCAGGGGAGGTGCAGATTGATGTAGAGGCCACTGGTGGCAGAGCAAGGTGAGCTGGGAGAGGCAGTGCTGAAGGCTGAGGGCTGAGGCAGGTGAGAACTGGGAGAAACTTGGGCCAATACGTGTGAACAATGAGTATTCCTCAGTTTTTCTTTCATAAACTTGGATATCACTCCTGCTTGCCTTATTGAGTTATTGGGAAATGAAATAAGATATGGGAAATGCTTTGTAAATAAAAAATAAACGTATTGAAAATGTCAGGTATTATTACCACTGACTTTTGCGCCCTCATAGAAAAACGGCATCCTATATACAGTCCACCATTTGTATCCGTGGGTTTGGCATCCACAGATTCAACCAGCCACAGATCAAAATTTTAATAAATGAATAAAAAATAACAATACAACAATATAATAAAAATAATACAGATTAAAAACAATATAGTATAACAGCTATTTACATAGCACTTGCATTAGGAATTATTGGTAATCGAGATGACTGGCAGTATACAGGAGGATATGCATGGGTTGTATGCAAATACTCCACCATCTTCTATCAGGGACTTGAGCATCCTTGGAATGTCCTGGAACACATTCCCTGTGGATACCAATGGACAGCTTCTATTGTGAAATAAAGTATGTGATCTATATGTAGTTCTTTAATCTTTGTTTGCAAATGGTGTCATTAAAGTTATAGGTGGGTGCCATATGCTAAAAGACACTCTAACTCCTGTCCTGTGCTGTCTTACTTTAGCACAGAAGTTGGGCCTCATTGGGCCTCCACCACCTCCACTGTCATCAGATGAATGGGAGAAGGTGAAACAGCGCTCTCTCCTGCAAGGGGACTCCGTGCAACCATGCCCCATCTGTAAAGAAGAATTCGAGCTTCGTCCTCAGGTGTTTAGCATACGAGGGTGAGCTAGAGAGCTCCTGGGCTGTTTCCTAGGGACGAGGCCCAGAGCTGGAGCCTAAGATTCCAAGCTTCCTTTTTCCAGTTTCATCCTCCTGTGTGAGCCTCACACACTTCCATTTTGTTTTCCATTAATTAAAGTGTGTGAAGAGCTAAACACCCTCATTAAATAGTTTTGTTTGTTTACTAACTGGTATTCTCAAGTACTAAAGTTTGTACAAAAGGAATGTTTCTGTTCAACAGGCCCCATGCGGCTGTGCAGACAACTGGGGGGCTTCCCAGGAGCAGCTGTGTCCCAGCGCGGGAAGGATGAAAGCAGAGGGACTCTTAAGTGGTTTTGTGATTTGAGTCAGAAAAGAAAAAAAAAACTGTGCTTGAATGTCTCCAAAGAATTTGTGAGAGAATCTTTAAGAAAAGTAAAATCTTTTAATGATTTTTATTCATGAAACTTTACCATAGTAAGACTGATGATACTACTCTGGGTTAACAGATAATATACACGCGCGCGCACACACACACACACACACACACAGAGAGAGAGAGAGAATGCATATATATATATAGAGAGAGAGAGAGAGAATGCATATAGGGTTTTTTCTATACATATTTTGTCTGCCTAACTAAACTATTGTCCCCTGAAGTTGGGGACACTTAGATTTATCAGAAGTGTGTGTGTGCGTGCACGTGCGTGCGTGGTTGCCCTGTAACAATTTCCCACGTGGTGTGGCATTACGCTTCCTGCATAGCAGGCCCTCAGAGATTTGCTGAGAAAACACAGCAAATACAGTTAAAATCAGCCTTGGAGTTTGTAGCCTAGGAACCCAGGCTTATTACAATCTGGGCAAATGAACTCTGAGTCTTCATTGAATTTGAGTAGGTTTCATCAGCAAGAAAGCTCACAACAGTTACACTTCTATTCACTAATTTGAATTCATAAGTTACTTTAGACATACTTATTATATTCCAGTTCTCTATCAGGACCTAATCTTACATATGTGAAAGTTGGGTATTTTGGACAGATTTTAGCCCTGAAACCACAAATTGTCTAGGATAATTTAGTAATTTAATGTAGCAAAACTGTGAATAAAGCCAGAGGGTGTCTTTCTGGCTAAGCACCCTCTTTCTTACTTATACTAAAATATCCAACCCGAGTGTCTGTATGAAGAATGAAAAGTGAAAGTTACTATCTTATGGGGATCAGGGTGTACCCTGCCCAACATTTCTTTCTGATTTTTATAAATTTCTCACTAAATTCCATTATTTTTACTTGGTTTTGATATAAGACCCATCCTGTATATTTTGCATTTCCAGTGATCATTTCCATGTTCAGATTTTTCCTTAGTTATAAACAATAGTTGGCATTTTTATAACATTTAGTGATTTCAGAGGGCCTTCAATTAATTCCGTATAGTAGGCATTCTGCCCATTTAGCAGATGAGGGAATAAAAACAATTCAAATGACTCATAGTAGGCCGACGCAGAAAGTATCAGAGTCCTGCTGGAATCCAATCCTAACTTCTAGGCCATTTTTAGTGTGTTTTCCACTACTTAATCCTTGATTTTTGTTACATCAGAGAATGTTTGCCAATAACAAATATTTGGGGACACTTAAAAAGATAACACTTTAATATACTGACGTCTAATGTTGCTCCATATAGATAGAATATATGTTGATAAAACACTGAAAAGTATTCTATAAAGAATGAATTAAGTATAGAAAAGATTGCTATTAAATGGTGGTAATGAAAAAGGACCCTATTACTGAGTTTATTCAATTCAGACTTACTCTTGGCAATAAGTTTCAAGAAAAGGTTTTACAACTTTCTGAGTTCTAGTTATTTCTGTATTTCTTCCATTTAAGAAGAAAAGCATACATTGAGTGAAGGCAGGTGGGATTCACTTTAAAAACTGTTAAGTTTTCCCCACAGCAGGCATCCTGGGCCGGCTGAGATTGAAACCTCACCCAGGAGTGCCCCAGACTGTGGTCACCCAAGTCAGATTCTTGACAAAAAGGGAAAACCCTTCGCCTGACCCCACCGCTTTGCTCAGTCTCACAAGTTTCCCCTGCTTTCCTCCCCGTTGCTGAAAGCAGCCCCTCCCAAGGGAAGCAGGAGCCTGGCCTTTGTGTGGCAGCCCGCAGGGCCTGGCGCTGGTGGGCTGGCGGCTGTCCCTTCTACTAAGTACCCACTGCCTTCTTCTTCATTTGGTCTAAGCTTCAGTCTTTTGTCACAGCCCAGTATATCACTGTTTAGTGGGGAATTTGGGTCACAGAAAGGTGAAGTTTTCTTGTGAGCACACTTTCCCTGCATTTAAAAAAGAAAAAAGACTCCATGATTTGTTGCTATTTAAATTTAAGACTGTCAGAATTATATCTCAGTAGAGCTATGATTTCACAAAAATTGGGGGGCATAACTGAGCTGAACAAAGACCTAAATGGTATTTACTTAGCGTTTCCCTGGCCCCACTGGACAGGCCCCCCTCCTCACCCCTCCAGTTTGCAGTCACTGCCCGCATCTAAGGGAAACTTTCATTTTGTCATTGTTTCGCTCTTAAGTATACACTCATTTTAATAGTTAAATATCAAACTTCATGTGTTTATTTGATATTTCAGATCATGAATTTTTGTTATTTAGAGTATATACTTGTGCTGTGCTAAACAAACAATAAATAGTATAAATATCAAAGTTATTAATTTGCTTTTTTAAAGAAATAATACAGCTTACCTTCTAAGCATTCAGGATTTTAACTGTTGGATACATGCTGCTTCTCTTTTGTAAACTTCAACGTCGTTCTGTTTCCTCATGAACAGGTGCTGCTTTCATGCTCCCATGTGTTCCACAAAGTAAGTCCACCCCTCACGCCTGCCCAGGTGCTGCACATGTCGCTCTCACAGTGCAGAGAAACCATAGTCATTTTCAAGGCTCCTAAGGAGAGCCATTTATTTTATTCATCACCACCATCTATAGTTAAAGAAACATGACTGTAGGCTGCAGTACAATTCATCCTATTTTGAAAATCATGAGTTTTGTGACAAAAGAACCACAAATGTTTATGTAACAGATTGTTGTCAGTAATGCATGTCAAAGTGACAGCTAAATTCACATGATCGATCTGCATGTGGCCCCATACACACGCGTGACTCACCTTTGTGCTAGTGGATTTCAGAAGTTTTTGATGTCTCTGCATGTATATTCTTGTAAGAAATCATTTTTGGAACAGGTTTTGTGAGGAAGGTGGTAGCACCTGATGAAGCCTCCTCACTTTATAACCTAAATTGGGCTAAGTCTCATAGTTATGGGAGAAAAGAACACTATAATTAGAACACTAACATTGGAAGTAAAAACGTTGTTTATAAGTAATTACTTGTAAAATTTTAAGTGAAATGTTTTTCTTCAGGCATGTCTTCAGGCTTTTGAAAAGTTCACAAATAAGAAAACCTGTCCTCTCTGTAGAAAGAACCAGTATCAAACCCGAGTGATACACGATGGGGCCCGCCTGTTCAGAATCAAGTGTGTGACCAGGTGAGGACGCCAGGCCCGTTTGGCGCTAAGCAGACACAGATCAGGCTATGACAACTAACTTGTTTTTTGAATAGTGGGATTTTATCTCTCTTCTTGGCCACCATAATTTCCCCAGGGCCTTGTACAGCACAGGGCTTATAACAACTACTGAAGTATTGGTTGACATAGAGTCATCATAAATTAGTCATTTTCAAATATCTGTGTTTTAGAATCCAAGCCTACTGGAGAGGATGTGTTGTTAGAAAGTGGTACAGAAACCTGAGGAAAACAGTACCTCCCACAGATGCCAAGTTAAGAAAAAAATTCTTTGAAAAAAAGGTAGGTAAAGATCATTATGTTCTCCAGATATGGTCTCCGTGCGGGTGGTTCACTTGGGGTCAGGAAGGCTAACAGAGGTGGTAAAACTTTGAGACTTACTTCACTTTGAGGGCTTTTTAAAAATGGGTGAGATGCTGCTAAAAATCCTGTTTAACTTTAGTTGGCTTTCCAACCTAGATGTTCAAATACTTCTAGACTTTCTTTTCTAGTTAAATCATAAAATTAGGTTAAATCAAAGCAACTTCTGTTTGGCCATTTTGTGCTAATTGTTTAAATAAACTTATCTCTTCAGACACAAGACTGGAAACCAGCTTAATTTTTCCCATCTCCTGGGCTATATGTAAATGAAGACATCTGCTGCACATCTCATAGTAATGAAAATAGAAGCTGCCTATAAAAATAAAGCCCCCACATGCTACCATTGTATTGAGTACCTCGTGGGGTCATCACAATGAGCTTTAGAGCTAACTTCCATGTCTACCCTTCCTCTTAACCACTATTTATGCTTTAGTTTTACTTTTGGGGGACTTATTTAACAATTTCCCATTCCTTGTCCCCATATGAAAAGGACAGTCCTACCCCATCAGCCTGTGGCTTCAGGCAAACAGCAGCAGCTCCGAGGCTGTCATATGAAAGCCATCACTTCTTCCTGGCAGTGTTGGCCTGAGAAGAGCTGTAGCATTTATAATGGCCCAGCACACAGTAGGTGCTGGAAATTCTGTATTTATTATCACTATTAACTCCTTTCCTAGAATATGGAGATGAGTTACTGTGTGTTCTGTTCCTGAGAGCAGTGTCTCTGATCTTCAGAGATCATTCGTCTCGGGTGTTCATTCTCAATTTGGTAAAGGACCGCCATGCACGATTGCGTCATCCTTCCTTTACATTCTTTCCAGTTTTTTATCTTCAGTCGTTGACAGTCAGTTGTGTTCTCTGGGCTACTCTTAGTAATTTCTAATATGTCATAGTAGGTTGTCTCTTAAATCAGAAGTGATTTTTTGTCACCTCTTATACAATTTTAATTACAGATTTGATAGTCATTTTACCTTATATATATAAATATTTTTCATGTGCACACATCATTTTATAAGAACTCTTGAAGATAAAGGCCCACTGAAAGTGTTGGTGGTCTCAGCCCATTGAACTGGACGAGAACTGGCCCAGGTTGCTGGAAACAAGTGAAGCAACCATTACAATGTGCCTTGTGTTATCTTGTAAAGTAGCCAGTGAAGGTTAAGTTTCAGCGTTCAGTGCTCAGGTGTTCAAATGCTGCAGCCTTCAGCTTCATGGAAAAAGGAAACGAAAAATAACAAAAAGCAAGTGACCAAGAGCAGTCGGGGCAGGGAGACCTGATCAAACAAGTTCCTCAGTTTCTAATTCAGTGTCTCCCACAGAGAGATGGAACTTTACAAGGCAGATTCATAGCTCTGTCCCACTGGACGTTGGGTCCGCTGCCCTGTGGCCATCCCACCTCCCCACAAATACTGTTTTTTGTTTTATCCTTGGTTCATCCCAACTGCTGCCTCCTCGTCCTGAGCCCTCATCGCTCGGAACGCCCCGCTCTGATCCCCGTGTCTGCTTTTCTGAGCACACTCTTGCCCGCCCCCGCATGTCCTGCCCGTTCCTACTGGTTCCCTCTGCCTTGCTTAAAATGTGCCAGTTTTTCAAAGCCTAGCTGAAGCTTTCTTCCAATTTCTTTGGTCTTCTCTAAACCTCTATTGTATGTTTAAACAACACCATCTAAGAGATCAAGAAGAACAGAAGTATGAATGCTATTCTAGCTTGTATATTACAAATGTGGTTTTTCCTTTGGGGCTTTTAAGATGATCTCAGATGATTTCAATAGCAAATTCACTTAAGCTGAATATCTGTGAAGAAACTGATAAGTAAAACTGATTTTTTATTTTTTGCAGGGGTGGTAGTTGAGAACAAACTGTATAAGTTGTTTTTTATTTTTATTTAGAGACAGGGTTTCGTTATATTGCCCAGGCTGGCCTCAAATTCCTGGGCTGAAGCGAACCTCCCACCTCAGCCTCCCAGTTAGCTGGGATTATAGGCAAGAGCCATAGGCTAGGGCAGTGGCTTTCAGACTTTTCCTCAACCACAATAAGAAATATCTTCTAAGCAATGTTGACAGAAAAACCAAACTCTGTAAAGTATTTTAAAGAAGTTGACTCTGACTGATACGAGTGACTGCAGGCCAGGAAACCCACTCTCAAGGAGTCCTGAGAAAGTGCACCCCGGGCGGTTGGATTACGGTTTGGTTTCATACATTTTAGGGAGGCAGGAGTTACAGGCAAAGACATCAGTCAGTACATGGAAGTTATACATTGGTTTGGCCAGAAAGGCGTGATATCTTGAAGTGGGGGTTTACAGATTGTAGGTGGATTCAGAGATTCTTTATTTGCAGTTGGTTAAAGGAGTAGGGCTCTATCTAAATACTGGAGTCAGCAGAAGGGAATCTCTAAGTTGAGGATGCTGCGCAGCAAGACTGATGGCCTGCGGCATGACTGTCCCTTGCCGGGCATGGCCTTAGGTCTTGTTTGTACTTTGGTTTCTTACTGCCTCAGACTGCCGTCAGCCTTATCACTTTTAAAGGAATACTGGTCACTTCAGCTTAAACTCCAGCAAGGAGTGGGCATAAGGGGCATCTCACCTTTCTTCCCATCGTGGCCAGAAATTCCATTGTTAAGGTTTTCCTAGGGCCCCCTTGGCCAAGAGGGGGTTCGTTCTGTTGCTGGGGGCCTTAGGATTTTTTTTTTTTTTTGAGACGGAGTCTCGCTCAGCTGCCCAGGCTGGAGTGCAGTGGCACGATCTTGGCTCACTGCAACCATCGTTTCCCGAGTTCAAGCAATTCTCCTATCTCAACCTCTTGAGTAGCTGGGATTACAGGCACCCGCCATCATGCCCAGCTAATTTTTGTATTTTTTAGTAGACACAGGGATTCCCCATGTTGGCCAGGCAGGTCCTGAACTCCCAGCTTCAGGTGATCTGCCTGCCTTGGCCTCCCAAAGTGCTGGGATTACAGGTGAGAGCCACCATGGCCTGGCCAGGATTTTATTTTTAGCTTACAGCAATGACCCACCACATGTATACAGTTAACAGAAACGTAACTTTCGCAAAGCAAAATCTGCTTTCACTGCAGGCACCACACTGTGTTCATTTTTATTCCACTTCGTTTCCAAAGTGCTGGGCCTACTACATTAATGTTATGGGTCACTGATGGGTTGTAGATATCAGCAGTCTGCATTATCAATAACTGCCACCTTAAACATAATACAAGTGACCGTGTTATCTGCTGAACTGTAATCTTACCTCATTCAAGTTTCAAGTGTGGGGGTGGGGAGGAACAGATGTATACATATACGCACACACACTCAGATCATAGTGAGGTTATACTCATAATTTGTTACATGAATAGGGATCCTATCATGTAACTCTTGCTCACTTAACTCATTTGGCCATAAACACTTGAAATCTGTAAACTCAGATCTCATGTTAAATAAATGAAGATTGAACTTACTGTAAAATAGTGTATTAGCAGTAGGTAGTAGGTGCCTATATGGGTCCATGCCCTATGTGCTTGTATGCCTGTATGGGTAGAACTCAACAGCTGTCCTTTATAATAAAGACCACTTCTTAATCATTTACCAAATGACCTCACCATTTGATGCTTTTTTTCTACCTTTCCAACTTAATAAACTCATTCTGTGAGCGATGGGAATCCTCTGAGAAATGTTAATCTACAATTTTAGAATGCCCTGCATATTTAATGGAATCCAAAAGGTTACTGAACTAGGTTATTGAATTTCACATTACCCAGGTGTGATGGTTAATTTATGTGTCAACTTGACTGGGCTAAGGGATGCTCAGGTTATCTGGTTAAACATTATTGCTGGGTGTGCCTGTGGGTATTTCCAGATGAGCTGAGCATTTGAATCAGTGGACTCAGTAAAGTGAATTGCGTGTGTACACAGGCACAGTCTCACTCTCTTGCGTGTGCTTTCTCTCTGTCTCTGCCTGACTGCTTGACCTGGGACGTTGGTTTTCTGTAGATACACAGAAAGGGAGGTGTACCCATATAAATAGAAATCATTTTAAAATTACAAAATTGTTGTATACAACTTTATGCAATAGAAGTGAAAATATAATTGAAATTACTTCCTGTAAAAATAGCAAACGTGGAAAGAAATTTAAAGTATGAAATGACTGAAAAAAATTATATGAGCATCTCCGTTTTTACTGAAAAGATATTAAATAAAATTTAACAGCCATTCTTTTTTTTTTTTTTTTTTGAGGCACAGTCTCGCTCTGTCACCCAGGCTGGAGTGCAGTGGCGCGATCTCGGCACACTGCAACCTCCGCCTCCCAGGTTCAGGCCATTCTCCTGCCTCAGCCTCCCAAGTAGCTGGGACTACAGGCGCCCACCACCATGCCCGGCTAATTGTAGAGATGAGGTTTCACCATGTTAGCCAGGATGGTCTCGATCTCCTGATCTCGTGATCCACCAGCCTCGGCCTCCCAAAGTGCTGGGATTACAGGCGTGAGCCACTGCACCCGGCCTTAACAGCCATTCTTAATAATGAAAGACACTAGAACTAGAATGAAATTTCCTTGTCACATTAAAAACTATGTGTCAAATACTAAAAACACATTGTTTTAGAGAGTAAAAAACCATAAAGAAAACTAGGTTACTTACTGTCATCACACTTGAGCCAATCCTTGCCAATAACACATGAAAACAAAATATATGTGTGTGCACATATGTGTATATGTTATGCATATTATATAAATCCACACATGTATATTACAATTTTACATTATATTTATATTAAAATAAGCCAAACAAGGAATGTACCACACTGATAAGAAAAAATTTTTTCTGATGGAATAAAAGGCTTGAATAAAATGACAGACATTTTACACTGGAATGAGTAAAAATGTCCACTTACTTTATATAAATTTAATGTAGTTTCTAACTCCCAAAGGAGTAGGATTGGCTGTGCATTTAGGACTTTACAGGTTAACTCTAAAGTTTATCTAAAGAGGTATGAAGAGCTAATAATTTTTTTAAAAGACAGATTGATGAGATAGAACAGCCTTGTTAGATATCAAAATATATAAATTTGGCAACTAAGATTCTTGGGGAATAATAGACAAACAATGAAACAGTAGAAAGTCACACATCTCAGCATACAGGAAATTTTAGTGTACTAAAGAAGGTATTTCAGACCAGTGGAGAAAAAAATTATTTGAGAAAAATCAATTGGGAAATTGAGTTCATTCATCTGAAGGGGGTTAAAGAACACTGCTTTATGCGTTACTGCCAAGAACATTCCACACGGATTACACTCTCAAATACATTTTAATGGATACATGAAATTAATGGAGTCAAATAGCTTCCTGGGTGCCTGCTCTCTGCCTGTGCTTTGTTAGTCAGGGGAGATAACGAGGGAACAGACAAAACACCACAATCCTAGCAGAACGTGTGCAGCTCAGAGCGGGGAGAGAGCCTGGATCTCAGATTCTGCTCCAGTGCACACGGCACATTGCGTGATTGCCACCGTGGCTTTTACAACGTTCTGAAGGCTATAGAAAAACATTGCAAGGGCCGGGCGCGGTGGCTCACGCCTGTAATCCCAGCACTTTGGGAGGCTGAGGCGGGGGCATCACGTGAGGTCGGGAGTTCGAGACCAGCCTGACCAACATGGAGAAACCCCTTCTCTACTAAAAATACAATATTAGCCGGGCGTGGTGGCGCACGCCTGTAATCCCAGCTACTCAGGAGGCTGAGGCAGGAGAATAGCTTGCACCCGGGAGGCAGAGGTTGCAGTGAGCCAAGATCGTGCCATTGCACTCCAGCCTGGGCGACAAGAGTCAAACTCCATCCAAAAAAAAAAGAAAGAAAAAGAAAAACACTGCAAGAGCACACTAGGTGGTAATTTGTCCTGGTTGACAAGGCAAAATGATCATCTTGATTTACATGTTTGGTACAAGTGGAGAATTTCCTTGTATATATTATATATTAATGTTTAGGGGTTGCATCTATTTTATTGTTCTTTTTTAAAGATGTAATCAATGAGTAGAATATTTTACAGCTCAAAACTGGAAGAGCTTAATAATAAATGTGAGACAAATAATACACGGACCCTATCTTAGTAAAGAAAGTCATCATCATCCTCAGATGCCTTTAGAAAAGACTCTTTTCATCTAGCATAATAGTATACTATTAACAAGTTTATCTAGTTTAATCTGGGCATAACATGTGAAAATGTCATTTTTCCAATGATAGAAACAGAATTGTATTGTTTTCACCAAGAAACAAACATATGTTTCAGTAAAAAAGAGAAAATTGAACTGCTTTCCTTTAAGTACCTATAAAAATTTTAACGTAAGATTATAAGTAAAATGAGGCTTGTTAAGCTTCTAGAAATCAGATTAAGATATTTAAAATAAAAACATAACTGTGGGTCTCAGGTTCTCAACTCAGGCTTCATTTTCTCCTTACATTTGTCCTTTATATTTCCAAAAGTTCTTCAGAACTAAAAATGTGTACTAAATAAGGACCAGCTTCAGATTCATCGGTGTCTATAGGTTTCCTAGTAATACGGCCATTAAAAATAAATTCCAAAGCCAGAATGAACAATGACTTTATCAAGGCCCCTCTGAGTGAGAGACTAGCTTTGTAATGTAGTGAAATTCCAGGCATGCCAGGTTTTTCTGCGTAGTATGGGAAGCCACCCCTGAGTCTGTTCACATGCGTTCACCTCATCACCCCTTCCATACTTCTATGTGTATGCAACTCTGAGGTTTGAATTTTAGAAACTGGAAATCTTACAAAGCAAAATGTGTGGCAATTAATAAGATTGAATATGGCAAATTCTTAATGATCTGGGGAACAACAGTTTTTAAGTCTGGGAATAACATGTGAAACCAGCAGCTACATTTCTAAGTGGCATCTCCATTCTCACTGTTGGTGAACGTTAAACTGTTGCAAATTCATTTTATTTTTAACCTAAAAAAACTGAAATCACAAATTACTAGGAGAAATCAATCACATGACGCACTCCAAAGTTAAAGGTACGTCAGCGTCAGCTCCCCTGACTCTCTGTCAGTGGCTGATTCTCCACTCCCACCCACCAGCCATCTCGATTCTGCACTCCAGTGCTTTTCAGTCTTCTAGACTCTGCTGAACTATGAGAGAAATCTGGGGCTTCAACAAAGTCAGTGCCAACTTTTTAAACTTACCTTACCAAGTTAGAGGAAAAAACAAAACACCACGTACCATCAGAATCATTGTGTAAAAGAAAGACCATTTTAACACCAGAAAAGAAAAAAGTACCTGACCGCACACTAAAGGATATTCCTTTCACACTGCAGACATTTGGCCTTACACATATTTCACTCCACTGAATTTATTCTTTCTTTCTTGGCTGGCAGATAGGTGAAAACTTGTTTGCTATACTTGGGAACCATTGGTTTCGATCAAAGATAAGTTGCCTTTGGGGAAAGAGAAGTCTAATCAATAGAAAGGAGGGCAAGGAGGGATAATAGTTTGATATTTTTAGACATAGCTGATTAGGAAGTGTTTGTTTCCCTCATATGTTTTAGGATCTCACCAAGAGGGATACGTTTTTAATACTCAGGATGAGATTAGCCCAAGCCATTCTGTTTTTATAAATTAATCTATTTTGCTTGTCGAACTTTGTTCCTACATTTTTACTCCTCTACTACAGGGAGAGTTAGTGAAGTCTTTTCTTTAGTTTTCATGCACCTTTTGGGTGTGTTGACGAGTGAAAAGGGACCCTCTTTCTGTGAAGAGGAATGCTTGCATACACTGCAGGTTTCTTTTCACAAAGTTGTGTTGCTCTAAGATGTCACTGACACATTCCTAACAAAACCCAACCACAGCAGTGATGTCGTGCTACAATGTAGATCCTTTCAGCTATATTGAAGTCTTGTGGTAAGAATTGAAAAGGTCAGATGTTGAGTTTTGTACCCTTAGGTAAGTGTCAGAGAATAAAAATTCACTCAGAAATGCCTGTGTCAGAGAGGGTGTTTGAGTTGTCTCGGGATGATACAGTAGTCCTCGAACACTTATTCATTCAGGTTTTGAGGAACGCAGATCAAAGAGGCCTGGAAAGGTCACTCAAGCTGTTCTACTAATACCTAGCACCGGTGTGTACAGAAAGTCCACAGTGTTGCCCAGAATGCAGCGGCTAGGCCTGACTGCCTTTGATCCTTATCTAGAAACTCTGCTAGCATATGTCATATGATTGAGGTAGGGTCTTTTATTGCTGCAATTAAAACTTCTCAAGTGCATTATATTATCTCCGCCCCAGCTAAAAGTCCCAGACATTGTTTAGAAAGTGGGGTGAGTGATTTGTCAGATGCTGGGGCGGCTTTAGGGGCTGCTGGCTCCCACACCCTCCAGCACAAGATTTCTCTGACTTTTTTCATTTACATCTCACCAAACAGCATAATGGTCTTAAAGTTTGCTTAGTCCTTTGACTTCCTTTATCACATAGAGATGGCAAACATTCTGTTGCTAACTTGAAGTGGCTCCAAGCAGCAGGACTGGAAGGATATTAAACCAGTAAAAGCTTATCAACTGATTCATTGATATGCTGTAAATTCCAGGCTTTTCATTTTGCTTTTGAGGGCGGCCATAAGTCAACACATTAGTAAGCAATTTGCTGACATCAAGATGGATCACTTAAAAAGCCCTCCTGAGTAGACAGAGTTCACCTGGGTGCTTTTGTTAGTATATTTTTTTTAAATGTTTAGCCAGCTTGTTACTTGTAAATGACCAGTAATTGTTTTACATATCAATAACTCAAACTCTTATTTAGTTTATCAAGTATCTGATATGTGAGGCTTAAAAGGAAAAATTACACTAAGACATTCATTCTTTGTAAAATTGAAAATGTTTAGGTATTTTGTCTGTTTCTGTAAAATTCATAATATCAACCACTTGTTTAAAAACTAGAAGTCAGTTGTCATTTGTTTTTGACAGTTCTTGCCCTTTCAGTTACTAAGGTCATCTAACCCACATAAAAAGCGAGGGAGTAAATAAAGGAATAAAGAAAGCTGCACACGGAAGAATCTGACAATTAAAAATATCTAATAGTAGCTGCCCATAGGATAGTACTTTGAATTAACTACAATAGTTAATAAATGTTGATTTGACTTCTAAAAGTACCACCCTTGCTAACTTCTGAATACTCAAAGCTGTAAGAATATTCATCCCAGTTCACTGTTTAAATTTGTCATAAATGTCTATGGAAGGACTTTCAGTATATTTATTAATAAGCTAATGTCAATGTTATGATTATAAGCTAAAGTTGACGTTTTACTGAATTTTGACGCTGAAAGTAACTTGAAAATCATTTTAGGTAGGCAGTGTTTTTTCTTAGTTCCCCCAAAAAGGATTTCTACTGCACTCCTTTGGAATATGTACATTTGAGGCATATATTTGCTCTCATTTCTCATCTGTTGCAAACCTAAAGTCAAAATTTCTTGAATGCTAAGGGCCTTACAAAGATGAATTGGTGCTTCCCTGAATCTAAGGCACTCATTCAAGGAGATAAGCAGTGCACACAGGAAAAAGTTAACACTGGGCAGCTGACGTGTGTGGAATGAAAGGAGCAGCAGCGCCCTGTGAGAGCTCAGAGAAGAGAGGTCACCTCCAGCCCAGGTACCTGGGACACATGGATCCCACCAGTCATTCATGTGCAGTCAAGGAAACAGAAAAATCTAACAGTGATTCACTGAACTGAGTCAACAAGTTTGGCCAGACCATAAGATTCACACAGGAAAGGAAGGAACAAGAAGGAAGGAGGGTGGCCCATGGGGAGTGACCTGGGAGAGTGTTCCCAGAGGACAGAGGCTGTTGAGGGGAGGCGGGTGGAGCCGGGCTCCAGTGACTTGCACCTGTGGGTCTTGCCACCCTGCTTCCCTCTGCCTCTGTGTCCTCACTCCTTCCTTCCCAGGTCCCCGTCCCACTGGCTGCATCTGCCCAGAGCGCCTTGTAGGCTGACTTCCCAAGAAGCCTGGCGATCCCTCCCTCACTCCGTGTCTCCCGGAGTCCAGTGCCACAGCAGCACGCTTTCCATCGTCAGCGGGGCTTTTCTTGCTACACGGGAGCTCTCTGTTAAAGGAACCAGTGTTTGTCATCCAGACCATCAGGCTAGCACAGTGCCTGTTCTATGGCAGCTGAGCAATTCCCCAACTCTTTTCACCCCAGCCCCTTTAGAAACTTGTCATTCACCATGCGGATCCTGTAAGTGGTAAATTTAAGTTAAAATTATTTACTTTAGATTGATTAAAATGCATATTAATAGTCTTTAACCACCATTACATATAAAGGGAATTGTTTTTCTCATTGAGGAAATGCTTTAATTCCTCTTAAGGAAGAAAAAAGTATGAATTGTTAATAAGTGTAAAAATGATATTTGGTTACATAGGGTAAGTGGATAGTAAAATATAAATTAGACTCAACTGCATGAAAAGTCTATGCGAACTGCTTTCATGGACTGGCACTTGGAGTTGTGTACTTTGTGAGCCTTCATTGTAAAGGGTGTGCTGACCAGCCCCTCTGGGCAGACACAGGTGCAAGGGCCCAGGTGTGAGCACCCAGCCGGCGTGCCTGTCTAGGTGCATGTGGAGGCCGCTCGGGTGGTTCGCGCCTGCTGCAGGGCACGCTTCCTGCAGGGAGCTGGGGAGAGACAAATAATAAAATATTTTGTTACAATTTTCAAGAATAAGTGCCAGGAAGAAAAATGCAAAGAGAGGAAGGGGAGAGAGAGTGAAGTGAGGGGTGAGATGTTTGAAATAAGGTGGAAATGTCTGAGGAGATGCACCCTGAACCCAAATGGAGGAACCGTGCCGTTCCCTGGAACCTCTGTCCAGGCAGAGGGCAGCACGGCTTAGCATGTGGGAGGGGCAGGCTGGCAGAGTGTGAGCCGCTGGGCACAGGTGACCCTTCCAGGACCCAGACCCCTGTGAGGCCCTGAGCTGGGCGCTGAGCAGATAGGTCATTTTCAAGAGGGCGACCCACAGCCACGTGAACACTGGAAACTGCCCTCAGAGCCCCGGGGATGCGAGGTCAGCAGCTGGGACCCAGACCAAAGAGGGTGAAGAGGGCAGGGCTGGGACTCCCAGGGAGAAGGGGCCATGGCTGGGCCCCTCCAGCACAGGCGCTTCCTGGGAGCCTCTGCAGGGCGTGCCCATGGAGGGGAGGCTCAAAATAACCAGATGAGACGTGCAGTTGGGCCTGCAGCACGCAGGGCTTGGGGACTCTGTTCCAGGTGACAGGAGGGCGGGCGGTCATGGCCTAGTGCCATGAAAATGAAACACAGATCCCTGTTTAAAAGAAAGAAAACATGGGAAAGTGCCATCCAAGTACTAAAAGTATAAAGCTGTATGTACTTCTGTGGCCTCTCTCTCCAGTGGTCATGTAGTTTTTTTTATTTGCTGTTTATTTAATGTTATTCTAAGAAAAAATTAAATTATAAATTTTATGACTTTCACAGTGCATCTTTACACCAGAATGTCAGTTTTAAGTGCAAATATTAGAGCATTTAAGTCATACGTGGAATCACCAAAAGCACACAATTCGTATTTCCCACCCACTAGGGCACACACATTTCCTTCTTTGCAGAGGAGCTGGATGCTAAGCACGGCTGGCTCTACTGTTTTGACTTTGGCTCTTGATACACACACATTCTAGTCAGGCCCTGCCTTCAGCTCACTGAGGAGTCAGGTCTGCAAGGGGGGCCCTGCGTTTTGCATCCCCTGGAAAGCGGGTCCAGGGAAGTGACTTGCCTAAGAGAGGATGTGGCGCAGGATGTCACTGTCAGAATTTGAAGAGAAAAGAGAACACGTGGGACAGAGGCAACAGCTTGAAGCAACAAAGGCTAAGAATTTTCCAGATCTGAAGAAGATACAAGCCACAGATTTAAGAAGCCCAAGGAAGCCCAATATGATTTTGTTTTAAGTGTCTAGTGAGCCTGCAGAACACAAAGCACGGAGTCATCTTGGAAGTGGCCAGGAACGAGGACAGACGATGGCAAACCCTGGGACCTGCAGATTTCCCAGTGGGAGCGGCAGAAGGTGAGATGGCATCTCCGTGTGTCGGGAGAGACCTAACCGCCAGTCTAGACTCCCATGTGAACCAAATGAAAGTTACATTCAAGACGAGAGGCAAAAGAAAAGCCAGACAAAAAGTGTGCCACTAGAACGTCTTCGTTAAAGGAAATTCTAAAGGATGCCTTGCATGAGGAAGGAAAATGGCCCCAGACGGGAAATCTGAGATGTCAGTGGTAAAAATGTGAGTAAATCTAATAGACATTGATTCCACCGAACAAGAAAACTCATGTCTCAGGTTAAAAGAGAGAGAGAGCTTATGACAAAAATAACATAAAGCAGGAGAGGAAAATTAAGTATGCTCAGATCCTTGTATTGGTTCGAGGGATAAAAATTCCAATTTAGACCTTAATAATGTAAGTATGCACTTCTAGGGCAATAGCTAAAAGAATAGAAACAGAGTTTTAACCTTCAAAACAGTAAAGAGAATGAATAGAAAACTTTAATTGAAAAGAGCAAAAATTAAGAAACCAATGGCAGGGCAGATGGAAGACAGAGCAGGATGGGTGCACCGTTTGTCTGTCAGTAACAACACAAAGCGGACTGAGTGCTCCAGCACCAATCAGATTATGTATGTGTTACTCAGAAGAGATGCCTGAAAACGCGAACAGTGTGTGTGTGAGTGTGGTAACATATTATATGTACTATAATATACACATAAGCTCTTTACAGAAGAAGGCTGATGTGCTGATACCTGACGAAAGAGATTCTAAAGCAAAGGCATCATTAGAGATAATGGTGTAGAACACCACACCGAGCAACGGCAGCACATATTTTCTTTCAAAGTACAAATATATCATTATAAAAACTGACCATACGCTTGTCCATGATGCAGATGTCATCATAGGTCGAGACATTTATGTTTTATAAGTTCAGCTTCTAGATTCGGGGGTGCCTGTGCAGGTTTGTCACTGGGTGTACTGCAGGACGCCGATGTTTGCGGTACAGGCGGTCCTGTCGCCCAGCTCATGAGCACAGTCCCCAACAGTTAGTTTTTCAGCCCGTGTCCCTCCCCAGTCGTCCTAGTATCTCATGTCACCATCTTTATGTCCACGTACTTGAAGAAACTTAAGTCGTGTAGAGTATGTTCCCTGACCACGGTGCAGCTGAGGCTAGAAATAAATTTTTTTTAAAAAAATAGAACTATCTCACGTTTGAAAATAAACGGTTCTAAATAACGTATTAATCGAAGACAAAATTATAATGGAAATGAGAAGAAATTTCAGTTGAATAGCAAAAGTACATATCAAAACTTGTGGAATGGAATATTTCATCAAAACTTGTGGAAAGGAATATTTGCGTCTGCCATGCTAGGTTTTCTTCTGTGGAATCAAACACCTGAGTGTGGAATTAGTTTGTGATTCTTATGTATATTAAAATATCCTAAGCATTTATTTGCTTTCTTGCTATATTACACCAGTTACCATTAAGACTGGAGCACTAAGTGTTAAGGGCCACCCTCCCTGAGATTTATTTGGTATATATGCAAAACTGACAAGTCTGTTTCTTTCAACAAGTGCCTACTATGGTCGGTGCGTGTACTGAGCTCTTGAGAGGGTTTAAAGGCAGGGTGTGACGACGACAGGTGCAAAACCCTTTAAAAACCCTGGATGCTATTACCAGCGTTAAGAACAGTCCTGGCCCCAGGACTAATAAAGGAGATAGGACCTGTATGCCACAGTGACTGAGGCAGAAGGAGGCAATAGGTGACATCAGTATTGGACCTCAGGGTCTTTGTCATCAATAGGGCCACTTAGGAGTCACCCAACACAGTTGTTCAGAGCATATGAGCTCTATTTCCATCTAAAGTGTTTGAAGGAAAATGTACTTTAAAAAGTCCTAATGATGCTGTCTTTGGAAGTTTATCTTGAGCTAAGTAACTCATTTATGTAACATCAGGACAGCTGGGATTGCTCCAGGCATCCTGTAGAGAGAGCGATACACTCACGTATGATAGAATATATGCACACACAGGTGACACTGTAACATAAATGCATATAGATGTACATACATATTTATATGTGGCCCGCACACTTACTCTGTTCCTCTCTCAAGTGGCTTCTGAAAGCGCACGCACAGCGATACCCATGCTTGGAGTTGGGAGGTGACACCTCCAGGAATGATAACTAATGCTGTGTTAAATAACTTTGCATATTTAAAAATGTGATCGGTAACTTCTATGACCGTGGTTCTTAAACCTGAATGGGCCTCAGAATCACCTGGAGGGCTGTAAAGCATATCGCAGGGCTCACCCCGCGGACTGTGGCCTCGGCAGGCCCGGGGCAAAGCCTGAAAAGCTCTGCTTTTCTCACAGATTCCCAGGAGCTGAGGCTGCGGGGTCTGGGCCCCACCTTGAGAATAAACACCCAGATCATATCGATCATTTCATTCAATTGATCAGTCATTCCAAATAGTACTTTTATGTCCAAAACTAATCTCAGAACATACCTCACAAGTTGAAACACTTTGCAAGGTCTGGACTAGAATGTGACCCTTTTTCTGAGGTATAATTTTGAAGGAAGAAAAGATCTTGCTTTTCAGGCATATGTGGAAAGTATCTCACACTTAAAAACAATTTACAGAAAACCTGAATTACAAAGCATCAATTGGAGGTAACTGTGTATATTTCCAAGTAATTTTTCCTTTTACAATGTATAGAGAACTCTTCTACTTTCAATAATTTATTTAGATATTATTAGATATTTGAAAGGCCAAGGAATAAAGAAAATTAAAATTAAAGCCTTAGGAAACGTTACCGATTCAAGACCCTAAATTAAGATACAGCTGCTTGGCAATTATAATTACATTCAGAGTGAAAGAGAATTTGACTCATAAATAGAAAAGCAGCTTCCACCAGGCTTCCAAGTACGGCTAATCCCAAAACACAGGTGCCTGGAAGATCCTCAGCCACCCCCTTCATTCAAACCCCAACCCTTGTGGACTGCCTGCTGTGTTCACAGAATGTTCTTTACTCAAAAGGACCTCTCATCCTTAAAGCCAATACTCATTCTTCTAACATCCCAGGGAGAAAGGCAGCTCATAGTCTCCACAGCACTCGACCCTGCGCTGTCTCACGATCTTTTTGCAGAAGGGAGAGAATTGGAAGAGAACTCCATGTCCTCAAAGGCACCTTCAGAAGTCTGGTGATTTAAATACACACTACGTTCTGCCAGGTTGCTCCACATTAATAAAAAAAAAAAAAAAAGAAAAAGTGAACGTGAGGACTCCAGTAGACTAGAATATTTGAAACCTGGACAGTCATGGACCATCCAAAATGCATTTTCCCCATCACATATCTAAATGTGTGAGATCTCCACGGGACTTGTTCATTTCATCCTTCTTTGTGCTTCAAGCCGGATTCCATGAAGCAGATGTAACTGCTGAATCGGCACTTCTCACTGCTGGACAAATAACCCCCCGAATTTCAGTGACTGAAAGCCAGAGCTTCGGTCTCATAGGACAGTTCAGGTGTCCTGGCTTGCAGGCAACATGCCAGCCTGTGGGGCTCGGGAACTGTCTCCCTCTGCCCTTTATCTGCCACCCCCCGGGCCTGGAGAACACCCAGAAGAGACATGAGCCACGTCCATCTGGAAGAACTACTTCACGTGGCCCCACCTGGGCATGGGGGAATGGGAAATGTCATCTCTGGGTGAGCCACAGCTCTGTACT
This sequence comes from Homo sapiens, assembly GCF_000001405.40. Classification (NCBI taxonomy): domain Eukaryota; kingdom Metazoa; phylum Chordata; class Mammalia; order Primates; family Hominidae; genus Homo; species Homo sapiens. The sequence goes on from NC_000007.14 coordinate 156,674,387, forward strand.
TGAAAGGACAAGCAAGAGGGCAGGAAGTGTGGCTGACAGTCACCATTGGCACAACCTTTTACACACCTTATTCTCCTTTGCTTTACACTCTTCACATGTACTAAAAAGGAGCCGCTGGTGTGGCCCTGAATGAGCCACCTACCCGTGCCTCAGATGACACTGGTGGCCACTCTGTAATGACTCAGACCTTTCTAGTGTAGGATGGCTTGAGCCCGGGAGGCCGAGGCTGAGTGAGCATTGATGGCCCCAAGCACTCCAGTTTGGGTGACAGAGCGAGATGCTGTCTCCACCAAACCAAACAAAAATACCAAAAAAAACAAAGTACTGTATTCAATTAATAAACGTTGAAGTGATAATATTTTGGATCTGTTGGGTCAGATACAATATTAAAATTAATTTCACCTTTTAAAAAACTTAATGTGACTGCCAGAAATTTTAAAATTACATACGTAGCTCACAGTATGTTTCTATGGGACAGAGCTGATCCTGCGAAATTCGAACTTTTCTCTCAACTTTTAATTTCAAATGTGTTCCTGCTAATGGTCAAAGCTCACAACCAAGAAAACAGCAGGGGAGGGAAACAATATACCCTTTTCCCCTACCCTCCTAAATTCTTCAGCTGGAGCCCTGTAAGTTAAGCTTAACGAGAAAATTACACGGATTTACTTAGTAAGTCCCATGTGGTATGGAAGCCTTCCTAAGGCAGCGCAGACCGGAAGAGATAGTGCAGACCCGAAGAGGCAGCGGCGACCCGAAGGGGCAGCGGAGACCCGAAGAGACAGTAACGCCTGAGCGCTTTCTATGCTAGGTTGGATGAGGACACAGAGGTCGTGGGGAAGCATGACAGGACAAGGGGTGAGCTGAGGGTGGTCGGTGGGAACCACGGCAAGGCCTGTGTGCTGTCTCCTCCCGGCTCCCTCCGTCTTTGGAGACGAGGGTGCCTCTCACAGGAGGGTCCTGTGACCCACTTTAGGGGTGGGGAGAGGTCAGACGGTCCCTCCTGCAGCTGTCATTTCTCAAATTCCTTTGGGAAGGAATGTTTTTTCCTTAAAATATTCAGTATGCCAAGGTGCCGTATTTTGGGGTAGTGTGTTCTGGACTCCATCAGATAGGGGTTCTTGTGGTCATCTGTCCAGATTATCTGGATTTATAGTTAAGTAAAATAGACATATATCTATTTCCCTAAAAAGTATTATTCGAAGACAGAGACGAGGAAGGTTACCAAAATAGATGGTCAGGCTCGAGAGCGCTTCCCTGCAACCTCCACCGAGCTCAGGTGTGAGCTTACCCGCCCCCGCCTCCTCCTCAGTTCACAGAAATCAGCCACCGCATCCTGTGCTCATACAACACCAACATTGAAGAGCTCTTTGCAGAAATCGATCAGTGCTTGGCCATAAATCGAAGTGTTCTTCAGCAGTTGGAAGAAAAATGTGGCCATGAGATCACAGAAGAGGAATGGGAGAAAATCCAAGTGCAGGTAGGTTTGGCTGGCAGCCTGGCAACCAGCAGACTCAGCTGCAGCTGCAGAGGCTGTGGGGAGTGGCATGTGGGGGGAGGTCGAGGACTCACTTTGGGGAGCCTAGGAGTGTCAGGCCCGGGGTGCAGCCGTGGAGGCTGTGGGGGTGGCATGTCGGGGGAGGTCGAGGACTCACTTTGGGAAGCCTAGGAGTGTCAGTCCCGGGGTAACCGCTGCCCTAGCTGCCCCTGCACCTGTGGTAGGACTTTCCTCATGGGCTTTAGGGTGACGGCAAAGGTCCCTTCAGTTTGAAATTCTGGAAGTTCCTGTTGGATGTTGCTTATCACAGGTGGGTTACTAACCCTTTCCACAGTTCCCAGGAGTAACAGAGTATATGTGTGTGTATATATATATGTATATATATAAATAAAATGCATGTGATTTTAACACAGAATGAAACTTCCGCATGTTTCGAAGACCCATGTCTCGGGGCACATGGTTCGCATTTCAGTTTAAGTAACTTTCTGCTGTGATGAAACTAACCCGCGTGGCCTCTTCCCGTCCTGTGTGCCGCAGGCTCTGCGCCGGGAGACCCACGAGTGCTCCATCTGCCTGGCCCCTCTCTCCGCTGCTGGCGGTCAGCGCGTGGGTGCAGGCAGGCGTTCCAGAGAGATGGCCCTCCTGTCCTGCTCACATGTGTTCCACCATGCGTGTCTGCTGGCACTAGAGGAGTTCTCCGTGGGAGACAGGCCTCCTTTCCATGCCTGTCCTCTCTGCCGCTCCTGCTACCAGAAGAAGATTCTTGAATGTTGAATTCATAGTCAAGGAAAGTTAGGTAATTCTGAGGAAAAAAGTTTACCATCATTTTGGATGAACTGCATGAGTTCTGGGTTAAGTACTACAATGTAATCTGTTTCCCAGGGAAATAAGCTATTGGTAGTTGTAGGAAATCTTAGTATATTTTAAAAGCTGACATCCCACCTAATTTTAATCTTTGGTCTCTAAAAAGTAAATTTCAAATTTATGAGTTTAATCACTTCAAATATGAATAGCAAAAAATGAGAGCTTGCTTACTTCTAAAAATTGAGGTTAAGATATAGCTAGTGTCTGAACGACACTCCTTAAAGTAAGTTCCAAATGTAAAACACTCCTTAAGTTCCAAATGTTTTCCGCTAATAGTCTGTCCTAAAGCCTTTGCCATTCCTAATACTCGTTTTGTAATAATTGCTGTATTTCTGTGTAATAAAATATAAAAATAAAATATTCAGTGGTATTCAACATCAAAAAAGTGCAAATTTTAATGTCTTAGAGCAATAAAGACTGTTTTAGTTCACACATTTTAAAAAAAAGTGAACCTTTTTGGATAAGAATTGTTTTTGTCACTGGTTTACTATTACTGGGAGCTTGGTTATTTACAGTAACCAGTTACAGTCTCATCGGTTAGGTTACCCCTAGCCGAGTAACAGATAAAGCCCCAACTCTCAGTGGCTCGCTGAAGACACATGATTTCTGAGGTGTCCAACCCATGTCAGCCATGGGTGAGGCAGGGCGAGGGTACACCATGTGTGACCCTGGCTCCTTTTGTCTTGTGACACAGTCTCCTTTGCCCCCGAGTCCCCAGTGAATCCTGTCACTGCTGGTGGAGGGGCAGGAGGACATTGTTCCAGGCCATGCTTGGGAGTGGCGCTCATCACTCCAGCCACAGTAACTACAAGGGGCAAGGAAAGGGCAGGGTGTAGGCCTAAGAGGAAGAGGCCAAGTGGGTGTGCACATGGCATGGGCTCAGAATAACCCAGCATCTAATGTGAGAAGAAATGCCAAAATTTCTATTTATTCTTATCTCATCCCTTAGAAAAAATACTCTCCTATGTTTTGTGATGTACACATTATATAGCTACATATGTATGTATCATTTATGAATAAATATGCATATATTGGGATGTGCTCATTTTTTAAGGATGTATACTATCAAAAAATTTGCAGACTAATTTGGAGAATGCTTTAAACAATGAGTAAGCACTTTTATTCTAAGAGAGCAGAGGGAAACTGAATCACAGAACCTCAATTTTCTGTAAGCTGACATCTCTCTCCCCATAGCGTTGACAGGCAAAGCACAGGCACGTGTCAAAGGCCAGAGCAGTCCGATTCCGCCGCCCTAAACTTTGGATCTAGAAGGAGAGTCCCGGAGATACATGGATCATTCAGTGATGGGAAGAGCCCAGGAAAGGTTGTGCCTAAGGCTGTGCCCAACACTTCTTCCGGGGCTTTCTCATCACATCTGTGAGCCATGCCATCCACCCCGTAAACCTTCCGTGCCTATGTTGGCAGAGTCCATCTCTATTCTTTGCAACCAAGTGCAGTACTTTACTGACACAGGAACTAGTGTTAGTTGCAGGCAACAGATACTTAGGAAAATCGGTGGGATGAAAGGCAGGAATGGTCATCTAACTTCACTGAGGATGAGGGTCGCGAAAATCCCATGAGTTCTGAGGAATGGTCCAGGGCAGCCTGTGACAGTTAACAGAAAATCAGGCAATTTTCTTACTGAAAAGTGGCCATGGAATGGCGCGCCCATCGAAAGCTTGCGAGACCAAGTTGCAACCACAGAACGCTAAAAAGGACCTGAATGAAGTAGCTACTTCTCTGGACAATTTGAAGATAACGCCACATTGTCAGGTCAAGTCAGGAAAACAGTGCAAGCTTTTATACAATTACTCCACAGCCTCATCAGGTCTCTTCTATAAAAACTGGGACACTGACCAAGAAAGAGTGGGGCCTTTGGAAACATGAGTTCATGGGAGGACTCAGCGGACAGGGAGAGCCCTGTCTGCTGCCCTCATTGTGTCTTCCTGGTCAGCTACAGCAGTCCCTACGGGATGTGGCCATTCCTCCCTTATTTTAACAGGTTGGAACCCACTTGTCTGACAGTCACCTTGCAAGATGAAGCCACTTCTTGTGCCTTCTCACACATCCCTTTTTGCCTTTAAATCCACTTAATTAGGAGCCTACCATTCCATGGGCGGGGGGAATCATTAAATCACTATCAAGTCCAGAAAGAGAATTCTTAGCGAATTGTGGGACTGGAGGCATTTGATAAGAATAAAGGTTATAATCTAGAATGAGGATACCTGTCATGAATCTTTATCAACCAGATAATAGAACTGTAAGGTACATGAATGAACAAGAAACTGAAAACCTAAAACAAAGAAAAAATGAGACTGCGGTTGTACTGGCCTGTATTTACATCCAGTTCATCTGCCCACTGTAAGCGTGACCCCAGGCAAATGTCTGCAGCTTTCTCAGTGGCGTTCCTTGTCGGTAAAATGCAGATGTGTATTTTCGGCTTCGCAAGGTGGTCCTGGGGGTGACTGTGGGACGACAAAGAACTCGACCCTCCACACCACGCCCCAGGCCCCTCTCACCACCCCTGCTTCCAAGTCTTTGATGAGATTCCACAGTAAAGACTAAAAAGAAAAGAAAAAGTGAATCACTCTTCAGACTGAAGGATAGCCAGGCCAGAGAGGTGGCGAGGAGGAAGTGAGCAGGAGGAGGACGATGCTCCACTTGTCACTTAGTTCTCTGACTCTACTGTGGAGTCCATATAGAACAACTGTGGATGACTTCAAGATGCTGTTAAAGAGAAGTTGCAGAATCAATATAAATAGCTACAGCAGTATCAAATATGCTTGGTTCTGAAGTGTCAGTGTTTGTAAGCGGCATCGTTCATTCAGTAACAGCTTTTCAAAGGAAAGGAAAGGAGAAGACATTACAACAGCCACAAAACAGTTTTAGTAACTGTTAAAACTTCAGTTCTCAGACCCATAGCCCACACGTGACTCTCCACCTCCTCACACTCAGACACAACAGATTCTTCTACATCACTCTAGTCCTCCACAACCACTCACATCAGGGCCGCCCTGCTGTTCATAATCCAGGCTCATAAACTTGACTTCTGTACCACCTTTAGAAGTAACAGCAGAACACCAAATCCATATCCAAGAATAATGAGGTTTTGTGTGAAGTTCCTATTTGATTATAGTTAACCTTGAAAAAATTTTTTCCTAATTAAAGAACACAGAATTGGAAGTTAAATAACTTCTCTTGAAAAGGTAAGTTTATTGCCTAATATTCCTTCAAGACATATGGATCAATCACCAAGTTTTGAAATTTTGTATATATTTGTGAGTTTTAGGAACTTCTCCTGATATTACATTTTCTACAGTGCAACAAGTAATTTGCGTACACAGTACTTTTGCTTCAGTTGTGTTTGCAGCAATAATTTTTACCTAAACAATATTCAAAAACCAAAAAAAAAAAAAACTCCAAAAAGGTCTTTGTATTATTTCTTCTTTTAAACCACATTCCAAAGGGATGCTTTTCAAACTGAAGTCTGCCATCTATTAGGAGGCCACAAAGTAACTTAGTGTCTGTGTCTAGTATTTTTAAAAATAATAAAACAGAAGATGCCAGCATGCACACTTAGGAAAAACAAGTACTGTCTTGTTAAATTTTTGCTTATACGTATCTGAGAGACAGAGAGAGAGAGAGAGAGAGAGAGAGAGTGTGTGTGTGTGTGTGTGTGTAATGGGTTATTTCTTACTGTGGTCAAAAAGTTGAAAGCCACTGTAAGTAGGCTTCTGTCTGCCAGTAAATTAACCAGATGCTAACAGCATTTATTCTTCCAGGAACTCTGGGTTAAGCTGTCCAGACCACAAGTAGGTGCTGTTCAGTCCTTTTATGGAAAAAATTAGAGAAATCAAGTCTAAATAATTCAAGTAATTAAATAAAATACATGCTATCAATTATTGATGCTACATTGTGGGTTATAAGAAATTGATCTACCAATAACTGCACAACAGAGAAAGAAAATATCCATTTCTTAATTCAACATTCATCAGAATAATTACTGCCCTCTATAAAACTGAAATGGAATTAAACTATAAATACCCTTAAGTTTTAGCCATGATAATATTTAAGATGGAAAAAACAAAAGAACAAATAAACCCCACATATAAATGCTTATAAACCAAATATGAAATCACTTTTTGTACAACTTTTAATTTCTAAGACATTTAAAAAGTCACACTAAAAGTATCTCATAGAAACAAAGACTAACAATTTGTAAACAAAACAATCTGTAAACAAAAATCAATTACTAGTGTGTCCAAATGTTATTTTTAAAAGTTAACATTATACCAGTTTTTTCAAGTTTAAAAAGTCGGTGCTGCATCTATGTTCACATTAAAAAAAAAAACTTGTAAGAATTCTGCCTTTATGCATTAAATAACGTGCTACCAACAAAACTAGCACATAAGAGCCTGTAAATGATGAAAACCTGTGTCCCTGGCAGACGAGGTCATCACTGAGGCTGCAGGGAGGGCCATGGGCACCCAGCAGATGGGGAGGCCGCACTGCCGCTGAGAGCAGGTACACGTGCGCCTTTAACACATCTGAGAGCAAAACGCGAGAGGCTCCGTCCATCTCTACTAACCAGCACCTTAGTGCAGCAATTTAAGGAGCTAACATTAGTGTGTATGTGTGTACAAATTTCATGTAAAGCCTCATATTTAGAGGTCTATTTTTACAGAGAATGTACATAAAGCTACGTAAATAGTAAATCTAAGAAGTATCTTGGAAAATCAGTAAAAATTAATACAAATGTTATAATCTGAAAACTTATAATTGTAAAATAATTTATTTAAGTATTGCAGAACCAATTAATAAGAATCTGCAAGTTTTCCCCAAGAAACTCTGGAACCATAGTGCCTAATGCCCTTTAAAATCGATACTAAAGGAGAGAGAATAAAAGGACTGCTTGATGTGACAGTCACTGGTGCATCCCTATCCAGTCAGAAACAAAACTGTAGCTCCAGAATTGACCTGATGATGAGCATCTGCAGCTCTGCCTTCCAGGGTCTATCTCCTCTCTTTCACTGGCGTGCAGGAACTGCAGTAAAATGAGGACCCCCAGAGCGACTGTCCTTACCAGGACTCAGAACGTTTGGCCTCCGTATTCTGGCATCCATTTCTGGAGTTCGTCATATAAAGCAGCCTCCGACCTAGCTCCAATGGAAGCACCTGCATTTGGAGTCAGTCTCTCCAGAGGCAGATGCTTGGGCATGTGCTCAGGAAGAGCCTCGAGGAACCGTGATTACGCAGCAGCCCAAGGCTGTAACAATCTATTTGTTCTCAAGGCATATGAGTCCCAGGTTCGAAGCCGTCCTTCCACCCCATGCATATCCTTTGCTTCAACAGCAGTGAGGATGCCTCCAGGAAGTGTATTGTACTCAGGGCTTACAAATCCAAAACTGGCTTAAGTCCTCGGATGGAGAGAAACTTCCAAATGAACAAAAAGTTGAGCTAAACACTGAAAAGTTTAGTATTTTACTTAAAAATTTTCAGACATTTTCCAAGTATCTAGGAACTCTTTGGATGTGCCTGAAAGTGGTGTAAGTGAGAAGTGATATTACTCTACTCCTGAGTTTCTTTCTGTTCTTCCCTTCACTTGGTCTGCTCAAAGTATGGACTCCAAGCTTCACTAAAAATCAAACCTGGCAATTAATACTTCAATAGGCATAACAATGAAATTGGAAAAGAGCTGAATTTTATTAACTTTTTAGGTATGTCGATTTTATGCTGAGAAATTCACCAGTACTATACTGGTGGTATTTACTGAAGCTTGTTTAGAATCACAAAATGAATGTTCTTTTATTTTAAAACCAAGCTGCATTTTAGAAAGATGTGAAGCTCGGAAGGAAATGCAGACGTATAAATAAGGGGGAAGTGTACTCAACAAAGGTTGTAAATATACAGATTAAAGTTTCTTATTATTTTGGTTTAAAGTGGAAATTTCTGATGTCAAATAGACACAGCCTGCGTTTCATAAATTTCTCCCAGAAAACCTTTAAATGTAACAATTTGAAAAAAATGTTTTACTTTTGTCTGAACACAGACCATCTATTTTCATACACACAGTGCATGTGAACATATTTATATAGCAGACTGCATAACTACGAATTGTGTGCAAATGGGCCCATCTCCTATTTTTGCATGCACAGATTTCGGTATTCTATCCTAGTGGATGGTTGACACAGAGTGCAATTTCATAGTTTTTATTCAGTGGACTTAAAGCCAAGAAACCATCCCAATAATTATTTACAATTTAATAACTGAATGATTATCAGATCGTGTTATACTGCAAAACTGTTCTTACACCATGAATGCTGATGCTGTGAACTTTGGATGTTAAACTGGTAAAAGCTGGAGGCTTCAAATGGCATATGCAAATGTAACCAAAGCCTGAGGACTATGAAGAAAGAGGAGTTTCTACCACTCGGCATTTATAGTTTTTATATGCATTGCAGAAGCATGGGGAATTAAGTGATCTCTGAAAAAAATGCTTTAAAAAACTGAGTATACATATAGCCTATAAGGTAAAAATCCAAGTTACAAGTGTATTAAACACTGGCAACTATGTTATCAGAGGGAATACTGAATTATATATATACATAAACTGTCATTAAACTGTGATTACATGATACTTCCTACCACAGCTTATTAGACTGTACAACAGAAGATATTCCTGTGGCTCTCTAAGGCTCCAGGTTTAAAAGAATTTAGTATTTTCCCCTTGGCTCAAAGTCTAATCAGTATCATTCTATAACATAAATCAGAAACTACGCTTTTTGCTTTTAAGGAAATAAGAAACATAATTGCAACCATTACAGCTCCAACATACACTGCAAAAATGATATCTACAAGCAGTTGCCATTGCATTTGAAAAATGCATTTTCTGAATAAGCTTCACTTAGTACCAAGGATGCCTTTCAAGTCAGCTTCTACATTCTGAATAAAGTACATAATGGGATTTAAGTAAATCTTTAGAAGTCCCGGAGTTTGCCTTTTCTAACATTTTCATATCAGGTGAAAACAATTTTTTCATATGGGTGATTGTATTTACCAACATGAGCAAATGTCTACAGAAGAATGCGCTGTTCTATATGTCTGTAAGGAATCTGCACTTAACTGGAAACTACAGGGTCCATCAGAAAGTTAAATTTAAAAAAGATCAGCCATAGCCAAGTTCTTCGTAGATTATGAAAAAAAAATGGCACTGATAGGTCTAGGTTCTGAAGAGGGGCCACGGTTGAATGGAAATGCTTCTACATGGGACAGGAATGTCGTGAATCTGGAGTTCTCGGGTCTCTTGGTGGCAGAAGACGCCGTCTGTGCGTCTCACAGTGCTTTCTGATGCCCATTTACAGAAGGCTTGGCTGTTTCTGAATCCCTTGAAGTATTTGGTAAGTGAAGTTTATGAAGCCCTGCAAAAAAATTAAGAAAATGGTGAGAAATGATATATTGCTGAGTGGCTGGGAAAGGGTTAGGGTAGGGAGAAGAGGAGATTTACAAAGCTAAGTGTTATTTGGAAAGCTGTGAGGTGCTGGCCAGATCCCCTTGAGGAATGAATGATTTCTTCTCCCTACTGGCAACCTCCCTTTGGGGATGGCCTAAGCTGAAGACTGCTGCAAGGCGGAAGTCCTGCCCCTTCCAGGACAGCACGTGAGGGTCCTAAGAGCCTGTCCCTTCTTCTCAGTTCAGTGGAGCTCTGAAGGGCCATCGAAGTCACAACATCCCCGAGGGCCAGCGGAGGCTTCCAGTGTGACTGCATCACGGCACAGTTCCTCCCTCTGCACAGCCCCTTCCTCTTCCGTTGTCCCAACCCGGCTAATAAACCTCTTCCTGGCAAGCAGATTCCCATCTGAAGTGTGCTTCTCAGGGAACCTAACCCGAGACAGATACGTTCCCACTTGCATTTTAAAATGCACACACACAGGCTGGGCGTGGTGGCTCACGCCTGTCATCCCAGCACTTCAGGAGGCCGAGGTGGAAGGATCGTTTGAGCTGAGGGGTTTGAGACAGGCCTGGGCAACATTGTGAAACCCCATGTTCATGAAAAACACAAAAATTAGCTGGCTGCAGTGGCTCATGCCTATAATCCCAGCACTCTGGGAGGCTGAGGTGGGAGAATTCCTTGAGCTCAGCAGGTTGTGACTGCAGTGAGATGTGATCACACCACTGCACTCCAGCCTGGGTGACAGAGGAGACCCTGTCTCAAAAAAATTTTAAATAAAGTAAAATAAATTGCCCCTTACACACATGCAGGAAAATGTAGGGAAAGCCACAGCCAAATATTAATATGTAATTAAAAAGAAAAGAATGGAAAACATTACTAAAAAATAAAGAAATGACAAAAGAATAAACTGAACATAAATAATATCTCACTACCCAAAGGTATTTCACAGAATAAAAAACTATCACTATCTTTTAAAGTTACATTTATTTCTCTCTGTATCATAAAACAATTATTTACATAATATACCTGATACACAGACCAACATTGCCCTCTCACAGGGAGAAAGGGCAGAAGAAAATGTAAGAGCTTCTGTGGCACTGGAGCGTCAAGCACTTTAATAAAAATGAAACACAATGACATACAGCAACACAGTCAGGTGTTGCCGAACAACAGGAATGCATTCTGAGAAATGCGCTGTCGAGCGATTCTGTCGCTGTGATGCCATCATAGAGTGTATCTATACACCCAGAGGGCACAGCCATGCCATCCCTAGGCTGCAGGGTGTGGCCGGCTGCTCCTCAGTTACCAAGCAGACAGCATGTCACTGTCCTGAGTGCTGCAGCCACTGCGGCACCATGGCACATATCTGTGCATCTAGAAACATATGAACCTAGAAAAGCTGATGCGTGGCGCCAGGACATTACAACAGCCGCCACGCCACTGCTGGCAGAAACGGTTCAGCTCCATGATCATCTGCTGTGGCCACTGTCACATAGGCAAGTGGTCTGTTATTGACCAAATGATCATCATGTGGCCTATGGCCACACAGCAGCACTTCCACAGGGCAGATGTTGAGAAAATACTTTTCACGAAGCTCAGACCTTTCTGGCATCTCAACAACTTACTTGGAAAAGATTTTTCTCCCTAAAATTTCACATGGTAACTGACCTATTAGGCAGTTTTACATCACTCATAAACTAATATAGCACTCCAAATTTTAATCTTCCTGTCACCTGCATATCTTAATGAAAGAAAAGGTAAAACTGAGCCTATGTTTGAATGGGAAGGGAAAAAAGAAATCAATCCAACACAAAAAATGGTCAGGTCCCAGGAATGACAATAGGAACCCACAGCTGCTGGAGTTGAGGAAGTGTGCTAAAATCAAGCTTGTTAGAAAAGGGACTGAGTGAAGACAGAGGATCACTGCGGTACCCACTGACTGAGCTGAAATGAAGGCACCCTTTTAGGATCGATTATCTGAGTTCACGCCTAAAACTTGGCTGTCATGTAGGTTATGCATTCTGAAACGTTCTGATGTGTCTCTTCTGCAGACAACTCCAGAAACAATCCCGTCCATTACCACCATCACCACAGCTAAATTTCTAGTGTTTACTATGTGCTAGATATTCTCTGAGATGGATACTATTATTATCAATGGGCAGAGTAGCAGAGGGGAAAAAATCTCTACAAAAAAAAAGAAAGAAAGGGGATAGCTACTTTACAATCAAATTACAAGTCTCAGCTAAATCCCTGTTAAGATCTCAGATCATTCAAACATTACATATACTTAATAAGACTCTTTTTCTATGTATAAATTGCCCCGTAGCACACCCCAAAGAATACTGAAAAACACTGGGGAAGAAAAGTAAATGTATCTATTAGGTAGTTTTATACAACTCTTGCTAATTCTACTCTCTCTTATGGTCAAGGAACTGACATGCATATAAGGCCTTTTATATCAGGTTATGTTTTATTACTTTAATAAAGGCTTTCTTAGCAAAATGATGTCCAGAATACCTAATTCAAAAGCTAAAGTTACGGCAGTTCATTTGCAACCATCTCATTTAGCGAATGGAAAGTGGAAATTTATCTGAAACCATGGCTAACTAATCTTGCTGATATTATAACAGGCTTAAAAATTAAGTTTTAATGCTAGACATCTGATAAAAAGGACTGTTTGATTCCTACTTCAAGTTGGGCCAGCTTTATTAAACCTAAGCATTAAAAGGTATAAGTTATCTGGTGTGTCAGCTGAAATGAGCTGTGACTTTTTCCTGTCAGGCATTGCAATATTTGATGAGCCATCCCCTCCCAGGGCATATTCAAAGTAAAATACATATGGACAGCTCATCTGAAATCTTTTGTGCCTCCCAAAGGTCACCCTCTCAAACATCAAGGTTGGAAAGGCCTGGTGATCTGAGAAGCTTTATTGCTGCTCATATCGTTTAAGTTATCTGAAAACTGGACCTTAATGAATCCATCAGTATGTGGCCTTTTACAATAGCTAAAAGCCCCAGTATGGAGTCATATGCATTCAAATCATGTCAACTCAGGTAAATGAGCTAATGTCAGGATTTTTAAAAATTTTCTACAAGAAGTCACTGCCTTTCCCTTCTTCTGTCATAAAATTACAACCCCCTCCCACCCCAAACCAAGATAATTTACTTTGTCCTGGTATTTTTAAAGTATAAAACTTGAAATATGTTTAGCACTAATGTGGAAATAAGCATAAAAATACATTCATAGGTTACGTTTGTACCCTTTAGCTAAACCTACCCGTTTTTAACACCATTACAATACATGTGACTCTTGGAACACATAACAGTAAATCCCCTCTCTTCTATTACATCAATGCCAAGAATGCTAACGTTTTCATCTTGAATTTATTCTCTGGCTTAATGAAGAGACTTATGGGTTAGCCTAATACTTGCAAAATCCAAGCCTCAAAAAAGCTTTAACTAAAAGGTATTATTACCAAGAGATAAGCTTTTCACACCGTATCATCCTCACCACCACCATGACCACCATCGTCATAATAAAGGGGCTAATATTTACTGAGTTCTTAGGATGTGCCAGGCGCTATGCTAAGGATCTTACAGAATTATTTCCGTTGATCTTCACAAAAACCCTAACAGGAAGATGATACTATCACTGTATTACAGATAAGGAAGCTAAGGCTTAATGAAGGAATTTTGCACAAAGTAGGGGATCAATAATTTGACCTCTAAGGTTTTACAAATTTGGGAAACTAAATAGCTGAAGATGTAATATTAACTCAAATGTCAAAATTATTTAGTAGAAAGAGGAAAAAATACCCATAAACCTCAGGATTACCTAGGGCCTTGAAAAGTTCTTCTCGAACTGCAGAGGTGAATTTTCGGACCAGACACAATGTTGTCACAATAGCAAAAAGCAAATTGTAGGATAATACAATATAGAAATTTCCCAGCCAATTAAACCTTCCAAAGTCGCCAAGTAGATCAAATCTAGTGATTCCTGTTAAAAATAAATAAAATAGCCCTTAATGAAATCAGGTTAAGACATATTTAGTGTGCTACAAGTAAAGTACAAGTTAGATCGAATTCTATGGACTTTCTCACTTCTGTGACGTGAGATGCTCTAATGAATAAATCCTAATTTAAAATATGTAACTATTATCTAGTGGGACAGCCTCAAGCCAGACCTAACCTACTTCACATACACGCCACAGTCACTAGCAAGTGATGAGTAATGAGGTCAGAATGAACGCCCCTCGACATTCGACGGAACTCATGCTGATGTTAAAAATCAAGCACTCGTGCTGCTTACATGGGGAGGATGGCTGACTGCATGCTCTACCGAGACAGGACGGCTGTAACTGATCACAGGAAGCAAGAGTCACGATGAAAAAGATGCCTGAGAACATCCTTACACCTCCTCTGCTGCTGCTCTCTGGAGGAACTGCCCGTCCCCTCTCTTTAGTCGGGTCTCTGGGCAAATGCCATCTCCTCGGACAGGAAACCTCTGACTCCCCTACCTAAAACAGCAGGACCTTCCATGGCCTTCTATACTAATTACGAGTCTTCACAGCATACATAGACTATTTTTTTTTCTTTTTGGCTTATTATTGCCTGTTTTCCCCACTAGAATGTAGGTTCTATAAGAACAGGAACTTTGTTTCACCCCTATAATCCCAGTGCCCAGAATAATGTCTTATACACACTTAATATGTATAATATAAATGAATAAATAAGGTAATTTCCTTCCATTAAAAATTGTTAATCTGAGTTTAATGCTTATAGGCTTGTAGGGTAAAAAGACAAAGCAGGAAATACAGTAGGATGATCTAATATATGCATTGAAGTTACTTAAATTCACCTATACACATTTGTAAAAGTATTTTTACTTAAAAATAGTTTAAATAGTCATTCTATTAAATGAGCACATGGCCAGGTCCAGTATTTACTGGAAAAAAATACATGAATGGTAGGATTTTTCTGACCACTGACAGATAAATAAATCACATCATTCAGGTGTCGGTCAAGAGACAGATAATGGGAATGTCAACATTCTTCAAGGAAAAAAGGATAGAGCATTTGGGGGCCATATAAAATTTAAACTACAAAGAATTAGAATAAGTAATAACAATCGTCTATAAAATTGTATAAATAAAATTATGTACCTTGTATTTTAAGGGTGATTTAAGGATTTTTATGGGTGATCTCAAGAATAACTTTGACTATACTCAATTTTACATTATCAGTTGACCTTTGAGCTGAACTCTAATCCTCCCTCCAATGCAATGGCATAATCTACTACAGATAGCCTCTACAAAAGCAGCTTAGAGAGACAACAGAAAAACCAAATACAAACATTGTCATAAAAACAGGAGATCTCAAAAGTAGCTCTTCTGTAGCCACTTCTACCCAGGACAAATGTGTTTGAAATTAAAAGACAGTAATATACCAAAATATTTTTTTAAGGTAGATAATTAATGAAAACATACAATAAAATAGCTTTTTTAAAAAGGTTAAAATGCAGACACCAGAAGAGTACACAGCATATGTCACACATGGTTATGAGATGATGACAACAATCTTGGCTACAGTTTCTCAGCTATTCATATTAATAAAACTTTACTTTGTTAAAAGGAATACATATCTAATTATAAGTTTTATTTTTCAAATACAGTACCATTTCATTTAGCCTAGGAAGTGATCTTTAAACAAGATATAGTCCTACCAAAACAAGCTTCAGTGGCTTCAACCCAGAGATCTCAGATAAGTAATTTTATCATTAGGGCCAAAGACTCCTTTGAGAATCTGCTGAGAGCTATGAATCTTCTCACAAGAAAAACCCAGACACAGACACCCAAATTTTACACAGCACGAAGTTCACTGACGGAGGACACGGGAGATCCCAGAATCAAACCCTTGCCCAGATGCTCTATACCAGTCTTACCTGCTCTTGAAATTTTTTTTAACATATACTACCATCAGTAAAAACAAAATTTGAGCATCTATACCCCATATATGTGTATTTAATTATTTATAAGCTACATATATACTATTCAATGACATATACAGACAAAACAAAGACTTTAAAAATCATAACAATAAATATAAATGCAAGTTCTAATAGTTTCTTCACACAGTCCAACGACTTACTTTATGAATGCAAGGAAATGCACAAACTCCACTTTGGAAACCACTGGTATATGCTCTGTGGTGGGTAATCCTACCAGCCCTGTACATGGCCTGTGTCCTACGTTGTGACAGCAATACCATATAATGAGAAGTCAGGAAGCTGAATGCATCATCACGGTAAGAATGGAAGGTATGTTTTGCAAAACGGGAAAGTGCTTTCACTAGAACTTCTTAGTGGACTCAACTTGGTATCTTGAGACTCAGGGTCAAGACTTAGACATATCTAGGCAAAGAACAGTCTCTATCATCAGATGTTTTGGTTTTCAGGCTATTTCAGGTTGACTTCATCAACAGAAACCCAGGAGCCTGTTGCTATAGTGCACCGAAGAAATAGACAAATATTACCTCATAAAAACTAGTTCCAAGACATCATTGTGTTGAATTTAATATTTTTAAAAATCTGATAGATTGACTAACAGATCACTCTGACCAACACACAGTTCTTCAATTCTGAAAATTTTCTATAAAGACTGGACCACAAGAAACCTTAAAAATGAACTTCTCTAAAATTCTGCCTGAGAGGTTTCTGGCATGGCAATAATTAGATTATAAAATGTACTTTTAAAATTAAAAGCACCAACAATTAAGAAAAAATGGCAATACTCAGACAAAGCTTTAATAGCAATCATTTGACAAATGTAAAAGAGTTTTAAACCTCTATTTCCGTAAAAAGGTAAAAGCATTTTAAAACCAAGCAAATTTTTTAAAATACTACTATTAGAAGTAATACTACTATTAAAAGCAAGCAAATATTTTAAAATACTACTATTAGAAAGATCTAATTATCAAATGTTGTTAACTCCCTTAGTCAAGTATCTAAATGCTTATGTCCATTTGGAAGTTCATTTTGTTAAAAGATTAAGTAAAATACACACCAGGCAAGAAGCTTAGTAAGTTAAGCAGTAGTTAAGCATAAGGTTCACATTATCTAGATTATCTGTCAATAAAAAAAATTCTTCATGACAAACTGCACATCACCTCCCCCAACTAGAATTCAACTGAAAATATTTTATGCATAATTCCTTGAATAATGATCTTTTTCTATTCATACCTATAAAAGAATTAACATACAGAATAAAATCTCATTTAAGAAAGGGCTGGTTTCTCTACCTGCAATATGAGTCAATAGAATTTATGTTCTTTAGCCCACCTGAGTAAACTTCTACTTTTAGCAAGCTTATTCATCTTCCTAAAGCAGCAAAAAGTAGTTAAGAGAGAGTTTATAAAGCTTGACACATAAAGGGATCATTAATATGACTTTATCAATAAATTATATATGTTGGCATTTACACAAATGGCTGACATAAATATCCATGGTTTTAATGTAAGATTACCAGAAAGAACACGTACATCTTGTTATTTTAAAAAAAAAACTTATAGATTAAATGTTCTTTGCTGAAATATTAGGATTAGCATACTTTTTTCCTTCTGAACTCAAAGGTTAGATTATTAGACTATGTTTTCAAATCTCTTCCTCTAAACCATTTTTTTGAAATAATATTAGCTAAGACAGTGTTGGGAAAAAAAAGTGACAAAGAGTATGAAATAATGAAATCTACAGTCATTTTAAAACAGGAATAATTTAAATTGGCTCATTGCCAATTGTTTTATTCATTCAAAAACAAAGTCATCATAAAACGAAAGAGAGGCTCCACTTCTGAGGTGGAATGAAAGATGATGCTGTTGAAGCAAACGCTTTACCTTTTTTTTTTGAGATGGAGTTTTGCACTTGTCGCCCAGGCTGGAGTGCAGCAGCGCGATCTCAGCTCACTGCAACCCAAGCCCTCCTGGGTTCAAGCGATTTTCCTGCCTCAGCCTCCCAAGTAGTTGGGAATACAGGCGCCCACCACCACGCCCGGCTAATTTTTGTATTTTTAGTAGAGATGGGGTTTCACCATGTTGGCCAGGCTGGTCTCAAACTCCTGACCTCAGATGATCCGCCCTCCTGGACCTCCCAAAGTGCTGGGATTACAGGCGTGAGCCACTGTGCCCAGCTGACTTTACCTTTTCACCAGTCTTACTGTGCAAGTATATTTTCATGAAATTATATCAATTGGAGATATACTTATTGACTTCAGGCTCCAGCCTATATGGAGTAAAAGAGGCCAGATTTTCCCTCTCAACTTTATAAACTGAAATACTGAACAAAGTATATGAAACAACAGTTTTCAAGACCCTAGACATCAGGAAACGAAGGACAGTGATCACTGAGAGATGAGAAACAAACAAGGTGGGCCCTATGATTGCCACAGTTTACCACCTAAAGAGAGACTGCAGTGTAGAGAGAAGAGCTGAGGAGAGCTCCAGCCATCTCCCTAAGTTCATGAGACGAAGCTTGGAGCATAAGGATGACACAGTGGCCAGTGGGCTGCACAAAGGAAGAACCTGGCAGACAACTGACCAGTGTATGCTTGTGGGGAGCAACTAATCAAGAAATGAAGCAGGTGACAGAATGAGTAGCAAAGACATTAAAACGGTTATTTTAACTACATTTCTTATTTCAAAAGCTAGAGGAAAGATAAAACTTGCTAAGTAGAGATATGAAAGAAAATAGACTGAAACTGACCTTCTACAAAGGAAAATTATACTGTGGGATATGCAAATTATACTAGATAGGATTAATGGCAGATTAGACACTGCAGAAGAAGAGATTAGTAAATTTAAAGACACAGCAACAGGAAAACAAAACAAAGAGCAAAATAAGAATGAAAAAAGCATCAATGAACCATGAATTAATTTGAAATGTCTTATGTACTTGTGATTAGAGTCCCTGAAGGAGAAGAGAAGAAAAAACACTATTTGAAAAAATAGTGGCTGAAAATCTTTCAAATATGATGAAAATTAACCAAAGAAGTATAATAATCTCAAAGAACAAGGAATCAGAAAAGAACAAACTAAACCCAAAGTTAGCAGAAGAAAGAAAATAATAAAGACTGAAGCAGAAATAAATGAATTAGAAAATATAGAAACATTAGAAAAATCAACAAGAGTTGGATTTTTTAAAAGATAAAAGTGATAAAAACCTTAGCTAGACTAACTCAAAGAGAAGTCAGAAATAACTAAAATAAGAAATAAAAAGAGATATTCCAACAAATGACACAAATAAAAAGATCATAAGGAACTATTATGAACCATTATATGCCAACAAATTGGATAACCCAAAAGAAACAGATAAATTCCTAGAAACATACAATCTGCCCAGACTAACTTTAGAAGAAATAGAAAACCTGAGCAAACTAATAAACAAGAAGATTGAATCACTAATCAAAACTTTCCAGCAAAGAAAAGCCCAGGACCAGATGGCTTCAAAAGGTAAATTCAACCAGACAATTCAAAGAAAAACTAATATGAACTCTTCATAAACTGATCCAAAAACAGAAAAGGAAAGTAAACTTCCAAGCTCATTTTACAAGGCCAGCATCGCCCTGATTCCAAAGCCAATAAAAAGGCAACAAAAGTAAAGAAAACTACAGGGCAGTATTCCCAGTAAACACAGATGCAAAACTCCTCAATACAATGCTAGCTAGCAAACCTAACTCAACAACACATTAATAGGATCGTACGCCCTAGCCAAATGGGGCCAATTTATTGCTGGGATGCAAGTATGGTTCAACATATGAAGGTCAATCAATGTGATATACCACACTAGCAGAATGAAAGACAAAACCACATGATTAGCTCAGTAGATGTAGAAAAGAGCAACTGACAAAATTGAATATACTTTCATGATAAAAACTCTCAACAAAACAGGTAAAGAAGGAATTTATCTCACCATAATAGAGACATTTTTTTTTTTAAGAGACAGAATCTCACTCTGTCACCCAGGCTAGAGTGCAGAGCCTCAGCCTCCTGGCAAATGATCCCACCTCAGCCTTCCAGGTAGTTGGGACTATAGGCGCATGCCACCATGCCAGGCTAATTTTTGTATTTTTTGCAGAGACAGGGTCTCATTTTGTTGCCCAGGCCGGTCTTGAACTCCTGGACTCAAGCTATCCACCCACCTTGACCTCCCAAAGTGCTGGGATTACATGCATGAGCCACTGCACCCAGCCAAGACAATAGATATTTTTAGAAACCCACAGCTAACATTATAATCAATGGGAAGAAACTGAAAGCTTCTAAGATCTGGAAGAAGGCAAGGATGCCCACTTTTGCCACTGCTATTCAACATACTACTTGAAGTCCTAGCCAGAGCAATCAAGTTAGAAAAACTTTAAAAATCCATCCAAATAGGCAGAGAAAAAGTAAAATTATCTACATATGCAGTTGAAATGATCATACAGGCAGAAAATCTTAAGGACTCCATCAAACAAAACTTTTAGAATAAATGAATTCAGTAAAATTACAGGTTACAAAATCAACATAAAAAACCAGTGGAATTTCTATACACTAAGAATGGACTTTCCAAAAACGAAATTAACAAAATAATCCTACTTGTAATAGCATCAAAAAGAATGTCATAATAAACTCGACAACTTAGATGAAATAAACAAATTCCTTAAAAGACACTAACAAAGTTCACTAAAGAAGACCTAAACAAAACTACAAACAAGAGAAAGTAAAAGACATGTAAAAGACTCAATATTGTAAAGATGTTAATCCTTTCCAACATGTTTTATAGATTCAATACAATCCCAGTCAAAATCCTAGCAGATGTGGTGGCTCATGCCAGTAATCCCAGCCCTTTGGGAGGCTGAAACAAGAAAATCACTTGAAGCAGGAGTTTGAGATCAGCCTGGGCAACACAGCAAGAGCCAAAGACTACACGAAATTTAAAAATTAGATGGCCATAGTGGTGAATGCCTGTAGTCCTAACTTCTTAGGAGGCTTAGGCAGGAGGATCACTTGACATCACGAGGTTGTGGCCACAATGACTTAAAATCATACCACTACACTCCAGCCTGGGTGACAGAACAAGACTTTGTCTCCAAAACAAACAAACGGTATTAGTCTGTTCTCACACTGCTATAAAGAAATACTTCAGACTGGGTAATTTATAAAGAAAAGAGGTTTAATTGGCTCATGATTCCATGGGCTGTAGAGGAAGCATGATACTGGCATCTGCTCAGTTTCTGGGGAGGTCTAAGGAAACTTTCAATCATGGGGGAAAGTGAAGGGGAAACAGGCACATCTTACATGGCCGGTGCAGGAGCAAAGGGTTGGGGGAGGCACCCGACACTTTTAGACAACCAGGTCTCACAATAACTCACTATTGCCATGACAGCAGCACCAAGGGGGATGGTGTTAAACCATGAGAAACTGCCCCCAAAATCCAGTCACCTCCCACCAGACCCCACCTCCAACACTGGGAATCACAACTGAACATGAGATCTGGGTGAGGACATAGATCCAAACCATATCACATGCACACAAAACAATTTTTTAAAAACCTAAAGAACTTATACTACCAATGTCAAGTTTTATGACCAATCTATTGTAATCCAGACAGTGTAGTACTGATGTAAAGAAAAAAAAAGACACTGATGGAAAAAAAAAAAGAGAGAGCACAGAAACAGAATCACATTCACACATATGTGGACAATTGGCTTTCAATGAAAATCCAAAGGTAATGCAGTGGAAAATGAATAAACTTTTCAAGCAATGGTGCTGGAATAACTGGCAACCAGTATGGAAAAAAACCCCTCCAATCTATATGTCATACTATATTCAAAAATTAACTCAAAGTGAGTCATGGGCCAAAGCACAGAAACTAAATGTATAAAACTTCTAGAAGAAAACATAGAGGACAGTCTTTGTGATCCCGGGTTAGAGAAAGATTTAGTAGATTATGACATCAAAAGCACAATCCATAAAAGAAAATTTAATAAATTTGACTTCATCAAAATTAAGGATGTCTGCTTGTTCAAAGATATTGTTAGGAGAATGAAAAGACAGGTAACTAAATGGAAGAAATATTTACACGTCATATATTTTGATAAAGAACTTTAACCAAGAATATGTAAACAGCCCTCAAAGTTAAATAACAAGAAAATAAATCCAATCGTTAAAATTAACAAAAGATCTTAATAGACATTTTGCCAAAGAAAATATGCAACAGTGTATTGGTCCATTTTCATGATGCTGATAAAGACATACCCGAGACTGGGAAGAAAAACAGGTTTAATGGAATCACAGTTCCATATGGCTAGGAAGGCCTCACAGTCATGGCAGAGGGCGAAAGGCACTTCTCACATAGCGGCAGCAAGACAGAATGGAAGCTTGTGCTGGGAAGCTCCCCTTTTGAAAACCATCAGATCTTGTGAGACTTATTCACCATCACAACAACAGCATGGGAAAGACCTGCCCCCATGATTAAATTACCTCCCACTGAATCCCTCCCACAGCATGTGAGAATTCAAGATGAAATTTGGGTGGGGACACAACCAAACCATATTATTCTGCCCCTGGCCCCTCACAAATCTCATGTCCTCTCATTTCAAAACCAATTATGCCTTCCCAACAGTCTCCCAAAGTCTTAACTCATTTCAGCATTAACTCAAAAGTCCACAGTCCAAAGTCTCATCTGAGACAAGGCAAGTACCTTCTGCCTATGAGCCTGAAAAATCAAAAGCAAGTTAGTTACTTCCTAGATACAACGGGGATATATTGGGGGACCCTGCTGCCAATATTTCAATGTAGGTTCTATTTTCCATAAGTGTAGGCCAGCTGAGAGAGAGAGACAGTACAAAGAGAGGAATTTTATAGCTGGGCCGCCAGGGGTGACATCACATATCAGTAGGACCGTGATGCCCACCTGAGCCTCAAAACCAGCAAGTTTTTATTAAGGGTTTCAAAAGGGGAGGGGGTGTAAGAACAGGGAGTAGGTACAAAGATCACATGCTTCAAAGGGCAAAAAGCAGAACTACTAATAAGGATCTAACAAAGATCACATGCTTCTGAGGGAACAGGACAAAGGGAAAAAGAAGAACCACTGATAAGGGTCTGTTCAGCGGTGCACATATTGTCTTGATAAACATCTTAAACAACAGAAAACAGGGTTCGAGAGCAGAGAACTGGTCTGACCACAAATTTACCAGGGCGGAGTTTTTCCCCACCCTAGTTAAGCCTGAGGGTACTGCAGGAGACCACAGCATATCTCAGTCCTTATCTCAACCGCATAAGACAGTCATTCCCAGAGCGGCCGTTTATAGACCTCCCCCCAGGAATGCATTCTTTTCCCAAGGTATTAATATCAATATTCCTTTCTAGGAAATGAATTTAGCGATATCTTCCCTATTTGCATGTCCATTTATTGACTCTCTGCAAGAAGAAAAACATGGCTCTTTCTGCCCGACCCCGCAGGCAGTCAGACCTTATGGTTGTCTTCCCTTGTTCCCTAAAAATCACTGTTATTCTATTCTTTTTCAAGGTGCACTGATTTCATATTGTTCAAACACACGTTTTACAATCAATTTGTACAGTTAACACAATTATCACAGTGGTCCTGAGGTGACATACATCGTCTGCTTATGAAGACAACAGGATTGAGAGATTAAAGACAGGCATAAAAAATTATAAAAGTATTATTTGGGAACTGACAAATGTCCATATTAAAATGAGATCTTCACAATTTATGTTCCTCTGCGGCAGCTCCAGCCAGTCCCTCCATTCGTGGTCCGTGACTTCCCGCAACAGGGATACAGGCATTGGGTAAATACAGCCATTCCAAACAGGAGAAATTGGCCAGGACAAAGATGCTACAGGCCACAGACAAGTCCAAAATCCAGCAGGGCAGTCAAATCTTAAAGCTCCAAAATGATCTCCTTTGACTCCATGTCTCGCATCCAGGTCATGGTGATGCAAGAAGTGGGTTCCCATGGTCTTGGGCAGCTCCACCCCTGTGGCTTTGCAGGGTACAGCCTCCCTCCCAGCTGCTTTCACAGGCTGGTATTGGTTTTCCAGGCACACAGTGCAAGCTGTCAGTGGATCTACCATTTTGAGGTCTGGAAGATGGTGGCCCTCTTCTCACAGCTCCACTAGGCAGTGCCCCAGTAGGGACTCCGTGTGGGGGCTCTGACCCCACATTTTCATTCCGTACTGCCCTAGCAGAGGTTCTCCGTGAGAGCCCTGCCTTTGCAGCAAACTTCTGCCTGGGAACCCAGGTGTTTCCATACATCTTCTGAAATCTAGGTGGAGGTTCCCAAACCTCAATTCTTGACTTCCGTGCACCACACGCTCAACACCACATAGAAGCTGCCAAAGCTTGGGGCTTCCACCCTCTGAAGCAACAGCCCAAGCTGTACCCTGGCCCTTTAGTCACGGCTGGAGCAGCTGGGACACAGGGCACCAAGTCCCTAGACTGCATACAGCAGAGGGACCCTGGGTCCAGCCCCATGAAACCACTTTTTCCTCCTAAACCTCCCAGCCTGTGATGGGAGGGGCTGCCGTAAAGGTTTCTGACATGCCCTGGAGACACTTTCCCCATTATCTTGGTGATTAACATTCAGCTCCTCATTACTTATGCAAACTTCTGCAGCTGGCTTGAATTTCTCCTTAGAAAATGGAATCTTCTTTTCTATTGCATTGTCAGGCTGCAAATTTTCCAAACTTTTATGCTGTTTTCCTTTTAAAACTGAATGCCTTAATGTTTTAAATGTTTTATGTTTAAATGTTTAATGTTTTAAAATTGAACAGCACTCAAGTCACCTCTTGAATGCTTTGCTGCTTAGAAATTTCTCACACCAGACACCCTAAATCATCTCTCTGAAGTTGAAAGTTCCACAAATCTCTAGGGCAGGGGCAAAATGCCACCAGTCTCTTTGCTAAAACATAACAAGAACAAGGCTACAGTAACCAAAACAGCATGGTACTGGTACCAAAACAGAGATATAGATCAATGGAATAGAACAGAGCCCTCAGAAATAATGCCGCATATCTACAACTATCTGATCTTTGACAAACCTGACAAAAACAAGAAATGGGGAAAGGATTCCCTATTTAATAAATGGTGCTGGGAAAACTGGCTAGCCATATGTAGAAAGCTGAAACTGGATCCCTTCCTTACACTTTATACAAAAATTAATTCAAGATGGATTAAAGACTTAAATGTTAGACCTAAAACCATAAAAACCCTAGAAGAAAACCTAGGCAATACCATTCAGGACATAGGCACGGGCAAGGAATTCATGTCTAAAACACCAAAAGCAATGGCAACAAAAGCCAAAATTGACAAATGGGATCTAATTAAACTAAACAGCTTCTGCACAGCAAAAGAAACCACCATCAGAGTGAACAGGCAACCTACAGAATGGGAGAAAATTTTTGCAACCTACTCATCTGACAAAGGGCTAATATCCAGAATCTACAATGAACTCAAACAAATTTACAAGAAAAAAACAACCCCATCAAAAAGTGGGCAAAGGATATGAACAGACACTTCTCAAAAGAAGACATTTATGCAGCCAAAAAACACATGAAAAAATGCTCATCATCACTGGCCATCAGAGAAATGCAAATCAAAACCACAATGAGACACCATCTCACACCAGTTAGAATGGCGATCATTTAAAAGTCAGGAAACAACAGGTGCTGGAGAGGATGTGGAGAAATAGGAACACTTTTATACTGTTGGTGGGACTGTCAACCGTTGTGGAAGTCAGTGTGGCGATTCCTCAGGGATCTAGAACTAGAAATACCATTTGACCCAGCCATCCCATTACTGGGTATATACTCAAAGGATTATAAATCATGCTGCTATAAAGACACATGCACACGTATGTTTATTGCGGCACTATTCACAATAGCAAAGACTTGGAACCAACCCAAATGTCCAGCAACGATAGACTGGATTAAGAAAATGTGGCACATATACACCATGGAATACTATGCAGCCATAAAAATGATGAGTTCATGTCCTTTGTAGGGACATGGATGAAACTGGAAACCATCATTCTCAGCAAACTATTGCAAGGACAAAAAACCAAACACTGCATGTTCTCACTCATAGGTGGGAATCGAACAATGAGAACACATGGACACAGGAATGGGAACATCACTCACCTCGGACTGTTGTGGGGTGGGAGGAGGGGGGGAGGGATAGCATTAGGAGATATACCTAATGCTAAATGATGAGTTAATGGGTGCAGCACACCAACATGGCACGTGTATACATATGTAACAAACCTGCACGTTGTGCACATGTACCCTAAAACTTAAAGTATAATAATAATAAAATTTAAAAAAAAATCATCTTTGCTCCAGTTCGCAACAAGTTCCTCATCCCCACCTGAGACCACCTCAGCCTGGACTTTATTGTCCATATTGCCATCAGCATTTTGGGCAAAGCCATTCAACAAGTCTCTAGGAAGTTCCAAACTTTACCATATTTTCCTTTCTTCTTCTGAGCCCTCCAAACTGTGCCAACCTGTGCCTGTTACCCAGTTCCAAAGTCGCTTCCATATTTTCAGGTATCTTTTCAGCAGTGCCCCATTCTACTGTTACCAATTTACTGTATTAGTCTGTTTTCATGCTGCTGCTAAAGACACACCCAAGACTGGGAAGAAAAACAGGTTTAATGGACTCATGGTTGCATGTGGCTGGGGAGGCCTCACAATCATAGTGGAAGGTGAAAGGCACTTCTTACATGGCAGCAGCAAGAGAGAATGTGAGCTTGTGCAGGGAAACCCCCTTTTTAAAACCATCAGATCTCATGAGATTTACTATTATGAAAACAGCAAGGGAAAGGCCTGCCCCCATGATTCAATTACCTCCCACCAGACCCCTCCCACAACATGTGGGAATTCAAGATGAGATATGGGTGGGGACACAGCCACACCATATCAAATGGCAAATAATCACATTAGTTATCAGGGAAATGCAAATTAAATCTTCCCTTCCTAGATATGCATCCAACAGAAATGTTGATATGACTGTTCAAGCTGCATTATTTGCAATACCCAAAAGTTGTAAACAACTCAAAGGTCTTCCAATGGGTGAACAGATAAACAAATTGTGATATATACATACAAGAGAGTACTATTCAACAATAAAAAATGAACTATTCATACATACATCATCACAGATGCATCTTAAATATGATGAGTAGAAGAAGTCAGGTAAATGGTACATATTGTATGATTTCATATATATAAAATTCTAGGAAGTGCAAACTAATTTATAGTTATACAAAGAAGGTCAGGCACATGTATGAGAATGGCCAAAATCCAGAACACTGACACCATATGCTGGTGAGGATGTGGAGCAACAGGAACTCTCATTCTATGCTGTCAGGAATGTAAAATGGTACAACCACTCTTTTCAAAAATTGAATTTTATTTTAAGTTCTGGGATACATGTGCAGGATGTGCAGGTTTGTTATCATGTGCTATGGTGGTTTGCTGCACCTATCAATCTATCACCTAGGTGTTAGACCCCACATGCTTAGCTGTTTAACCTGATTCTCTCCCTCCCCCGACCAAGGCCCAGTGTGTGTTGTTCCCCTCCCTGTGTCCATGTATTCTCATTGTTCAGTTCCCACTTATAAGTGAGAACATGTGGTGTTTGGTTTTCTGTTCCTGTGTTAGTTTGCTGAGGATAATGGCTTCCAACTCCATCCATATCCAGGCAAAGGACATGATCTTGTTCCTTTTTATGGCTGTATAATATTCCATGGTGTATATGTACCACATTTTCTTTATCTAGTCTATCACAGATGGGCATTTGGGTTGATTCCATGTCTTTGCTATTGTGAATAGTGCTGCAATGAACATATATGTGCATGTATCTTTATAACTGATTTTTATTCCTTTGGGTATATACCCAGTAATGAGACTGCTGGGTCAAATGGTATTTCTGGTTCTAGGTCTTTGGGGAATCGCCACACTGTCTTCCACAATGGCTGAACTAACTTACATTCCCAACAACAGTGTAAAAGTGTTCCTATTTCTCCACCACCTCACCAGCATCTGTTGTTTCTTGACTTTTTAATAATTGCCCTTCTGACTGGCATGATATGGTATCTCATTGTGGTTCTGATTTGCATTTCTCTAATGCTCAGTGATGTTGAGCTTTTTTTCATATGTTTCTGGACCACATAAATGTCTTCTTTTGAGAACTGTATGTTCATGTCCTTTGCCCACTTTTTAATGAGGTTTGTTTTTTTCTTGTAAATTTATCTAAGTTCCTTGTAGATTCTGGATATTAGACCTTTGTTAGACTGAAAAAATTTTCTCCCATTGTGTAGGCTGTCTGTTCACTCTCATGATAGTTTCTTTTGCTGACACAACCAATTTAGAAGACACTTTGACAGTTAAATTTTCTTTTTTCATTTCTTAATATTTTTACTTCTTTTTCACATCTCAGCAGCAGCAGAGAAGGTTTTTTAAAAAAGAAAACTAAACATACTCTTAGCATATGATCCAAGAAAAATGTTTTTTGATATCTACCCCAAGGAGTTGAAATCTTTTGTCCACACAAAAACTTGCACATGAATATCTATAGAGAAGCTTTATTCACAACTGCCAAAATCTGGAAGCAACCAAGATGTCTTTCAGTAGGTAAATGGATAAACTGTGGCAAAAGCAGCTTCCTGAAAAGGAAAAGTCGAATTCTGAAAAAGAGAAGGAAAACAGGCAGCCCATGTGGCCTGGGGCCAAAAATGGGGAATGAATCCCCCATATGGAAGAGTGTAAGTGAGTGTCCTTCTGGGGTCCACTTTCCCTGGGAAACTGTACAATCCAGGCCATTGGAGAGCACCTTGACTCTCCTAATCTCAGAATCACATTTAAGGAGCAGCCAGGA
This sequence comes from Homo sapiens, assembly GCF_000001405.40. Lineage (NCBI taxonomy): Eukaryota > Metazoa > Chordata > Mammalia > Primates > Hominidae > Homo > Homo sapiens. The sequence goes on from NC_000007.14 coordinate 156,703,119, forward strand.
AACCATGAGAAGAAACTGCTCCAGGGTGTGTCCTATGTGCTCTCTCAGACCCAGGCAGCTACAGTAAGATGCCATTCTTGATCTTAGCTGCTCAACAATGTGTGGAAATTAGCAGCACCAACCACTGGAGTTAGGGGGACTTGGGCTGGGGTTTGCAGAAAAGAGGCTTGAGTAGGGGAAGAACTCCTGCAGCCAGAACTGAGAAATGAGCATGACCTGGGATCCAGCCCAACTGGCACAGGAACCAGGCTGTCTCCTAAGACCTCAGCAGGAGGAGAGTTGCCTCAGAGGCCAGGATGGGGGCTGGGTGGCATCTCCCACGGCCCTAAGCTGAGTGGCAGACTGGATGCAAACTTCTAGGACTGACTAGATACCTGGGTTCGCTGCCACAGTCGGAACAAGGGAGGGAGCACTCCACGAGAACAAGGATAGGAGAGGGACACAAGTTCCATGTCTGCTGGCCACAACTGTGGCTGCTTGGGCTGTCAATGTCAATCCTTCCCTAGGCTGAGACCCTGGCATAGTGGTGGCCACCCCTCACCCAAGCATTTTCCCAGGGGCTTGGGGGCTGCCTCACTACCCTTGTTGGGACTTTTGCATACAATCACCATGGGGGACCTGAGTACAATTGCCCAGTCCAGCTCTGCCTGGGCCCTTCCCCATGCCTCTCCAAGGTGGAGCATGGCATCCGGGCTCATGAGTTTTCCATTACCCAATCTGCCACCTGAGACACCCAAGTACTTCTCCCATGGAAAAGAGGCTGGGCACAAATCCTGTTGTACCCACTGTAGCTGGCTCTAACCTGTAAACATCGCCTACTGACCTAGAGGTCAACATGCAAAGCCCACTGCAACAACTTCTAACACAAGGGCAAAGTGCTTGGAAACTAGAAGATCATTGCACAACCACTGCTACCACCATGACCCATGCCACCCTGGGTTACAAGGGGGCTGAGGGCCCACTTACCCATTCAGCATACACAACTACAACCAGCATCCAGGAAAGCTACACAGAGGCCCAAGAAATAGCCTGGAACTGCCAACACAGGCGCCAGAATACACTGTCCCATGGCACAAGAACAGACATGCTTAGCCCACCACTGCTACCAATGAAACCTGAAAAGGGATCCATCAGGCATTCCAGTCCCCAGTACAACTTCACAATAGCTGCCACCAATAACCGCCCCATAACACCAACAAACCCACAGCTACCACAAAGGCTATTTATAGCCAAAGAAATCATGCAGCGTTTTTATCACTGCACATCCTGAAACAAAGCCAAACAGCCCTACCTGCCCAAACACATCATGGTCACATAGTCAAGAAAAAAAGTCCCCTCCCAATGAAAGTAAATTTAAAAATAAGCAGCAACTATTGCTCCGGATGCGCAGAAATCAATGTAAAGATACAAAAGGCCTGAAAAAGCCAAGGCAATATGACACCCTCAAAGGAAAACAATAATTCTCCAGCAATAGATCCTAACTGAAAAAAAAAAACCCTCAAAATGCCAGATTAAAGCTCAAAATACTAATTTCAAACAAGCTCAATGAGATGTAAGAGAAATCTGAAAACCAGTACAAAGATCAGAAATCAATATAGGATGTGAATAAGAAGTTTACTAAGGAAATAGTTGTCTTTAAAAAAAAAAAAAACCAGAAATTCTGAAACAAAAAAATTAATATAAGGAAGTATAAAATATAATCAAAAGCCTCAACAATAGACCAATAGAAGAAAGAATCTCAGAACGTGAAAGACAGGTCTTTTGAAATAATCCAGGCAGACAAAAATAAAGAAAAAGGAACAAAAAAGAATGAAGCCTTGGAGATGTTTGAGACTACATAAAAACCTAACGTACAGATTCCTGAGGGGGAAGAAAGATCAAAAAGTTTAGAAAACATATCTAATAAAATAAATGGTGAAAAGATCCCAAGTATAGCAAGAGATTTAGACATCCAAATACAGGAGGTCCAGTGGTCCATGAAAAATACACTGCACAAAGGACTTCACCACAGCATATTATAATCAGATTGTCGAAAGTCAAAGTGAAAGAATTCTAAAATCAGTAAGAAAAGAGCAATGGCAGACTTTTCAGCAGAAATCTTATAGGCCAGAAAAAAAATGAGAGGGCATATTCAAAGCACTAAAACAAAAAGCCTGCCCCTGGGCATAGTGGCTTACACCTGTAATCCCAGCACTTTGGGACGTCAAGGTGGGTGGATGGGTTGAGCCCAGGAGTTCGAGACCAGCCTGGACAACATGGTAAGACCTCCATCTCTACAAAAAACACAAAAGTTAGCTGGGCATGGTAGCATGTGCCTGTAGTCCCAGCTACTTGGGAGGCTGAGGTGGAAGGACTGTTTGAGCCTGGGAGGTAGAGGTTGCAGTGAGCTGTGATCATGCCACTGCACTCCAGCTGGGAGACACAGTGAGACTCTGTCGCAAAAAGAAAAGAAAAAAGCCTGCCATTGAAGAATTCTATTTTCAGAAAAATTAAGCTTCATACATGAAGGAGAGATAAAGTCTTTTGCAGACAAGCAATGCTGAAAGAATTCGTCTCCACTATACAGATCCTGTAAGAAATGCTCAAAGTCCTAAATGTGGAAACAAAAGGAAGATATTCACCGTCATGAAAACACATGAAAGTATAAAACTCACAAGTAAAACAATCACACAAAGGAGAAAGAGAAGGGAATCCAATGGCAATACTACAGAATTCCACCAAACCACAAAGAGAAATAGAGAAAAAGATAACAAAGAACTTACAAAACTAGAAAACAATGAAAAAATATGACAGGAACAAAACCTCACATATCAATATTAACCTTGAATATAAATGGATTAAATTCTCCTCTTAAAAGATACAGATTGGTGGAATGGATAGAGAAAAACATGATCCAACCATACACTGCTCACAAGAAATCCACCTTACCTATGAAGACACAGCCTCAAAGTAAAGATATTCCACACAAACAAAAAAACAAACAAGACCAGGAGTAGTTATACTGACACCAGATAAAACAGACTTTAAATCAAAAACAGTTAAAAAAAAAAAAAGACAACAAAGGTCATTATATAATGATAAAGGGACCTATTCAGCAAGAGGATATAACAATACATCCAAATATACATGCAGCCAACAGCACCAAGATTCATAAAACAAATATTACTACAGCTAAAGAAAGAGGCAGACAGCAATGAAATAATGGTGGTGGACTTCAACACCCTATTCATAGCTTATCGAGAAAAAAAATCAGCAAAGAAACACTGTACTTGGTGCAACGGACCTAAAACACATTTACAGAATATTCTGCTCAACTGCAGAATTTATGTTCTACTCATCAGCACATAAAACGTTCTCCAAGATAAACCATATGTTAAAACACAAAACAAGTCTCAACAAATTTTTAAAAATCAAAAATTTTCATGCATCAATATCACGAAATCAATACCAAGAAGAATTTCAGAAAACATACAAGTACACAGAAATTAACAACATGCCTCTGAATGACCATTGGGTCAAAGAATAAATTAAGTCAGAAATTAAAAAAAAAATTTTTGAAACAAATGAAAATGGAAACACAACATACTGAAACTTGCGAGATACAGCAAAAACAGTGCTAGGAGGGAAGTTTATGACATCAAGTGACTACATGAAAGATACTGAAAGATACAAATTAACAACCTAATGTCATACCTCAAGGAACTACAAAAGTAACAAACCAAATCCAAAATCAGTAGAAGAAAAGAAATAACAAAGATCAGAGCAGAACCAAAAAAAAAACAATAAAATAAAAACCAAAAAACAGTACAAAGGATCAGGAAAATGAAAAGTTGGTTCTTCGAGAAAATAAATAAAACTGATAAACCAATTGCTAGAGTAACAAGGGAAAAAAAAGAGACAACACAAAGAAAATCAGAAATGAAAAAGTAAACATTACAACCGATACCACAGAAATACAAAAGATCATCAGAGAATATTATAAACAACTATACATTCACAAAATAGAAAACCTAGAGGAAATGGATAAATTACTGGCTAGAAACATACAACCTCTCAAGATTGAACCGGGAAGAAATAAAAAACCCGAGCAGGCCAATGATGAGTAGCAAGATTGAATCCATTAAAAAAATCTCTCAACAAAGAAAAGCCCAGGACCAGATGGATTCACAGCTGAATTCTACCAAATGTACAAAGAAGAACTAATACCAATCCTCCTGAAACTGTTCCCAAAAACTGAGGCGGAGGGAATTCTTCCTAAGTCATTCTATGAGGCCCAAATCACTCTGATACCCAAACAGACAAGTACACTACAGACCAATATCCCTGATAAACACAGATGCAAAAACTCTCAATGAAATATTAGCAAACTGAATCCAACAGCACATCAAAAAGATAATACACCATGATCAGGCAGGTTTTATACCAGGAGTGTAAGGATGGTTCAACATACACAGTCAGTAAATGTGATATATCACACTGACAGAATTAAGGGCAAAAACCACATGATCATCTCCAAAGATGCAGAAAAAGCATGTGATAACTTCAGCATCCCTTCATGACGAAAGCCCTCCACAGATTAAGCATGCAAAGAGCATACTTCAAAATAATAAAGATCATATACAACAGTACCACAGCCAAAAATCATAAGAACTGGAAAAAGACAAGGATGTCAATTTTCACCACTCCTATTCAACAGAGTACTGACAGTTCTAGCCAGAACAATCAGGCAAGAGAAAGAAACAAAAGGCACCCAAATTGGTAAAGAGGAGGTTAAGTTATCCCTGTTCGTTCATGATATGATCTTATCTCTAGAAAAACCTAATGGATCCCCCCACAAAAAAGCTCTTGGATTTGATAAATTCAGTAAAGTTTCAGAATACAAAATCAATGTACAAAAACCAGTTGCATTTCTATATAAAAAAAAAAAAAAACTACTATCTAGCTGAGAAGGAAATCAAGAAGGCAATCCCATTTACAATAGCCAGAAAAAAAAAATTGGAGGAAGACGGCAGACAGGAGGCAGGACTAATGTGCAGTTCCCACTTGGAAGGACAGAACAGTGCGCGGAGACTCACACCATCAACTTTTGCTCCAAGAACCATTGTAGGATGTACCAGGAAAACAAAGAATTCACGAATCCTTTGAAAGAAGCAGCATATCATTGCAAATTCCATGAGACACAGGCAAAAAACTGAGTTCCCAGTGTGTGAGGTGGGGAAAACCTTCCTCTGAACACACATCCTCACTGTGGTAGCTGAAAATCCAGATAATGGGAAAAGGATTTAACCTTACTTAGAGTTGAAATAGATTCAGGGAGCCACACAAAAAATAAAAGCAGCATCAGTGGCAGGAAGAGCCCTGTAGGCTCTCCCAGTCTCCAGCTCAAGCCCAGGGAAGCCATCCCTGACTATATCTCACAGGGGACCTTGGGGAAGGCAGCCAGTGGAATTAGGGTGGGGTTACAGGATGAAAGAAGCTTCCAACTGAAATTTGTAATAACTTTGGGCACAAATTTTCTTGAGCAGAATTTCTTGAGCAAATTTTCTTGAGCAGAATCTGGTAGGGGGGCAGGGTGCAAATGGGAACTGCTGCAGATAAGAGCACAGAAGCCACCACGGACAGTGTGGGCAGATGGGGAAGGGCAAAGCCTGAAAGCCATGCTTGCTTTCTCAGCGGGGAAGCTTACGGCCTGGGACAAGGTCTGCGGCAGGGACTGCAGAAGAGAGACCAGCCTTGCCAACTGTGTGGGAGCTGGATGAGGCCTTTCACTACTGGCTCTCCCCAACTTCCCTGGCAAACTATATAACACAGCACAGGTGGCCAAGATCCCCTCTGGAACAAAACCCCATTGGCCTGAGAACCACCCCCCAACAACCACGGTGGCTGCAGCAAGCCCTGCCCAGGGAGAATCAGAACCCAGACCCACCTGACCTTGCCCCCAGCTGATGGTATTTCTCTACCTACCCTGGCAGCTGAACACAAAAGACATAAAGTCTAGGGAGCTTTATGGCCCCACCCATCACCTGAGAAACCAGAATACTTACCTTGGCCAACTTGGGGCAAGCTTAGATACCTCTACTACTATGGCAGCTGGAACTCTCTTGAAAGTGAGGCCAACCAACTGGCCAACCACATCAGGCCATTACAGCAACTCATGACAGAATAACCCTGCTCCCAGGAAGGAGAAAACAAAAGCTAATTCCACTGCCTGCAACATCCTGGCTAACCAGAGGTCCTGAGTCTGTCCACATGACACTTTCACTCCTGGCATAACCAGCATTTGAGAAAGCCAGCATACTAAACATACCTACAACCAGGAACTCTCACAGAGTCTCCATCACTCCCCTGCCAACTCCACCAAAGCAGATGCTGGTATCCACAGCTGGGAGACCCGAAGACAGACCACATCACAAGACTCTTTGCAGGCATTCCCCCGCACCATCCCAGAGCCTGGTAGCCCTGCTGGGTGGTTAAGCCCAGAAGAACAATAACAATCACTGCAGGCTGGCTCTCAGGAAGCCCCATCCCTAGGTGAAGGGGGAGAACACTGTATCAAGGGATCACCCAGTGGAACAAAAGAATCTGAACAGCAGGCCTTGGGTTCCAGACCTTCCCAATGAACTAGTCTACCCAAATGAAAAGGAACCAGAAAAGTAATTCTGGCAATATAAAAAACCGGGTTCTATAACACTCCCAGAAGATCACACTAGCTCCCTAGCAATGGATCCAAACCAAGAAGAAATCTCTGAATTGCCAGTTAAAGAATTCAGAAGGTTGATTTTTTTTTTTTTTTTTTTTTTTTTTGAGATGGAGTCTCACTCTGTCACCCAGGCTGGAGTGCAGTGGCGCGATCTTGGCTCACTGCAAGCTCCACCTCCCGGGTTCACGCCATTCTCCTGCCTCAATCTCCTGAGTAGCTGGGACTACAGGCGCCCGCCACCATGCCCGGCTAATTTTGTGTATTTTTTAGTAGAGACGGGGTTTCACCATGTCAGCCAGGATGCTCTCGATCTCCCGACCTCGTGATCTGCCTGCCTTGGCCTCCCAAAGTGCTGGGATTACAGGCATGAGCCACCGTGCCCGGCCCAGAAGGTTGATTATTAAGCTACTCAAGGAGATACAAGAGAAAGGTGAAAACCAATTTAAAGAAATGTTAACAATATAGGATATGGATGAAAAATTCTTCAGAGAAATAGATATCATAAAGAAAAAGCAATCACAACTTCTGGAAATGAAAAACACACTTAGAGAAATACCAAATGCACTGGAAAGTTTCAACGATAGACTGGACAAGTAAAAGAAAGAACTTCAGAGCTCAAAAACAAGGCTTTCAAATTAACCCAACTGGACAAAGACAAAGAAAAAAGAATTTAAAAACACGAACAAAGCCTCCAAGAAATTTGGGATTATGCTAAATGGTCAAAACTAAGAATAATTAGTGTTCCTGAGGAAGAAGAGAAATCTAAAAGTTTGGAAAACTTATTTGAGGGAATAACTGAGGAAAACTTCCTTGCTAGATATGCAAATGTCCAAATACAAAAAGCTCAAAGAACACTTGGGAAATTCATCACAAAATGATCATCACACAAACACGTAGTCATCAGGTTATCTAAAGTCAAAACGAAGGAAAGAATCTTAAAAGGTATGAAACAAAAGCATCAGGTAATCTATAAAGGAAAATCTATCAGATTAACCGTAAATTTTTCAGCAGAAACCTTAAAAGCCAGAAAGGATTGGGGTCCTTACCTGTAGTCCCCTGAAACAAAATAATTGTCAGTCAAGCATTTTGTATCCAGCAAAACTAAGCTTCACAAATGAAGAAGAAAAATAAAGAAATATCTAGGAGAATATTTAGCCAAGGAGGTGAAAGATATCTTTAAGAAAAAAATAAATAAATAAAATAAACTACAGGCTGGATACAGTGGCTCACGCCTGTAATCTCAGCAATTTGGGAGGCCAAGGTGGGCAGATCACAAGGTCAGGAGATCGAGACCATCCTAGCTAACATGGTGAAACCCTATCTCTACTAAAAATACAAAAAATTAGCTGTGTGTGGTGGCGCACACCTGTGGTCCCAGCTACTTGGGAGGCTGAGGCAGGAGAATCGCTTGAACCTGGGAGATGGAGGTTTGCAGTGAGCCAAGATTACGCCACTGCACTCCAGCCTGGGCGACAGAGCGAGACTCTGTCTCAAACAAACAAACTACAAAAAACACTAATGAAAGAAATTGTGGATAACACAAACAAATGGAAAAACATCCCATGCTCATGAATCAGAAGTATTAATATTGTTAAAATGACCACACTACTGCAAACAATCTATAGATTCAATGCAATCCCTACCAAAATACCAATGTTATTTTTCACGTAATTAAAAAAACTACCCTAAAATGTATACGGAACCAAAAAAGAGCATGAATAGCCAAAGCAATCCTAAGGAAAAAGAACAAAACTGGAGGCATCAACTTACCTAACTTCAAATTATACAACAAGGATACAGTAACCATAAGAGTATGGTACTAGTATAAAAACAGACACAGATCAATGGAACAGAATGGAGAACCCAAAAATAAAGCCACGTATTTACAGCCAGCTGATCTTTGACAAAACTGACAAAAACATACAATGAAAAAAGGATACCCTTTTCAATAAAAGGTGCTGGTAAAATTGGATTGCCATATGCAGATAAAAGAAACTGGACCCCTATCTCTCGCCATATATAAAAATCAACTCAAGATGGATTAAAGACTGAAATGTAAGACCTGAAATTATAAAAATACTAGAAGAAAACCTAGGAAAACTCTTCTGGACATTGGTCTAGGAAAAGAATTCATGACTTAAGACCTCGAAAGCACAGACGACTAAAGCAAAAATAAACAAATGGAACTTAATTAAACTAAAAAGCTTCTGCACAGCAAAATATCAACAGAGTGAACAGATAACCTGCAGAATGGGAGAAAAAGTTTGCAAATGATGCATCCAACAGCAGACTGATATCCAGAATTTACAAGGAATGCAAACAACTCAACAACAATAACAAAAATGACTTCATTAAAAAGTGAGCAAAGGACACACTTCAAAAAGTGGGCAAAAGACAGACTTCAAAAGAGGTCATACAAATGGCCAACTAGCATATGAAAAAATGCTCCACATCACTAATCAGAGAAATGCAAATTAAGAACACAATGTGATATTATCTTACATCAGTCAGAATGGCTACTATTAAAAAGTAAAAAAAAACAACAAATGTTGGAGAGGATGCAGAAAAAAGGGAACACTTCTATACGGTTGGTGGGAATGTAAATTATTACAACCTCTATGGAAAAACAGTATGGAGATTTCTCAAAGAACTGAAAATAGAACTACCATCTGATCCAGCAATCCCAGTACTGGGTATCTACCCAAAGGAAAAGAAATCATTATATCAAAAAGATGCCTGCACTCATATGTTTATAGCAGCACTGATCACAATAGCAAAGATATGGAATCAACCTAAGCGCCAATCAATGGACAACTGGATAAAGAAAATGTGGTATAAAAACACAATGGAATACAATTCAGCCAGAGCAAAGAATGAAATCATGTATTTCACAACAACATGGGTGGAATCATCATCTTAAGTGAAACAAGTCAGATACAGAAAGACAAATGCTGTATGTTCTCAATTATAGATGGGAGCCAAATAATGCATTCACATGGATGTAGGGTGCAGAATGATAGAAAATGAAGACTGAAAAAGGCAACAGGGCAGGGGGGAGGCTGGACGATGAGAAATTATTTAATGGGCATAGTGTACATTATTCAAGTGACAGACACCCTACAAGCCCTGACTACACCATTACACAATCTATGCATGCAACAAAATTGCACTTGTACCCCTGTAAATTTATACAAAAATAAATTAAACTGTGGTATATCCAGACAATGGAATCTTATTCCACGTTAAAAAGATATGAGCTATCAAGCCATGAAAAGATATGGAGGAACCCTAAATATACGTTAAATGAAAGAAACCTATCTGAAAAGGTTATATACTGTGTGATTCCAACTATATGACATTCTGGGAAAGGTGAAACTACTGAGACAGTAAGAAGATTAGTGGCTGCCGGGGGTGAGAGAGAGAGAGAGGGATAAATAGACAGGGCACGGAGGATTTTTAGGGCAGTGAAACTACTCTGCATGATGCCATAACAGTGGATATGGGACATTATACATTTGCCCAAACCCATAGAATGTACAACACCAGGAATGAACCCTAACGTAAACTCTGGACTCTGGGTGATAATGTGTCAGTGCAGGTTCATCAACTGTAACCAATGTGCCACTCTGGTGGGAGATGTTGGCAGTGGGGAAGGCTCTGCATGTGGGGGACAGGAGGTACGTGTGCTATCTCTGCACTTTTCCCTCAATTTAGCTGTGAACCTAAAACTGCTCTAAAAAATCTGTCTGGAAAAAAAAAACAAAAGGCAAATGAGTGGCTGCCTGGAGCTGATGGTGGATAGGGGAACACGAGCGGAGTCTGAGGGGAGAAATGTTTGGGGGTGATGAATATGTTCACTATCTTGATGGCAGTGGTGGTCCTACAGGTGTTTGTATAAGTCAAAACTTATAAAATTGTCACTTTAAACATGTGCAGTTTATTGTATGTCAATTATACCTCAATAAAGCTGTTAAAATGCATTTATTAGACTTCAGACTATATACCCAATATCATGCATTAATATATTAATGTATGGCTGTACCAATTACATTTATTTAGAAACTCTATATTTTCTGTATTTGTTTTTGTGTTATAAGTTAAATTTTTAAAGAATTTTTGAGTCCCTACCATATTCCTACATTGTACTGTGCATGTACTACAGAAGCTACAAAGTAAGTATGTAAGACATTTATTCCCTTCACGGTATTGATAGCCTTCCTAGGAAGACAAGACTTTTTAAACAATGCAATATTTCCAGTATGGCCAAATGTCTATATACAAACAGTTAAGTGAACTGGGAAGTGAGAGTGTGTAAACCTCCCACCGCATATGTGTGCTAAATGTTGTGTGGCAGGCCATCCCTTTCTTCAAGGAGCGTAGAGCTTTATGGAGGAAAAGAAAAGCCATTGGATAGAATGTGATAAGTGACCTGGTAGATAAACGGAAAACTGCACCAAGTGTTATATGAGAGTGCACGGGAGATACCTCATGGCAAACTTGATTTGTGGAGTTCATGGCTGAGCTGAGTCTTGAATGACATGTTAGGTTTTGCCGGAGAACGGCTGGTGAAGAAAATTACTCGCAGTAAACAAAGCAATGTGTTCAAAGGCATAGAAGGCATAGCAGATGTACTTTGTTTCTAACACACCTGAAGATTATGTCTTTATTACTAATGGCTCAGAATGTGAGGTTTGGAATGGCACGAGACACAGACGGGGTCAGGTATAGATCGTATGTGTTACCTTAAGGAAACTGTACAGTATTTGAATGGCAAACGTCTTTGCAGCATTTGGAGCAGGGAAATGACAAGATCACACTTCCACTGTGCATGTGTGTGTGTGGTGGGGATTGAACTAGCCCTTAAATAACAAGTAGACTCTGAATGGAAAGAAGGGACAAAGGAGGTGCCCCAGGTTAGGACTCTATACACCAGAAAGGCGACTTTCAAAAGTCCTTCCACCTGCCTCCCCTTATCAAGTGCCTGGCACTAAGAAGGCAAATGCAAACACATAAAGACTGACTTACTAAAAACAATTAGGCCCTGGCATTAGACTGCCACGCCAAGGAAACGGAGAAGAGGACAAATATTTACTGAGTATCTACTGAGTAAAAGACTTATAAAAAAATACTTTTTTCTTTTTTTTTTTTTTTGAGACAGAGTCTCGCTCTGTCACCCAGGCTGGAGTGCAGTGGCACGATCTCAGGTCACTGTAGCCTCTGCTGCCTGGGTTCAAGTGATTCTCCTGCCTCATCCTTCCAAGTAGCTGGGATTACAGGCGCACGCTACCACACTTGGCTAATTTTTATATTTTTAGTAGAGATGGGGTTTCACGATGTTGGCCAGGCTGGTCTGGAACTACTGGCATCAAGTGACCTGCCCGCTTCGGCCTCCCAAAGTGCTGGGATTACAGGTGTAAGCCACCACACCCAGCCAAAAAATAACTTATTGAAGTGAAATTCACATAACATAAAATTAACTATTTAAAAATAAACAGTTCAAGGGCTTTGGATATATTCCAAAAAAAATCCACTTTCTGTCTATGGATTTTCCTATTCTGGACATTTCATGGAAATGGAATCGTACAATATAACAACATAATGTTTTCAAGGTCCATTCATGTTGTAGTATGTACCCATTTAGTTACTCTTTTTTCTTTTTTAATTGTGATAAAATACATATAACATGAAATGGACCAATTTAACCATTTTTAAGTGTACAGTTCAGTGATAGGAAGTATATTCGCCATTGGTACTACCCATCCCCAGAATTCTCTTCATCCTAAAAAATGAATAATCTATACTCATTAAACAAGAACTCCCATTCCTCCTCACCCTAGTTCCTGGCAACTCATGAAATGAACTACTCTAGATACCTCTTATAAGTGGAATCACACTTATAAAGAGGTGCCTTTTTGAGACTGGCTTATTTCACTTAAATGTCCTTCCTTCTTTTACCTGAATATTCCATTATTGTTTATGTACCAAAATCTGATCATCCATTCATCCAACGATGGACACTTTGATTGTTTCCACCTCTTGGCTACTGTTGTAATGGTCTTTTAAAATATTAATAGCAAACCAAAATATTTGGTCAGAAAAGCTTAGAATATGGAAATAAAGACCACCAGGGCAAAAGCAAGACAAATGGAGTATCTTAGTTCATCTATTCTAGAACACAATATACACTCAACATGGTGGCACCCACTGACATCAAAATACTTATTAACATCAAAAATACTTATTAACTAGATGCTGTGAAAAATAAAAAGATGCAGAAAACAAGTCTTGTCCTTTAAGGAACATAAAGTTTCATGAGAAAGTCAATACAGACAGGTACGTATAATACAAGGTTGAAAGTGCAAGACTCTGAGACACCTTCACGTGTGATGCAGGATTTGACTCTGCCTCAGAGAATAAAAAAGATTTGGATAGATAGAGAAAGGTGAATGGGAGAAGACTGTGGGAACAATGGGAACCAAAGCTTAGAGATGGAAAACTGTATTTGCAAATATCGAATCAATTTTAGTCATGAGGATTTACGTGCAACAATTTCATTTTGTTCTAATCTGGAGGCAAATTAAATTTAGTCGTCCAGAACTAGAGTATGTGAACTTGAAGACAGACTAAAATCCAATGAAAGAGAATTATAATTAGAGTCCAGGAAAGAACCTTATGTGCTAATTTTCAAAGAAGTGCACGCCTAAGCCCTCCAGCATGGATGGTAACTGGCTGCGATCTTCCTGAGGAAAGTTCTCCAGAGACAGGTCTCCATGGTATGGCTCAGTCAAACTTTCTCACTTGGAAAATTAAATATGTCCTTATTTCTTTTGGTTTGGTTTGATGTCTTCTTTCTCTATCCTTCTCAAATAAAAGGACATCCGCTTAGAATCTACTTCACAAACACTACTCTCACAATAAAATACTAAAATCATATACTCAGCTCTCTGCTTTTTATGCTATACAAGTCTGACTCTTCTCACTTTTAAAAAGGAAAATGAGAAGCAAGAGGTAGATGTGAGGCCAGGTGCGGTGGTTCACATCTGTAATCCCAACGCTTTGGGAGGCCTAGAGGGAGGATCACTTGAGCCCAGGAGTTCAAGGAGTTCAATTTTCCAAGTGAGAAAGCCCAGGTAGTAGAGTGAGACCCCATCTCTACAAAAAATTAAAAAGTTTAGCTGGGTGTGGTGGTGGGCAGCTGTTTTCCCAGCTACTCGGGAGGCTGGGGTGGGAGGATCACTTGAGCCCAGAAGGTGGAGGCTGCAGTGAGCTGTGAATGATTGTGCCAATGCACTCCAGCCTGGACAACAGAGCTAAATCTTGTTTCAGAAAAAAGAGGTAGATGTGAGAAATATTACCAAGATGAAAGCAAGTACTGCCATGAGGTACTGGCACAGAAGGTGGAAGCATTTACCATACGTCTCAAGTTTCTGGTTTGACCACTTGGATAGAAAGTGTCCCAGAGACTGAAGGGAAATACAGGAGAGAGAGAAATGACAGGTTCTGTTTTAGAAATGACCAGTGTGAGGTGGCAGGAGGACACCCGTAAGTAGCACAGAGCTAGATTTCTCTGTTTTAGCTTAGGGTGGGTGGTGGTTTGGAGGTCTCGATTTGGGGGCAAGTGAATGGGTGGTAGTTGAAGAGCAGTAAAAGACACAGCTAAGGAATGGCCAGAGAAGCAGAGGGAAAAAGAGAGGAGCAGTGACCAGAAATGAAGACAGACAAGATGTGGGGGGTGAAATTACAAACAGTAAACACCACAGAGAAATTAAAAACAGAATCCATAGAATGAGGCAATTACAAGTCACTGGCAAACATTTAATTATCTCTTTCTGTAACTCTCTTTTGGTTTGAAATTAATGTTCAGGTGACTGAGATCTGATAAAGGAAATTATTTCAAAACATTTTCTTCTTTTAACTCTCTCTAGGCAGCATAGGAAGTTAAGAGTCATCAGAAAGAAGGAGAATGCCAACAAAACAATTAGAAACAAAGTAATACTCAGGTGAGATTTTAAAATTTTCTACAAAGTACACATATATACACACAAACACATGTATACATATGCACAGGAAAAGGTCTGAAAAGCTGTAAACCAAAGACATTTCTGGAAACTTGGAAGAGGAGACTGGAATTAGAAGTGGCGGCCGGATCTCTAATTTTTAGTATTCTTTATCAGGACTATTTATTTATGCATTCACTTATATGATTAAAAACTAAAAACACAATTTCCTACAAATGAAATAATTTGTTCATCTATCTCAGAAATGACTGTGCATATGTATTATTAAGAATACTCAGCCTGGCTAGGCACGGTGGCTCACACCTGTAATCCCAGCACTTTGGGAGGCCAAGGCGGGCAAATCACTTGAGGTCAGGAGTTTCAGACCAGCCTGGGCAATATGGCATAACCCCGTCTCTACTAAAAATACAAAAATTAGCTGGGCATGGTGGCAGGCGCCTGTAATCCCAGGTACTTGCGAGGCTGAGGCAGGAGAATCACTTGAACCCAGGAGGCAGAGGTTACAGTGAGCCGAGATTGTGCCACTGCACTTCAACCTGAGCAACAGAGTGAGAATCCATCTCAAAAAAAAAAAGAAGGAAAAAGAAAAAAAAAAATACTCAGCAAGGACAGGCACGTGGCTCCCGCCTGAAATCTCAGCACTTTAGGAGGCCAAGGCAGGTGGATCACTTGAGCCTAGGAATTTGAGGCAAGCCTTGGCAACATGGCAAAACCCCGTCTCTACAAAAAAATACAAAAAATTAGCCAGGTGTGGTGGTGTGGTGTAAGTAGCTGCCAGTAGTCCCAGCTACTCGGGAGGCTGAGGTGGGAGGACTGCTTGAGCCCAGGAAGTTGAGGCTGCAGTGAGCTATGATGGTGCCACTGCACTCCAGCTTGGGTAACAGAATGAGGATCTGTTTCAGAAAAAAGAAAACAAACAGAATACTCAGATAGCTAGAGGTCTTTATTCTTAGGACAAATTAGACCCTTACGATCATTTGTCTAGTTTTAATTGTAACATTTTAACTGTAACGTTTTTCAAGTTACTTTTTTTTTTTTACATAAAAATCAATTTAATTGGATTAAAAACTGAAAGGTAAGACCTGAAACTGTAAAACTACTAGAAGAAAACAGGGAAAAACTTCTCAATGGTGGTCTGGGCAATGATTTTTTTATTATTATTATACTTTAAGTTTTAGGGTACATGTGTACAATGTGCAGGTTAGTTACATATGTATACATGAGCCATGCTGGTGTGCTGCACCCATTAACTCGTCATTTAGCATTAGGTATATCTCCTAATGCTATCCCCCCCCTCCCCCCACCCCACAACAGTCCCCAGAGTGTGATGTTCCCCTTCCTCTGTCCATGTGTTCTCATTGTTCAATTCCCACCTATGAGTGAGAACATGTGGTGTTTGGTTTTTTGTCCCTGCGATAGTTTACTGAGAATGATGATTTCCAATTTCATCCATGTCCCTACAAAGGACATGAACTCATCATTTCTTATGGCTGCATAGTATTCCATGGTGTATATGTGCCACATTTTCTTAATCCAGTCTATCATTGTTGGACATTTGGATTGGTTCCAAGTCTTTGCTATTGTGAATAGTGCCGCAATAAACATTGAAATAAAAGAGGTTACAAACAAATGGAAAAACATTCCATGCTCATGGGTAGGAAGAATCAATATCATGAAAATGGCCATACTGCCCCAGGTAATTTATAGATTCAATGCCATCCCCATCAAGCTACCAATGACTTTCTTCATAGAATTGGAAAAAACTACTTTAAAGTTCATATGGAACCAAAAAAGAGCCCGCATCGCCAAGTCAATCCTAAGCCAAAAGAACAAAGCTGGAGGCATCATGCTACCTGACTTCAAACTATACTACAAGGCTACAGTAACCAAAACAGCATGGTACTGGTACCAAAACAGAGATATAGATCAATGGAATAGAACAGAGCCCTCAGAAATAATGCCGCATTATCTACAACTATCTGATCTTTGACAAACCTGACAAAAACAAGAAATGGGGAAAGGATTCCCTATTTAATAGATGGTGCTGGGAAAACTGGCTAGCCATATGTAGAAAGCTGAAACTGGATCCCTTCCTTACACCTTATACAAAAATTAATTCAAGATGGATTAAAGACTTAAACGTTAGACCTAAAACCATAAAAACCCTAGAAGAAAACCTAGGCATTACCATTCAGGACACAGGCATGGGCAAGGACTTCATGTCTAAAACACCAAAAGCAATGGCAACAAAAGCCAAAATTGACAAATGGGATCTAATTAAACTAAAGAGCTTCTGCACAGCAAAAGAAACTACCATCAGAGTGAACAGGCAACCTACAAAATGGGAGAAAATTTTCGCAACCTACTCATCTGACAAAGGGCTAATATCCAGAATCTACAATGAACTCAAACAAATTTACAAGAAAAAAACAAATTACCTCTTAAGGTTCCCTCCAGCTAAATGGTCCTAAAGGAAATTATTTTCCGCATGAAAATTATAATAAAGTAAATTTAAAGTAGCTGAATATCAACAGGTGACTAAATTTAGGTATGTGTGACCCACAGACATTTTCTCAGACAGGGCTGTTTGCCCTGAAAGAAGTGTAGTGTCAGGAAACACATTTCGTAGATATCAGGAATATGAGTTTTTATGGTGGTATCATGAGTTGCTCTCTTAACTGTTTTAGACATTTGGCACAAAACATTTTTAAGAATTCTTTATTCTTAAAGATCTCAACTGTATATATAAGCTTATTGCTCAGATATAAGAACATTAGTAATCAACCAAAAGTTAATTACTATAAGTTAATAAATAACTTTAATAAAGTTAAATAATAAAGTTAATAATAATAAGTCATATTATTCATTTATTATTTTCTATAATATATCTGAATATAATAAAATCATATATACTTTTTGGTGAGAAATTTTCAATATAGGGTTTGAAATTATTTTTATATCAATGTCATAATTAGGAATATATGACTTATACTTCCATTTCACATTTGTCATTGCTAAGCCTCTGTGAAAGCATTGTTTATTTCTGTTTCACAACAAGAGCTAGAGAAAGCCCAGGGTACAGATAAATAGGGATTACCAAAACCCCAAATAAAGACCTCTCCAAAAAAGACCCGTTATAAAACAAGGTCCCTTCATCAAGAAGCAAAAAGGAATAATCTACTTTAACTCCTGTAAGATAATAGACTATATGGGACCCAAATGAGAAATATGTGAAAATACTGAAAATAAATTCAAGCTGATTTGAAAGAGTAAGTGTTTTTGTTTTACTACCATAAGTACATTAAAAACAAATTGTATTTGGACACTAAATAACTTACAAATTATAGAAAGAGCTTCCAAGATGAAAAATAACTGTAAAAATAATTACAATATAGAAATTATTAAAAGCATTTCAAAGACTATCATTTGCATTTGAGAAAAATTTTCCTCTTTAAAGGAGAATTCAAATAAAGAATAACACAAAAAATCAACGTCTTAATTGTTTCATGATTAAGCATAATAAAGAACATATCAGCAATCACACAGAATCTATTCTTCTAAAATTCACTGCAACATTCAAAATATTTTATTGCATAGAATTTTGGACATCTATAGATAATTAGTTTGATCTTGTTCTATTTTCACCTTGTTTGCAAACATCTCCTTTTATCACCCTGAGAGTCTATTAAACTACACAGTAAACTGTTTACTAAAAATACAGACATCAAATCTCCCCAAATTTTGGATTCTGAAAACTTAAATATAAACAGGCAGCAAAACAATGTTTTGAAAAATATATTCATTTACATAGCATTACTTTTTCAGGGTTCTAATAAAAAATTTTAACTACAGATTCTTTGTGTTTCCTATGAAAAATAAAACCATCATTTATACTAATTCTACTTAACCAAGAATACATGGTCAAAATTTTTCTCACAACTTAATTCTTTGTGGCAAGAAATATGCTTATAAAATTTACTTAGTGGTGATTTTTCAGTTAGTACAAAATTTTTCATTCAAATATAACAAGCTATTTAAAAGGAATTATTTAATAAATATGTCATATCACACCATGTACTTAAATCTAAAGCCTGCGATGCATCAACAATAATAGTGGGCAAATGTTTAAAAAAGAAACATGTCCATTGAACACTTTCATTTTTGAAGCAAAAACATCATCATTTCTTTTATACTAGATTCGATGTATTTCAAGTTATAATCAAATTTATATTCTTCACTAAAAAAACTGTTGAAATAATAGAGAAATTACATATATAGAGATAAAATATGATTTTTCTTGTTACTGCATTTCTCATTCCATTGTAAGTGATGGGACGCTGCTGGCTGATTTCACAGGAGCAAAGGAGACCACACTAAGGTCAGGGTTTCCTTGAGAGAGGCGACAAGAAAGACTGAAAAATGTCACAGCTTGGAATCTGATTGCTTAAATACATCCTCTATTCTAGTCTTATAAGCTTTTCAGCTGGTAAATCAAAATCCTGTTATACACTAGGATAATATTCATGACAATTCCCTATATTTTATCTTCTTAAAATCAAAGACTCAATTCTAAAGGGTTAATAGAGGAATTACAAAGTAACTCTCTAGTTTGCATTTCCCATAATGCTAAAATAAAGCTTTTTCTTTTAGTCTAGAAATTTGCTTTTTTAATACTGTGAAAAGCCTCTATGAATCTGTTTAACGTATTTATTTCTTTTCATCTATTCAATGCCACTGGGCATAACATGTAATGCAGTGCGTGTTGATATTTTGCAAAGCACCACATGACTCACTGTACCCTAATGCACTCCATTAATCCTGTTTGGACAGCTGGGTCCAGGCATTTGTTAGCTGCATTTTAATTGTTCCATCTTTCTTTTTTTTCTTTTTATTTATCTCTATGGCAAACTACTCTGGAATTTAATTTGTTGGCCTTCAAAAAGTAAATTTTACCATTAGTTTGTTTTCTTTGTGTTAAAACTATACTCAGCATGTAATTTTCTTCCATAAAATCGGTATATATTAATGATTAGCAATCAATCTTAAATAATAGTACAGTGAATGAGTTTCCTAAGTATTAAAATGATAGGTTGGCTGAAATATAACAGAAATTATTTAATAGACTGTCATAATATAAATGATAACATTTAACATCAAATCAGGTTGCTAAAGAGCATACTTTTGGCATTTTCAAGATTCACATAAGCAGATGTCAAAACAATTACAAGTCCTATAAAGCAAACACAAAAGAAATAAGACTATTACACACACCAGTTTTTTATTAGCTTATGGAACAGTGGTCCCTTTACATTTATACTTTTTGTTTTCTATTACAAACATGAAATCCTTTGTAAGAATTATGAAGATAACTACAAAGCTTCTACTTTCTTTGCACAGCCTGCATCCCTGGTATCTGTAAGTCTTCAATAAATAATGGAGGCAATATGAGAGCTAATGCAAAAGCAACTCAAAGTTACCAGCAATTTTTGTTATGAGCAAGTAGCTAAAATTTAATGATCAAAATTTTCCAATCATTCGTGTGCACTCTTAAGTCAAAACCTAAGTCTAGAGAATTAGATAGAAATGCTTAATGGAAACTTTTGTCTGAAATAATATTTAGTGAAGAACTCAGAATATGGTCTACAATAGCATTTTATAAAAGACAACTAAGGGAAGACTTACTCAACTATTTCAATGACAAAGCAAAAATCTGTTTTTCTTTTAAAAGATTATCAAATTCTCCGTAAACTGAAACAATAAGAAAATGACAGAAATGAATGACAGGCAAGTAGGAACTCTCAAGGGTGTCCTTTGAATCAGAGTGTGTTCTCAGAGATTACACTGCGTTCACCTCTATTTTGTGGACACAAAGCAGCTTAAAATAATTTACAAATTTTCAATTTTTTAAACCATACTAAATTATAAACGCTCAAAAGCTTTTAAATAGAAAAATTAGTTTAATGCAGTTTCCTCACTAGAGGACTCGAAAGCCTAACTTATAGATGTGTCAGTAAAAACAAAATACAACAAAAACCAGCCCGTTGTTTGGAGAAAGAATGCTTTTAAGTGTTTAAAAAATAAGTAGTCATTATTTGATAAAAGTATTTGTCTTGGTATGCCCCTATACATAAAGTATAGAAGTAAAAGTGTAAAATAATGTAGGAAGAAACACTGTATTTCAAAGGTAATCTTTATGAGTAAATGTTAAATAAGTTCAGTAAAGACAGTTTTTAAAAACATGGATCTTTAAGTGAAAATTTCTCACTGAAACTTACCCAGTGTTCTCGACATCACAGGCAGAGCAGAGCTCAAAACCAAGATGGACACACAATTTCCAATGATCTGTTATGAGAAACGAGAAAGAATATTGGGCAGTTAAACAGCAGGATGACAATCAAACCCAGTAACATTCTGAGAAATGATTGTGCATTCTAGTTACCTAGTGTACTTTGCCGATTTCTTAATGATACTATTCAGTACAGAATTTTCAAAGAATAACACACTTTTAAAATAAATAAAGTTATATCTGTAAGTTCTAGAAGATGTTTACAGTACCTAGCACAGATATAGTTATAGAATACTTAAATTACTTGACACCTAGATAATGCACTTTACATTACTGATTGCAGCTGTTACTTTCAAAAGGCTCTGCCTGTCAAGCAAAAAATAATTAACATATTGGATACTTCTGACTACATTTTTAAGGCCAGATTATTGCTTAAGATCTCTTTTATCACATCTATTTCTAATGTTAATTGTAAGATTTAAAAAGCACCAGAAATCCAAAACCTCTAAACTTTTGTAATAATGCATCCCATGTTTATTCTTCCATAGTAAATAAGAGGAGTTGAAAATATCAATTAATATTTATGATCACTTAAACTAGATACTAAATATCTCAACTACTTATTAAGTTTAAAGAAATAGCTGTGTGTGTGTGTGTGTGTGTGTGTGTGTGTGTGTGTGTGTGTAAAATAACTTCTCCCCTTTAAGTAGGCTAAAAATATAAAATAAAAACAAAACAAGCTTTCAGCTCTTATTAGTTATTCTTCTTTGTCAGCCTACGGGAATATTTTATAAAGATTCAGTCACTATATACGGCAACAGCCTTTTTATTCTGAACCCAATGACATGTTGTGGAAAAAGTCAAATTAGCCTCAGACTACAAAATGTTTCTGAATAGAACTCTTCCGTCTTACTTTAATTATTCAAATTTGAAATACTTTGTCCCTACTACTTGTAGCAACTAAGTTCTTCAGACTTCAAACAAGCTCCCTGAAGTACAGTTAGCACAATCCAAGTTACTCATTAGCAATACGTTTTCTTTAGAGGAAAAAGAGTCCTTTCAGGAGCCTTCTATAGCTAGTTAACAAGCTCTGCAGTTCTCCGCATTTACAGTGAATGGACGCCATCCAAATTAAACAGGGTACATCCCTTTCCCACTCACTCAGCATTTTGAAAATCTTCCAGTTTGTGTTTACGCAACTTACAAACAAATACCTATCACTGCAAATGAACCATTCAGAATGACTATTAAATAAAGCAGTCTGTCAGGGAAGGCAAACGAGAGGCCACAGTCACCTAAGATTCTACCTTACCTTTGTCATAGTTGTGTCATCTTTCTTGGGAGTAAAGTTTCCAAAAAATCGAAGGCTATAGAAGCCGACAACAGAGGACACCATAAGATAGCTGTGAGAATCAAGGAAAAAAACTCTCCAACAGAATGCAAGTTTCCTAAGTTCTCGGCAGTCTCCAAAAAGTCTTAAGGCCCATAGGAAAAGCAAAACAAAAAGCCGCTTTAAGTGCTTGAGGAAGACTAACCTGTTGTTTTCTCTTCTAGACAAGTGTCTTAGTAAATAACTACTGCCCCAGAAAACTTGGTATAAAATTTGTGGATAGGCTGAACGTTCAGTTAAAGAAAGGATACAAAATCAAAATGATTTCAAGCGCAGCTCCCACAAAACCAAACGTAGAAAGAGAGGCATTTCCTATTCCAGGCCCCTGGGGTGGGAGAAAGACACTTTTCAGAATTTGATGACACCATTATATTGGTTTCCCTAAAACAGCTGTTTCATAAAATAAGACAGTTGAAATTATGAATGTTTACTACTTTGAAATAACATCTAGACTTTCAAAGGCCAACAAGACATGACATTAGACTGATTTCATCAACAAATTCAGGCACCATGTTAACAATTTTAATAAGCTCAAGAAAAATTACTTATCTCAAATGTAATTTAAGTTACTTGTCAAGATGACATGATTATGCTTACTGTTATAAAATGGGGCAACTTGCCACTTGAGGAAAAAAATCCTGAATAGTTTTGGGAAAGAGTTTTTAAAAACACAATAGAAAAATAAGAATAGGATACATAGCTATCTGAATGCTTACACAATATACAAAGATTACACAATTCAAGTATGTCAAAATTAAGCTAAGAGTAGAAAGAGAGTAAATGTGCATATCCTGTTCCCATACCTGAAAGTTTCCTTTGCCCAAATTTTCCTTGGGAATTCAGAGTTACAAAGGATGTAACTGTTAACATAGATTTTTAAAAAAGTAATGCTATAAATTTTTTCCTAAACAATTATCCCTATCTCAAAAACTATCTTTACCTAGAACTTAAAAAAAAAACACAAAAAAGTTACTATTTTTATAATTAGATCTGAAAAAATCATTCCCTACTGAAGTATTTTCAAAGATTACTAATAAAAGAAACTATCTGAATGTTTTACTAGTCAGCACAGATTACATCTAATAGAAACACCAGGGATAATTAAGAATCTACAGTCAGCCCAATAAAAAATAACTTTTTGACAATCTTTTGAAGAAGAAATAAATGATGCTGGTAGAAAGTGATGGGGTTCAAGACACACTACTCCAAAATTTGGGACCTGGTATTTGAGAAAACCTAGGAAGGTCACACACTGATCTGTCTCCTTCTCCTGCGAAGCAGGCCATAAGACCCCCATCCAAGGGTGCCCCCCGCAACCCACCCAGAGGAGAAGCACATGTTTATCTCCGGAGACACGAGGACACCGAGAAGAATATGAACAGGCCTTGCTAAATCCCCCCGGTTTATAATCATTAGATCACACCCCTGTCTTCCAATCATACTTCCCACTACTGTCCACTCTTCAACAAACCAGAGCATAAAAGTACACAGCTTTTTCTGTTTCTTTGGTCTTCTTTATTTCTGAAGACCCCTGTGATATGTAAAACTTATCTTAAATAAGTTTGTCAGCTTTTCTCTTATTAATCTTTTGTTATAGGCATCTCAGCCATGAACCTTCCAATAGGTTAGAAAAAGGTATTACTTCTTCTCCCCTACAGAAGCTTATTGATCAACAGAGATAATACTTTGGAATTATGCTATCTCAAGAGAAGCCATGTAGGAAGGATTAAGAGTATCTAATTTTTTTACACAATTATACAGGGATCTCCTATGACGTACAAGTCATTCTCCACTAAGCACTAAGGGGGATGGGTACAAAAATATACTATAGGGCTTGGGACTTGTTTTGTTGGTATAGTAAAATGGGTTAAAAGTGACTAGGAAGTCAGTATAGTAAGCGACTTCCTGTTCTATCAGTGGGTTTGGGTATAAAACTAAAGAAAAAGATAAGACTGTACATGGCAAAGGGTAGTTTCTTGTCTGTCTGTAGGATGAGGCACCTGGAGCATGATGGTGGGCTTGTACTCATGGAGAAGAGGCTGTAAGTGAATACAACAATGGCAATAACAGATGGCACAAGGTCCTGGAAAGACTCAGGTGGGGGGATCTGAATCAAGACTATGGCTAAAGGAATTTCATATAGCTAAATGAATTTCAGTAAAATCAAGATAAACTCTGATAAGAAATCTAAAAGGAAATTCCAACACTTGAAAAAAGGCCCTGTCAATCCAAAGTAAAAAATTAGAAACAAAAATCACAGTTTATATTTTAAAGGCTCTTTGCATAAAGAAATTCATACAACTTGAAGTATATACATGCACAAAGGTGAATGTTTTCATTTGCTTACTTGAAATACTCAGGGTATAGACATAGAATACTTTTGCAAAAGAAAGACATTTTAAAGGATTTTACTTTACCCTTGTTCCTTTTGGCATTGCTGTTTCATCAACCAATAGGCAAAGAATATTACAAGCCACCAAGAGGACCGAGATGGACTACAAGACAAACAGCAAACTGTCAGCTCTCAAGATTTTTCACCAATACAAAATATTAAAATCTAGGTAACCAAATACACGTTTCAGAATAGAGGGAAAGCAGTCAAGACCAAAACGCTATATATAAAACTAAAGTAATCAGACTACAAACAAGAACTGAAGAAATTCTAAAAGATTCTGCAAGTTATTGTCATTTCAAAGCTTGTGACAAAAGCTGGTAGTATATAGATCCTTTTACTAAGTGATCTCACCAATTGGAAACACACAACTCCACAGACTTAAAAAAGTGGTAAAATATTATCAGAACTAACTTCATAATGTAATTTTCATATTTTATCACAGAATTTAAAGCAGGTTATCTGCAACACCTTGTTTTCTTAATTTTCAATGAAAACAAAGACTGAATTTCCTGCTTTCATGAAGAAACAGATAATCTTCAGAATTTTTTTTAAATTGCCATTAATTTCCATTTTTGCTTTATTGGATTTTCATAAATAAAGGCATAGATGGATTTTAATCCTGTTGATAGAAAACTAGTTTATGAAAAACCATTTAGCTGAGGGAGCTGCCATACTCAAATGCTGAAGTAAATAAAATATAATTTGCTTTTATTTAACTAGGCAAATAAATTCTTACTGTCTCAATAAGAAGGAGAACCATAACAGCGGGATACACCAAATTTCTTTCCCATGCTGAAGCCTTTTTTCGCCTCTCTATTAAAAGGAAAAACAAAATAAAACAAAGTTTTCTCCAAATTAACATTTTCCTTCCATAATGCTATAATCTGTTTTATACATAATTTCTTTTTAAAAAACATAAATTACTTTTAATTTTCCTCCATAAACTAAAAAAACTACAGATAGGGCCTTGCTCTGTCACCCAGGCTAGAGCACAATGGTATAGCCGCAGCTCACTGCAACCTCCTAGGCTCAAGTGATCCTCCCATCTCAACCACCCAAGTAGCTGGGACTACAGATACATGCCACCATGCCTGGCTAATTTTTTTATTTATTTTTTGTGGAGACAGGTTCTTGCTATGTTGCCCAGGCTGGTCTTGAACTCCTGGGCTCAAACGATCCTCCCCGCTCAGCTTCCTAACATGGTGAGATTACAGGCACGAACTACGATACCCAGACAAAAATCAGAGTTTTAAAACCAGTTTGCTACATTAAACACCTCAATCCTGTGATGCGTAAATTTCAGCTCTGTGAAGACATCTCAATCATTAAGGAAATATATTGTTGATATACAGCTGACTCTGAAAATACAGACATACAGTAGGCCTTCTATAGCCACAGGTTCTGCAATAATTTTCTACCATATGTGGATTTTGGTACCCATGGGGGTTCTGAAACCAGTCCCCCACGAATACTGAGGGCTATATTTGTATTTCATATAGATCTACATATTGATATATATATATATATCTGAATGAATAAAGTTATATGAATAAAAATCCCTTCTATTCTTTTTTTTTTTTTTTTGAGATGGAGTCTCGCTCTGTCTCCCAGGCTGGAGTGCAGTGGCACAATCTCGGCTCACTGCAACGTCTGCCTGCCGGGTTCAAGTGATTCTCCTGCCTCAGCCTCCCAAGTAGCTGGGACTACAGGCACATGCCACCAAGCCCGGCTAATTTTTTGTATTTTTAGTAGAGACAGGGTTTCACCATGTTAGCCAGGATGGTCCCGATCTCCTGACCTCGTGATCCACCCACCTCGGCCTCCCAAAGGGCTGGGATTACAGGCGTGAGCCACTGCGCCCAGCCCCCTTCTATTTTCCCAAAGATAAGCACTTCTAGTTTTCTAAAGGCTGGAAGCAAACTTCTACTTTTACCTATAACACCAATCCTCATGCTAAGAACAAGAAGAAAAGATAAATCAAACTTAATTTTTAAAAAATCTGTATGAACGTATCAGAGAGCTATCAAGACAATGAAAATTGAGGGGCCAATATTCTGTGAAGTAAACTGAGCTAAGACCTCCAATTTGTACTACACCTTCTTCTGCAAGACATTTCCCAATATATAAATGGCATGGACCCAAGAGGGTGAGAAATCAATGGGTAAAAGGCAATGATTCTAAAGCAAACCTTTCAGCAAACTCAACAGAGCCAAGAGGACAGACATTGGCATTTGGGGCTACCAATGCAGTCAAAACTTGAGAGGCTATGATCATACAGAAAAGAAAAGGGCAAAGAAGTGAACCTGGCAGACAGTGCCACTTTCCCTTCAAGACACCAGTGGCTAAGAGGCCAAGAAGAACAACAGAAAGATGCAACTATGAGGCTGAGAAGCCAAGCAAAGCTTCTGTCAGGCTCATGTTTCTTGAGAGGTAAAAACTAAAATTCATTAAGAAAATGAGGTCATAGTCAATAACTAATGAACTAGGCTTTCAATTAGGACCAATGAAAAGCTATATCCTAGTATGAAGGAAGGACAAAGTGGAAATGGACCGGTCGTCATAAAGACTGAAGCCTGGCCTTGAATGATCTCAAGCCTAATGGATTAGACTGATACGTCCCTACCGTAACTGTCTACCAGAAGCAAAAGTACATCCTCCCAAAAAGAAGAAAACACCATGCAGAGTTTCTATAGTTTTGTATAAGAAATATCTGGCATTCAATTAAACATTACCAGATATGGGAAAAAGAGGCCAGGCACGGTGGCTCACGCCTGTAATCCCAGGACTTGGAAGGCCAAGGCAGGCCAATCACGAGGTCAAGAGTTTGAGACCAGCCTGGCCAACATGGTAAAACCCCGTCTCTACTAAAAATACAAAAAATTAGCCAGGCATGGTGGCATGCACCTGTAATCCCAGTTACTCGGGAGGCTGAGGCAAGAGAATCACTTGAACCATGAGGTGGAGGTTGCAGTGGACTGAGATCAGGCCACTGCACTCCAGCCTGGGCAACAAGAGCGAAACTCCATTTCATAAATAAATAAATAAATGGAAAAAGAGGGAAAAAAAAAGACAATGGAAACAGACCTCCAGGTGATCCATGTATTGGATTTATCAGAAAGATGCTTTAAAATAAATGATTAACATATTCAATAAAATAAGTGATAAATGGAAAATTTTGCAAGTAAATTTAAATCTATAAAAAATAAACAGAAAATCTAGAACTGAAAAATAATGTAACTAAAGTGAAGAATTCAATAGTTTTAACAATAGTTATGACATAGCTGAAAGAAAGCAAAATGGAAGACAGACCAGGAGAAAATATCAGACTGAAGCATGAAGATAAAAAGGAGATAAATACAGAAAAGAATATAAGAATGAAAAAGCCTAGCATGTGTGTAACTGCAGCCTAAGGAAATAAGAGAGAATGGAGCAGAAGCAATATCTGATAAGACAATGGCCAAGATTTTCCCAAATAGATAAAAGACATCAAGCCACAGTATCATGAAGTGACACATAGATTTCAAGAAAGATAAATACAAAGAAAACCAAATCTAAGCATATCAGAGTAAAATTGCTAAACAAAGACAAAAGGAAAATCTTTAAAGCCCTTTGAAAGAGCAACAACATGACTTTTAACAAGAAACCAGAAGACAGTAGAACAACATCTTTCCAATGCTGATAGCTACCAAACAAAAATTTTTAGTATGTTTTCCAATAAACAAAAACTGACAGAATCTATTGCCAGCAAACCTGTGTTTTTCAAACAGAAGCTAAATGAACATTAGAAATGTAAAAATAAAAATACAAATCAGGAACATATGAATTAGAATACCAAAGAAACACCACTTCACATCCACTAAGTCAGTAAAAATTTTAAAGTCCAACATTGTCAAGTATAATACTCATGCCCAGCAGGAATGCAAACTAATACAACTATGTGAGAAAACTATTTGGCTTTATCTACAAAAGTTGCACAGGCACATATACAATGATCTTGTAATTCCATATCTAGTATGTACCCTGAAAAAACATATATACCAAGAGTTACATACCAGAATGATTATAACAACATTATTTGTAACAGCAAAAAACTAGAAGCAAATCTAATATCCACCAACAGCAGGATGACTGAAGTAACTTCAGGAAAT
Source organism: Homo sapiens (assembly GCF_000001405.40). Lineage (NCBI taxonomy): Eukaryota > Metazoa > Chordata > Mammalia > Primates > Hominidae > Homo > Homo sapiens. The sequence continues at coordinate 156,732,056 of NC_000007.14, forward strand.
ATTATTAACAGAAATGAAAATAAATGAACATCGTATTTGATTTTCAAGAACATAACACTGGACTTCCACTTCTGAAGCTGCGGCAACAACAGGGACCAGGTGTGTCATCCAGCTTGAAACAATTAAGAAACCAAAAAGTACACAGATAATGAAACAACAGTTTTCAAGACACTGGACATCTGATCGTGGAAGAACAATGATGCCTGAGACACAGGAAACAAACCACACAAGCCCTTTCTGACCCAGCTTACTGTCTTGAGAGTTTCCAGGCCGTGATGCAGGAAGGAGGAACACAAGCTGAGCCCAGCTCATCCCTTGAGTTGAGAGCATGAAATGGGAATCTGGGGAGACTATGTCAGCTGGAGTCTGTGCAGCAAAGTGCCAGACAGGAGACTGAAGCACAGAAAAAGAACTCCAAGGATCTGCAAAGAGTCACCCTTGAGTATTCAGTAAAGAATTCATAAAAAATTCTCAAGTATATCGGCTCAGGCATGTGAAGAAACAACCCAGGGCTAAAGAAAGAACCACCCCAAAATATGAAAAGAAACAGCACTCAACAATCACAAAAGGCCAAAAATAGTTGCTTCTTCCACAAGACAGTACAGAATGTCATCAATCACAGGACATTGGATAGAATCTGTGGAAGGGTCTTGCCTGAGCAGTGGGGAATACTTAACCCTAGAGGCAATGATCCCCTGGTCCAGCCTAAAAAGTCTTCAGAACAAGATACAATAATATCAAACTGTTTCCAAGTAACTTAACTACATTTCAGAACAAAGTTCCTCACTTACACAGCTACTATAAGTGGCCAGGCATCGTGGCTCATGCCTGTAATCCCAGTACTTTGGGAGGCTGACGTGGGCAGAACACTTGAGCCCAGGAGTTTGAGATCAGCATGGCCAACATGGCAAAACCCCAACTCTACCAAAAACACAAAAAATTAGCAAGCTGTGGTGGCATGCACCTGTGGTCCCAGCTACTCAGGAGGCTGAAGTGGGAGGATCACATGAGCCGGGGAGGCGGAGGTTGCAGTGAGTTGAGATCGCACCATTGCACTCTAGCCTGGGCGACAGAGTGAGACTCTGTCTTAAAAAACAAAACAAAACAAAACAAAAAGAAATACTATAAGTGAGGCACCCAACAAGGGTAAAATCTCACCTGACAAGGTAAAATTCAAAATACCTATTTTCTAATCAAAAGTTTCCAGGCATGCAAAGAAGCACGAAAATACCAGTGATTATGAGGTAAAAAAATCAATCAATCAAAACATATCAAGAACTAACACAAATGTTAGAAGTAGCAGACAAAAACATTGTAAGTGTTGTCATAACTATATTCTATATTTTCACAAAGAGGGAGGACACAGATTGAACGTGTTAGAGACATAATAGAAGATACAAAACAGGCCCAAACAGGCCCCCAGAGATGAAAACTGCAGATGGTAGAAAAACAAAAAAAAAGCAAAAACCACTAGATGAGATTAAAGGCAGATTAGACATGCACAAGATTGGTGAAAGTGAAGACACAGCTATAGACGCTAATCAAAATGAAATACAGCAAGAAAAAAACTGAAAAATAAAGGAACATCCTTCAGCTATAGCCTAAAATACATGTAACTGGAGTCCCTGAAAAGGGAAGCATGAGGGGAAAAGAAAAAATATTTGGAGAAGTAATGGTCAAAAAATTTCCAAATTAGTTGAAAACTATAACCTCCTAGCTCTAAGAAGCATGAAGAAAACTACTCTGAGGCGTATCACAATCAAATTGTTCAAAATCAACAATAAAGACATCTTAAAAGCAGATACAGAAAAAAGACACATTAAAAGATAAGTATGACAGATGACTTGTTGGAAATAATGCAAGTGAGAAGGCAATGGAGCAACATCTTTGAACCTGTGAACCTTTGAAAAGTCATTTTGTATATATATAAAACCAAAAAAAGTGAATAAATGTAAACTTATCCTCTCCCCAAACTGTAAGATAGTCTTTATTAATGATTTTGGGCAGGTCAAAAGTTTTAACATAAAGATTTCATAAATTTTCTAATATTTCAGACTACAGTAAAGTCTTTAATAAGAAACCAAGGCCAATACACAAGTCAAGAAAAAAAAAGTACAATACCTAATTTTGTCTTAAGAGTCTTTACATTTTCAAGTTCTTGTTCCAACTCCATTATGTTGTATTCCACCGATGAAGACAGCCCTGTTCAAAGCAAAAAATATTTAGAAGTAAAACAGAACCCCTAACACTATAGAACAGGTAGCCCTTTAATTAAAATCTAAAATAACACATGGCAAATCCTGCTAATCAAAAATAACAAGAAATGTTGCTGTGATTCAGAGGAAAGCACATCCATATATTTACCAATTAAAACTTCTTGCTGATTAAACACTACACGTTTCCACAGAGTGATATAATGGACTATGGAGAGTCAGAAGGGAGAGGGTTGGGATGGAGGCAAGGGATAAAAAACGACATATTGGGTACAACGTATGCTACTCCAGTGATGGGTACATTAAAATCTCAGATCACACCACTATACATCCATGTAACCCAAAACCACCAGTACCACAAAACCTATTGAAATAAGAATATTAAAAATAAATGCTACATGTTTCCTAGAAAATTTCTTAACGTGGTAAAGTTCTAATTTGATCTATTAATAATCTTTTCTTAATTACAAAAGCAACTTGGGCTTACTATAGAAAGTGAAAAAAATCAAGATCTTCTCTTCTCTATCTCACCTCCTTAAAATGACAATTGTGAACAGCTTGGCTGATGCTTCCATACCTTTCTTCACATTCAGAAGCACATTCACACATACATATGTATCATATGCATGGTTTTTATTACATGTTTTACACGAATGGGGTCAGACCTATTACTTTACCATTTGCTTTCCTAGTCAATTATATGTCCAAGTTGACAGCTGAATAACATTCCATAGTACAGATGTACTACAACTTTATTCCCTTTACACATATTCAAGTTTTCAACTTTTTGCCACTAGAAACAGTGTTGCAATAAACATTCTTGTATGCCCATCCAGTACATTTTGGTTCTAATTATTTCTGTAAGACAGATTCCCAAAACTTAGATTGCTGAGTAGGGTATGAACATTTATAGAAGGTTACTTCCCCCAAATATTGTAATAACTTAAACTATTGTAATAATTTACATTTCTATCAATAGCTTTGAAAGTATCTATTTTCCAGTATCGTCTTCAGCACTGGATGTTATAACTCTTGAATTCTACCAATGTGATGGGTGGAAAATGTTTTCTTCCTGTTACTTTAACATGCATTTCCCTAAATGTGGTTGGACATATTTCTATGCATTTATCACCTGAATTTTCCCTATTCCTGTTTTCTGCTTGTTTCTCTAATGGTGGATCTTCGTATTCTTTATATTTTACCTGTTAAATTCTGAAACAGAGAAATTAAAATACCCACTACAACTGTACTTTAAGTTCTCTCAGTTTTTAAGAGTGGTGTTTTTTTTTTTTTCATTATGCAATTGTATTTGACTGCTGAGACTGGGAGGTTCTGTTTGCTAGGGTTTTTTTGTTTTTGTTTTTGTTTTTCATCCTAGACTGTTACATCTTCCTTATGAATCATATATTTTATCATTTCATAATGACCCTGTTTGTTTCTAATGCCTTTCAACTTAAATTCTGTTTTGTGGATTTTAAGTTCTGCTTTCTTTTTGTTTTTACCTATCTTGCTTGCTTACTTACATACATTTATACACACACCTTTCATTTTAATCTTTCTTTTTCTCTTATCCAGCTGAATCTTATTGGAGGTTTCAACTGTATCAGTTAGAGTTCATTGGCTATAGGCAACTGAAATAGACTCACTAGTTAAAACAGAAAAGGAATTCGTAAGATAGAACCAGTAGGAAAATTTTCCAGTAAAGAAAGTAGAGCAAATGGGTAGCGAAGAGGTCCAGGTGGCAGAACAGATGGACAGTTTCCTCATATTGTAATAGCTGGGATGACTCAGTCCCGAGTACTCCCAGTCTGTATGTCACTATGAGGAAGAATAAAAGTCTAGGAAGCAGACGTCCTAATGGCATAGCTTAGAGTCACATGTCAGTTTCTTGGAGAGCCGTGAACTTTGATGAGCAGTTCTGCCAATCTCATCTAACCGGGGAAATCCGCAAATCCAAATCAGGTACTTTACTAGAAGAAAGGGCAATAGATGCTTGTAGCAAAAATGATAAATACAGGTTGAATAATCCAATCTGATAAACTGTTCTTTAACAGTCAAATTCAGCCCATTTACACTTAGTAAAATATAGAGCTTGCATTCATTATTTAGTATAATAGCTGATAAACTTTATTTTATACTTTCTATACTACTTAAGTGATTTTTTTAAAGGTTTTATCTTTATCAAGATGAAGCATGCACATAGCTCAAAGTGTCAAACACATACGTGGGTTTGCTATCATGTCTCCTCCCTCCTGAATCCATTTTCCCAAAAGTAGCTGTCCAGCTTGTTCTTCTGGCACTTGTCTTCCTGTTGCAACTTCTGGATTTCCCGCACAAAGCATTCCCACTGTGGCAGGTGAGGACACAAGTGTCTGAGCCACACACCTCTTCACTCCTCCCTTTCTCTCAATATGGCCATAATGCTCATTTTAGCTAGATTGATATTCAATGTCTACATTATTATAACAACCAAAATGCCTATCCACATAGCAAACTATGACCAGCTTTCCTTCTTTCCTTAACATTCTTCCCACCCCTAGAATTAGCAATAATTTTTCTTTTACTTAATTTTCTATGTACTTAACACAAATTCAAACCCAAAACATCCTGCCAAAGGTCTTTATTTTCTCCTGGTTTTTCTATTCCTCAGTTATACTATCAACTTCACTCTCTTGAAGAAATTTCCCCCAGTGTCTTTAGACCTGCCCACCCCAGATGGACTGCCCTCTGTGCCTCCTGCACCCTTTCACCCCGGGACTGCCTGCCCGCGTCTCCTGTGGAGCATCTCTTGTTTCCTACGCAGCCCGTATCTTTTCTTGATTTACTCCCTTGCTTCGATGGTGTGTATCCTCCAGTGGCTTGCTAAGAAAAGGTGAATGTGAGGTAAATTTTTAAAGACTATACAAGTCTGAATACTGTACCTTTGCTCTTACATTATAGTTTGATTAAGTATAAAAAATCAAGGTCAAAACTAATTCTCCTTCAGAATTCTGAAGGCATTGCTTCATTGTCTTCCTGCTTCTAGATTTGCTTTTGAGAAGTCTGAAGCTATTCTTATTCCTGTCTTTTTGAATGTGAGCTGCTTGTCATTTCCCTTTTAAACTATGTAGGATCTTTGTCCCCAGTGTTCTTGATGAGAGTCCATTTTCATGTACTGTGTTGGGCACTAGATGATCCCTTTCAATCTCCAAATTCATGTCCTTTAGATCTGGGAAATCTTCATTTTGTCATTTCCTCCACCACATTTTCTCTCCTCAATTTGGAACTCCTCTAAGTTGGACACTGGATCTCCTGAGCTGGTTCTCTAATATTCTTAACTATTCTCTCCTATTTTACCTATTTTTGCCATTTTGACCTATCTTCTGTAAAAGTTCTTTATCTTCTAATCTTTTTGCTATGTTATTTCTAAATTTCAAGGATCCTTTTCTGCTCACTGAATATCCCATTTTTATGGAACCTGGTCTTTCTCATGAATGTCATCTCTATCTCTGCCAGGATATTGACGGATTTGTTTTGAGACATTCTTCTCCCATGCATATTTCATCTCCTCCAAGCTCTCCTGTTTGATGCATATGGGAGGCTTTCCTTGGATATGTGGTGAGCCTTAGTTGTCTGCTCATATTTAAGACTGAAGCAGTAGGAGGGCGGAGCAAGATGACCAAATAGAAGCCTCTACCGATTGTCCCTGCTGCAGAAGCACCAAATTTTAACAACTACATACAAAATAGCACTGTCATGAGAACTAAAAACCAGGTGAGCACTCACAGTACCTGGTTTTAACTTCATACACCTGAAAGAGGCACTGAAGAGGGTAGAAAAGACAGCCTTGAACTGCCGATGCCAACCCCTCTTCCATCCCCCAGCAGCGGCCGTGTAGTGTGGAGAGAGAATCTGTGTACTTGGGGGAGGGAGAGCACAACAAATGGGGGACATAGAATTGCACCAATGCTGCCCTGTCACAGCAGACAGTAAAGCTGTGCTGGGCTCAACCACTGCATGCCCACAGAAGGAGCATGTGGACCAGCCCTAGCCAGAAAGAAATTCCCCATCCCAGTGGTCAAAACTTGAGCTTCTCAGCAAGCCTCACCACAACGGGCTACAGTGCTCTGGGGTCCTAAGTAAACTTGAAAAGCAGTCTAGGACACAAGAACTGCAATTCCTAGGCAAGTCCTGCTGCTGGGCTGGGCTTAGAGCCAGTGGACTAGGGCAGCATGTACCAGACACAGTGGCTAAGGGAGAGGTTGCACCACCTCTCCACCAACCCCAGGCAGCAGAGCTCACAGCAAGGAAAGTGACTCCTTCCTTCTGCTCGAAGAGAGGAAAGTAAAGAGAACTTTGTCTTGCATTTTGGATACCAGCTCAGCCACAGTACAATAGGGTACTGGGCACAGTCATGAGGGCCCCATTCTAGGCCCTAGCTTCTGGATGACATTTCTAGACACACCCTGGGCCAGAAGGGAACCTGCTACCTTGAAGTGGGGGACTCAGTTCTGGGAGGATCCATCACCTACTGACTAAAGAGCCCTTGGGCCCCAAAGATCCAGGAGTGACATATAGCTAGTATGCCATGGGCCTTGCTTGGGAAGACTCTGAGACATGCTGGCTTCAGGTCTGATGCAGCATATTCCCAGCTGTGGTGGCTACACTGAAAGACTCCTTCTGCTTGAGAAAAGCAGAAGGAAAAGTAAAGAGTACTTTGTCTTGCAGCTTAGGTACTAGCTTGGCCACAGTGGGGTAGAGTATCAGGTGGGCTCTTGGGGCCCCCGAAACCAGGCCTAGGCTATTGAACAGCATTTCTAGACCTGCCCTGGGACAGAGGGGAGCCCACTACCCTGTAGGGTGAGTCCCAGGCCTGGCAACATTCACTACAAGCTGACTGCAGAGCCTCTGGACATTAAGTGACCACTGGCAGTGGCCTGGCAGAACTCCCCATGGGCTGGCAGTGGCAGGAGCAGGGAAGAATAGGAAGGTCTTTGTCTTATGGTTTGAGGGTCAGTTTAGCTGCAGTAAAACAGAACACCAACTAGATTTCTAAAGTTTCTGACTTCAAACTCTGCCTCCCAGACAGCATCTCTGGACCTGCCCTGGGTCTGAGGGAACTTTTCACCCTGAAGGTTAGGACACAAACCTGGCTGGCTTCCCCCACTACTAATCGTAGAGCCCTAGGGCCTTGAGAGAACACAGGCAGTAGCCAAGCAGTGTTTACAGTGGGCTTTGAGTGAGACGTAGTGCCGTGCTGGCCTCAGGTCTCACCCAGCGTAGTCCCAGTGTTGGTGGCCACAGGAGTGCTTGCATCACCCCAACTCAGCTCTAGGAAGCTCAGCACACAGAGATGCCATTTGTTTGGAGAAAGTAAGGGAAGAAAACAAGAGTCTCTTCCTGGTAATCCAGAGAATTCTTCTGGATCTTATCTAAACCCACTGAGGCATTCGTCTGCAAGAACCACAGCATTATTGGGCTTGAGGGCCGAGTTCCTTTGAATATCCGGAAAGCCTTCCCAAGAAAGACAGGCACATACAAGCCCAGACTGTGAAGACTACAATAAATACTTAACTCTTCAATGCCCAGACACTGACGAATATCCACAAGCGTCAAGACCATCCAGGAAAACATGACCTCACCAAACAAACTAAATGAGGCACCAGGGACCAATCCTGGAGAAAGAGAAATATATAACCTTTCAGACAGAATTCAAAATGGCTGTTTTGAGGAAACTCAAAGAAATTCAAGATAATACAGAGAAGAAATTCAGAATTTTATCAGATAAATTTAACAAAGAGATTGAAATAATAAAAAAGAATCAAGCAGAAATTGTAGAGTTGAAAAATGCAACTGACAAACTGAAGAATGCATCAGTCTCTTAATAGCAGAACTGATCAAGCAGAAGAAAGAACTGGTGAGCTTGAAGACAGGCTGTTTGAAAATACATAGTGGAGACAAAAGAAAAAAGAATCAAAAAGAATGAAGCATGCCTACGATAGCTAGAAAATAGCCTAAAAGGAGCAAATCTAAGAGTTATTGGCAGCAAAGAGGAGGCAGAGAAAGAGAGAGAGGTAGGAAGTTTATTCAAAGGGAGAATATTAGAGAACTTCCCAAACCTACAGAAAGATATCAACATTTAAGAACAAGAAGGTTATAGAACACCAAGTAGATTTAACTCAAAGACAACTACCTCAAATAATCAAACTCTCAAAGGTCAAGGATAAAGAAAGGATCCCAAAAGCAGCAAGAGAAAAGAAACAAGTAACATCCAATGGCGCTCCAATCCACCTGGCAGCAGACTTTTCAGTGGAAACCTTGCAGGCCAGGAGAGAGTGGCATGACATGTATAAAGTGCTGAGGGAAAAACACTTACACCCTAGAATAGTATATCTGGTGAAAATATCCTTCAAGCATGAAGGAGAAATAAAGACTTTCCCAGACAAACAAAAGCTGAGGCATTTCATCAACACTAGACTTGTCCTACAAGAAATGCTAAAGGGAGTTCTTCAATAGGAAAGAAAAGAATGTTAATGAGCCATAAGAAATCACCTGAAGATACACAAACTCACTGGTAATATAAGTAAACACAGAAAAACACAGAATATTATAACACTGTAATTACGGTGTGTAAACTACTCTTATCGTAAGTAGAAAGATTAAATGACGAACCAATCAAAAATAATAACTACAACAACTTTTCAAGACATAGACAGTACAGTAAGACATAAAAAGAAACAACAAAAAGTTTAAAAGTGTGGGGACGAAGTTAAAGTGTAGAGTCTGTATTAGTTTTCTTTTTGCTTGTTTGTTTTTGCAATGTGTTAAGTTGCCCTCAGTTTAAAATATGGGTTATAGGATAGTATTTGCATGCCTCATGATAACATCAAATTGAAGAACATACAATGGATACTCAAAAAATAAAAAGCAAGAAATTAAATCCTACAACCAGAGAAAATAACTTTCACTAAAAGGAAGACAGGAAGGAAAGAAGAGAAGACTATACAAAACAACCAGAAAAGAAGTAACAAAATGGCAGGAGGAAGTCCTTACTTATCAATAATAACACTGATCGTAAATGAACTAAACTCTCCAATCAAAAGACATAGTGATTCAATGGATAAAAAAGCAAAACCCAATTATCTGTTGCCTAAAAGAAATACACGTTACCTATACAGATACGAATAGATTGAAAATAAAGGCATAGAAAAAGATATTCCATGCTAATGCAAACAAGAAAAGTACAGGAGTAGCTATACTTATATCAGACAAAATAGATTTCAAGACAAGAAATGTAAGAAGAGACACAGAAGGTCACTACATGATGATAAAGGGGTCAATTCTGCAAAAGGGTATAACAATTGTAAAGATATATGCACCAATGGAGCATCCAGATATATAAAGCAAATATTATTAAAGCTAAAGAGAAATACCTCAATACAATAACAGCTAGAGACTTCAACACCCCACTTTCAGCATTGGATAGATCTTCCAATAACAGAAAATCAAAAAGAAACATCAAACTTAATCTGTACTGTACAACAAATGGACCTAATAGATATTTACAGAACATTTCATCTAATGGATATCAGAATAAACATCCTTCTCCTCAGCACAAGGATCATTCTCAAGGACAGACCATATGTTAGGTCACAACAGAAGTCTTAAAACATTCAAAAAATTGAAATAATGTCAAGTATCTTCTCTGGCCATAATGGAATAAAACAAAAAATCAACAAGAGGAATTTTCAAAACTATACAAACACATGGAAATTAAACAAAATGCTCCTGAATCACCAGTGGGTCAATGAAGAAATTAAGGGGTAAATTGAAAACTTTATTGAAACAAATGATAATGGAAGCACAACATACCAAAACCTACAGGATGCAGCAAAAGCAGTACTAAGAGGGAAGTTTATAGCTACAGGTGTCTATATAAAAAAAGAGAAAAAACTTCAAATAATCTAATGATGCATCTTAAAGAATTAGAAAAGCAAGATTAAACCAAACCCAAAATTAATAAAAGAAATAATAAAGATCAAAGCAGAAATAAATAAAATTGAAATGAGGAATACAAAAGATCAATGAAACAAAAAGTTGTTTTGAAAAGTTGACAAAACTTTAGCCAGACCAAGAAAAAAAAGAGAAGATCCAAATAAAATCAGAGATGAAAAAGAAGACATTACAACTGACATCACAGAAATTCAAAGGATGGTTAGTAGTTACTGTGAGTAATTACATGTCAATACACTGGAAAATCTAGAAAAAAATGGACAAATTTCTAGACACATACAACCTACCAAGATTGAACCACGAAGAAATCTAAAACCTAAACAGACCATTAATAAGTAACGAGATCAAACCTGTAATAAAAAGTTTCCCAATAAAGAAAACCTCAGGACCTGGTGGCTTCACTGCTGAAGTCTACCAAACATTTAAAAAAGAACTAATACCAATCCTATTCAAACTACTCTGAAAAACAGAGGAGGAGGAAATACTTCCAAACTCTTGTTAAGGGGCCAGTAATACCCTGATACCAAGACACATCAAAGAAAGCAAACTACAGACCAACATCTCTGATGAATATTGATGCAAAAGTCCTCAACAAAATACTAGCAAACCGAATTCAACAACACATTAAAAAGATCATTCATGATGAAGTTGGATTTATCCGAGATGCAAGGGTGGTTCAACATATTCAAATCAACCAATGTGATACATCATATCAATGGAATGAAGGACAAAAACCATATGATCATTTCATTTGATACTGAAAAGCATTTGATAAAATTCAACATCCCTTCATGATACAAACCTTTAGAAAATTGGTACCTTGGATGGAGCGAAAAGATGTGGCAATCAAACCATTATATAAACAGGATTTCCAATCAATTCTCTTATGAAGTAGCTCACTCTACTTCGTCTGGTGGTGCCACTTTTTGGGACTTTTGGGGATTCTGGGGTATAAATTTATAAATCAAGCACAAATGACTTACGATTTAGCTTCCTTGGGTCTGTGAAACTGGTTACTTAAGTCCGCTAAATTTTCTCAGGTCTTCTAAATTCCAAAATTTTATTGTGATTTTCTCCTCTCAACTTCTCATCTTTTTAGGTTTATGCCTCTCTGAACCTCAGTGTTTTCATCCGTAAAAGGGGGTGTATCTATTAGGACACTATATACTGAATCAGAAAACTAAACTCAAAGTAGCTTAAAAATGAGGAAATAATTTCATATAATGAGAAGTTTAGACACAGAGCAAACTTCAAAGAGGATTTTCCAGCAGCTCAACAGTGACATCAAGGGACTAAAAGTACTGCCATCCTCAAGTTGACAGGAAGACTGGTGCTCTTTCTCTTTTTATGTAACTCTGTAATTTCTGCTCATTATATTTGTTCTTTATTTCTTCATTTTCTTCTTTCCCAGCTAGTGAAACTTTAGTTTATCCTTTTTGCCCATGTTAATTTGGCAGTTCAATGGTTACTTTCACATTTTTAATACTCATACTTAGATATACTTTTCATTATAATATCAGCATCACACAGTCCTAGCCCTACAGGGATGCTTTTCTGAGTAACTTACCCCACACCAAAGTGAAGCTCTCACAACGCTTTAATCATTCTCTCACTGCTGCCCACCCATGCCCCCAACTCCTGGATCTTGCTGCGACAGTTTTAACAATATTTAGTTCAAGACTGTTACCAAATGTTTCTTTCAATATGGAAGTTAGAATAGTGCTTGGCACAAATTAGGTGCTCAATATACAGATATAAAACGAACAAATGAGGGAATGCATAACAGATGAATGACATCTTTGGGAATATATGAATTTTTTTTTTAAGAGACAGGGTCTCACTTTATATTACTGCCCAGGCTGGACTCGAACTTCTGGGCTCGAGCGTATACTCCCACCTCCCGAGTAGCTGGGACTACAGGTGCGTGCCGCCACACTCAGCTGAGTTTTCAACTGCAGTCTTTATTCCTCCCTTACAACTATGGGTACTATTCAGCAACCAGTAGCAGGTTGCAAATGGGAAGCTTGATGTTGATCTCTCTCTTCTTTGTCTGGAATTTTTCTATGTGAAAGTTTGTAAGGGCTTTTTTTTTTTTCCATTGTTCTTGGAATTCAGGAATCTTACAAACTAAATCCAAATCTTTTTGATTTTCTATTGAATAATCTTGCCTAGGAGTGTGTGGCCTTTTAACCTGAACTCAAGTCTTTCTTAAGCTCATTGATATTTTCTTCTATTTTTTATTTACCTACTTTTCCTACTTGTTCTTTTCTCTCCTTTTAGATGCCTATTATTTACATTCAGTATCTTAGCTCTGCACTTCACGTCTATTTTTCATTAATACTTTCCTTCTTTTTGTACTTTTGGTGTGTGACACAAAATAGTTCTTCCCCTTGATTCTGCAAGATGATTAATTCAATTTTTGAAGGACTATATTAGTATGCTATTGCTGCTGCTGCTGCTACAAATTATCATAAAGTTTCTGGCTTAAAACAACATAAATTTATTGTCTTACAGCTCTGGAAGTGAGAAGTCCTAAAATCAAAGTGTTAGCAGGACTATAATCCTTCTGGAGACTCTAGGGGAGAAATCATTTCCTTGTCTTTTCTAGCCCTTGAGGGCCACCTGCATTCTTTGGCTCATGGTCCCTTCCTTGAGTCACTCCGACCTCTTCTTCCATTACCAATGTCTCCTTCTCTGACCATCTCAGCCTTCACTTATACCAACTCTTGTGAGTACAGTGGGCCCACTACATAATCCAGAATAATCTCAAGATCCTTTACTTCATCCCATATGCAAAGTCACCTTTGCCATGTAAGGTAACATATTCACAAGGTCTGGGGATTAGGACTTGGACATCTTTAGGAAACCATTATTCTGACTACCACAAAGACTATTTCTTTTTTTGTTTGTCTATTAAGCTTTTTATTTTTTTCAAGTTCTCAGCATCAGTCTTTTTCTGTTCTAATGACATTTCCTTGGACATTCTTACTACTTTTGAGGATTAGGTATGAATTCTTATTTGTCTCTCCCATTAATTGTTAACTCAAGTGGGAACCACTTGTTCTAGATATCTATCTTGGTCTTCTTCACTGAACCTTAAACAACTGGTAATTTTTCTCTATCCACCTCTGTTGTTCCCTTCATCTCTAATCAGGTCAGACACTCCCTCAAACAGTGACAAACCAGCTAAAAGGTACAGCAATTCAATTATGTTCCTAGGGGCTAGGGACCAACTGGCCAGAAAAACTGATTTAGGAGGAGGAAACCTCGCTGGGTCTCTCTAGGTGCAAAGAGTGGTCCTTTCTCAAAGGGAGAGACTGAAAGGAGGATTCAGAACAACAACGCAAGGCCAGCAAGATCAGACAAACCTTTGCAACACAGGGGCAAATGCAATCTCACTAAGGGAATTCAGAGGCCTCTTTTTCTAAGCCCCTTTGGGGAATCACAAAATTCCAGTCTTATCCCAGGTTTCTAGGAGAAGTAAATCCCATTCCCTTTGCAGCTCCTTGCTCACTTCTGCCCATCACTGAAGAGACAGCAATCGAATACCCTCTCTTTCAAAGAACCTGAGATCTCAAATCCACTGAAACGTTTTATAGTGTTTTCAGAGTTCATGAGTTTTATCACTTTACTTGTTAATATATAATTGATATATTTATGAGAGGAGGGATAAAGCTAGTACAGAAATATTCAGGTAATGTGACACAAGCTACTAAACTTTGATTACAAAGTTAGTTTTGAGTTTCTGGCAGCCACAGCAAAGGGGGAAGCAATTAAGTTACATAACGAATGAGTATTTCCATATAATGTGATTTACAGAAAGACAGCACAGCTCTGTAAGGTTTTCAGGTGTCTTTGAATCAAAGTTTAAACTACATAATAGTCTTAGTAATAAATATATTTTACTTTTATCTCCATTCTTTATCAATTAAACTGTGTATCTGTAATTAATGCTCATTTAACTTGTATATCTCATTGACTGGAAATACAATTCCAAACTACATTCATTCCCCATTCATGCAAAGATTTATTATTCTGGTAACCAGCTGAAGGGTAGAAAAAATAAGCTCATGAGTATTTAGAATTTCAAAAGAGAATGGACATCAGAATAGAAAGTATTCCTGATGCCAATTTGAAATTAAGTGAAAAGACAAAAATGCCTACTTTGTGGGTATGTTTACAGAGCTCAATACAAATGTCTAGACCACTCAATGTATGATTCTTCAAAGGAAAATAACTAAAATGGCATTTCTGAAATGCTGTGCTTCTATTTGCAGGTGATATAACACTAGGCACACAATAGGTAATTAATAAATACTGACTGACTTGCATATAAAAATCAAAACTACATTCTTGTTGTCCTCAAATAAATCATACTTTTATTAAATGACTAGATTCATCTGAGATGACACATTATTCAAGGACAAGACCACTCTTTATTATAATAGAGCAATACCTAAGGGAGAAATGTAAGCTTTTTTGAGTAAATATTTCATTATAAATGACCAGAAGGAAACAATGACTATCGTAAGAAATTATGACATACTGCAAACAAATACTGAGGCATTATGTGGATTTAAGTTATACCAAAAATTTAAAATATCCCGAGGAACTGCATTATCATTACTTTATTTCCAAATGAATCTAAAATGTCCAGTGTCAGCATTGTCTAGTCAATAAGTCAAACTGGTAGACAAAACCTGTTTAGACAAGTCACAAGAAATAAAAAGGGATTCTCCAAGAAAACCACAAAGCAGCTCATTTAAGGTCAATTTAATGGTATTATTCTGTTTTTCTTCCAGCCCCAACATAAGATTTCACTACCTCAAAGGAAATTGTAAGAGTATCTATTTGCATTCCCCTTAGGTGATTGGCAGTTCAACACCAATTAGTTCAAAATTACACTGTTAACTAACATGCAATAAAAACAACACCTTTCATCTTTCTTACATAGGTAAGAATAACTTCAGAGCCAATAACTTTGATCAAGTAAGTATTTTTGATCCTGCCCCACCCGTCTCTTTGGATTCAGGAAAACTAATAGCTGAAGGCAACTTTTCCCAGCTTTATTCTTAAGCTGAAAAACTAGTGTGGTATTAAAAATATTTTGCTTCCAAGATAACAGAATTTCCCAAAGTCCAGTATTTATTCAATAACTAAGCTGTCCTTACAACTTTCTTAATATATAAGACAGCCTTCATATATAAAAGGAGAGGTACTAAGTATTTAACTTAAAATATAAAATGTATTTTTAAAAACAAATACAAATTTCCAATTAGATCTGCAAGCCCTTCAAATAATTGATGAAATACAATTATCTCCCTAAACAATTCAGTGTCCTAAACTTAGTCTCATAATGAGTACTATTTGGAAGTAGATACCTCTAACATAAACAGATTGATGTTACATTTAACTTTTAATTTACCATATAACCAAAAAAAAGTTTGATTAGAAAATATTATCCAAGAAGCTCTTTAAAAATTTGATTATACTTATTACTTTAAATTTGACCAAAGTGATCTCTATCACAAAGAATGTGAGGTCACTCAAATACTATAAATTATTTCTAATCACTTAGGCAAACAACTTTGTTGTTAAAGCCCAAATCTCCTAATAATTCACAGAGCAAACAGTTTCCATCTCTCTAAGCAAACACTACTTACTGTACACCACAGAGCCAATGCTGATTAGGCAAACTCCAGAAAGCATTTGAAAACTGAAGCCAGGACATTCAAATCTCTAATGTATCTATTTCAGCATGAACTAACACTGTTACTATCTACAAAGGAGAGAGTCAGCCCATATACTCGAAAACTCTGTATCTATGTCTATTCCACTTGCAATGCTAATAATTATTAAAATAATAGTTTCTTTTTACTTCTGACATATCCACAAAAATATGGCTATTGACCTAGTAATGTGAGACTTTTGAGATCCAACAAAACTGTGAAAATGCAAATATGCTTTCATTACTAATGACTGCAAGATAGAAATTGTTAAATAATCAACTTTAGGAACATTATATAATGCTAGGTACAATTAAAACAATGGTTTGGCTTTTTTCTACTTTAGATATAAGCTACTAGATCTAAACTAGATAAGATGTTAAGATAATTTTTAAACTTTTATGTTTATATAAGCTACTATTGGGAATACCATCACCTATCTAAGTTGTAGTTGAGAAAGTAGCTCGGGTATATTAAATTCATCTTCTACTACACAAATTTGGATTTTTTTTTCTTTATTGAGGCGGAGTCTTGCTCTGTTGCCCAGGCTGTAGTGCACTGGCATGATCTCGGCTCATTGCGACCTCTGCTGCCCAGGTTCAAGTGATTCTCCTGCCTCAGCCTCCCGAGTAGCTGGGATTACATGCGCATGCCACCACGCCCAGCTAATTTTTGTATTTTTAGTAGAGACGGTGTTTCACCATGTTG
Source organism: Homo sapiens (assembly GCF_000001405.40). NCBI lineage: Eukaryota > Metazoa > Chordata > Mammalia > Primates > Hominidae > Homo > Homo sapiens. Next base: position 156,748,695 of record NC_000007.14, read on the forward strand.
GCCAGGCTGGTCTTGAACTCCTTACCTCAGGTGATCTGCCCACCTCAGCCTCCCAAAGTGTTGGGATTACAGGCGTGAGCCACTGCACCCAGCCAATTTGGATCATTTTTATAGAATAACTCTCTCTATATATATATTTCATAAAATATATGATATTTAACTCATTCTATAGTTCATTATTCCTAAGCATTCCTCATTTACTGATTTTATATTAGCATATATCTCTGGCAGTCACCTCATTTCATCTTGCAAAAAAATAATTTCTATGGGCCACATTTTATTGTCATAAATTGTGAATAACGGCCCAAGAAGCTGAATAAATTATAACAAGGAATTTCTGACCATTTCAGATCCTTGGACACAAATGTTTTTTGATTATATTTGATCACTTTCACGCTAATACCAGACATTTCTCAAAGTGGCCCAGAGTCTGATAAATTCAAAATATTCTCCCTTCAGTGACGTAACTAACAGCAAATAGTATTTGTAGGATTGTCATTGCCAGAACCTAGAAGAATGCCTAGAGAAAGCCAAGATGAAAGTAATTTAGAGGACAGAAGAGAATCTGGCATGAGCTTCCATATATCAAGTGTGTTATATGAAAGAATGTAATGACCAAATTAGCAAATCACCTTGCCAATGATAACTGAAAATGTCTCTGACAGACTACTACTCTGAGATAGTCTAAAGAAGCAACTGCTCTAAAAAAGCAACCATAAATGCCACCCTAAACCTTGGCACCTTCATAAAATTCCCTGGCAAATTCAACTTGGTTATAAACAGCAAAATTCAAGGACTGATGATGACACTAAGTGCTTCTGACAGGTCACAAATTCTACAAAAAGCTTGTATAAGACATGTCTTGTTTTTTTTCAATCCCTTTATTTTTATTTTTTAGGATAAAAAGGTATTCCAATCTGACACCCAGCAAAAATGAAACAACAATATAATCTGTGCTTTTAAGAATAAATAATTAATACAAGCTTCAATGGCAAGGACTTTTTCGTTTTTTTTAGATGGAGTCTCGCTCTGTTGCCCAGGCTGGGGTGCAATGGCGTGATCTCGGCTCACTGCAACCTCCCCCTCCCAGGTTCAAGCGATTCTCCTGCCCCAGCTTCCCAAGTAGCTGGGATTACAGGCACCTGCCACCACACCCCCTAATTTTTGTATTTTTAATAGAGACCGGGTTTCACCATGCTGGCCAGGTGGGTCTTGAACTCCCAACCTCAGGTGATCTGCCTGCCTCGGCCTCCCAAAGTGCTGGGATTACAGGTGTGAACCACTGAAAAGATGAGAATCAAGCAGGAAAGTAACTGCCATAAGAAATGATACACTAACTTTTTATCATGAAGATGAAAATCGTATCTAAAGAAACTGAGTTGAATTATTAAGTTCAAAGACTATGATATTTTAAAATAAATTAAAAGAACTCCGGAGGTTTTGAACTTAAACAACAAAAAATAATTTCTCTTCATTATGGTACTACTTCCAAAGTTACCCAGTACACCCATAGGCTATACACACACAAAAGCTGATTATTTCAATTAATGCCGTTGCATTACTTAAACATTTAAACATGTTAAGTGTGCGTGTGTGTGTGTACGTGTGTGTGTGTGTGTGTATCCTCTTAATGCTAGGAAGGAATTACAAAAGATTTTCTACCACAATTAATGTAATGGGACTTTCTGTTGGGCTACTCTTTAGGAGTCTTGGAGTAGAAATGGTTCTTGATTACTCATATTCCATGGCCATAACAGTAAGGGGAAAACTGCCTTATTTCGGCCTCTTCACTAACACTCCAGTGCACGTGGTCTTCCTGCCTCTCAACGTTGGTGTGTCCTTGGCAGTCTCCACTATGGGCCTTCCTAAGAAATCTCTCCAAGTGATTCTGTCCGGTCTTGTCACCAAATTTTACTTCCTCTTCCTTTTTCACTTCTATGGTAAAATGACAACTCTCCATCATGTGCGTTTTTCATCTATTAATTTACTTATGGGACAAATGTTTACCACATATCCACCATGTGTCTAGCAACATTATAGAATCAGGGTACAGAGGGAAAGAAAACTAACAAAAATCGCTGCCCCAATAAGGTGCGGTGGCTCCCACCTGTAATTTACAAAAATCCCTGCCCCAGTTAGGTGCAGTGGCTCACACCTGTAATTTTAACACTATGGGAGGCCAAGGCTGGCAGATCGCTTAAGCCCAGGAGTTTGAGACCAGCCTGGGCAATATGGCAAAACCTTGTCTCTACAAAAAACACAAAAATTAGCCGGGTATGGTGGTGGGCGCCTGTAGTCTTAGCTACTCAAGAGGCTAAAGGGGAACGATCACCTGAGCCCGGGAGGTTGAGGCCACAGTGAGCCGTGATTGTGTCACTGCACTCCAGCCTGGGTGACAGAGTGAGACCTTGTCTCAATAAATATAATTAAATAAATAAATCCCTGGAGTTCATGTTCTAGTGTGGAGAGACAGGCAATATACTAAAAGACTTAACATGTGAGACAGTAAAAAATGCTATAGAAAAAAATAATGCAGGAAAGGGGAAGCGTAGAGCAGAGGTAGGGCTTAGTGATACAATCGATATCCACAAGGCTCACTCCAGAGTGGGGGAAAGCTCCACGAAAGGGTATTTAGGTAAAGACCTGGAAGAGAGAAGGTGGAGGAAAACACAATAAAAATGCCCCAAGGGAAGGGGCTCAGTGGGGGAAGAGCAAAGAGACAGCAGGCATCAGACATGGGGCAGGAGTGAGCAGCCACTGCAAGGACTCTTGCTGTTATCCAGACTGAAACAGAAACCATCATCTGAGGACTTGGAGCAAATAAGTGGGAAGATCTGACTCATATTGTCAGAGACTCTCTCTGACTCACTAGGCCCAAGACAGATACGCACGGAAGCCATTAGGAAGCTACCGCAAAAACCTCTCCAAGGGGTGGTGGTAGCACAGGTGGTGAGGCACAGTCAGATTCTGGAGCTACTCTGAAGCTGGAGCCAACAGCTTTGCAGAAGGAATCCATATGGGAATTAAGAGAAAGAGACTCCAAGGATTTGGCCTGAGTAGCTGGAAGAATGATTTGTCACCTGTAGAGAAGGGCCGATGGCAAAAGCAGCAAAATCTAGAAGTAAAGATCTTGAGTTTACTTTGGACATATGTTTAAGATGCCTATTGGACATCCAAATGGAAATTTCCACTAGACAGTTAGATCTTTAAGTTCAAAGCTCAGAGTAGAGGTCGCAGCTTATAGGTGGTATTTAAAGCCATGAAACCAGATGAACTAATAAGGGAGTAAAAGCAAATAGAGAATTTTAAAGACGGAGGCATGAGACTTTCCAGGTGAAGAAGTTATAGACACAGAAAAGCCAGAAAAGTGGATTGAGAAAAAGCAGCCCGTTAAATAAAAGGAACAGGAAAGTATGGTGAACTGAAAACCAAGTGGAATAAAAGACATTTCGAGGAGGAAAGAGAGGAAGATAAGGACTACGAAGTCACAGACCAACCTGACCATGGCATTTCATAGAACAGTGGAAGCAAGAGTGAGTTTCAAAACAAAATGTGAAACCCATGAGCACACAACTCTTGTGAGCTTTGCCATAAAGACCAAAGGAATGGGTGGTGACCTGGAGGGGATATGGGGTCAAGGCAGATTCCTTCTTCTGTCTCTTTCTGGGAAAATTATAGCATATCTTTATGCTGATGGAAAGGATACAGTTGGGGAAAAACTGGATCATGACAGAGACAGAGAGTCAGAAAGAGGAGAATTGCTAGATCGTGTCCTTGAATCAGTGAGAAGAGATGGAATCCAGGGCACTAGGGGAGCGCTGGCATTAGCCAGGCACACAGACAATTCAGCCACAGCATCGAAGGAAAAGGCAGCTGTGAGGGGAGCTGCAGGGAGGAGGGTTGGCATGAAGGAAAAAGCTTGTGAAAATTCTCTTATGATTGCTTCTGTTTTCTTAAGAAAATAGAAAACAAGGTCACCAGTGGAGAGTAAGGTGAAGATCTGAGGGAAGAAAAGACAGAATAAAGTCATCCAGGAGAATGTAAAGTTAATTTAGGATATTGGTCACATATATAAAGGAAGGCCAGGCAAGAGGGTCAGTCAGCCAGCTAGGAGTGAGAGCACAGAACAGGGAGAGGCTAGCAGAATGAAGGCTCGGGTTTCAGCACAATCCAGTGAGACCACAAAAGGGAGCTAAGAGTGTACGCAGGGGACTGATTCTAACAACAGTCCAGGAATGTAAACTGTGCAAGGAAGTAGGGGGATGGGGAAATGATGGGGGGTGAGAAAAAGGTGTTAGGATCAGGGTATGTTAAATCTCCATACTGAGGAATTGTAGGAAATGGGAGTGCTAGAAGAAGTGAACTGGAAAAAGGAGAAGTGGTAGGTGGAGAGTAGGATGCTTGATTGTAAGATTATGCAAAAGAACTTGGATGGGTTATGTCACAGGCACGAGCGGGTGAGGCAGACAACCACAGGGACAGGCAAGGAGTGTCCTGGAGTGATGGGAAGGACATGCACACAGACACCAAATCACCACGAAAAAGGCACAGAATCAGAGAAGGATTAGAAACGAGGAGCAAAAATCCTCCAGAAGGGAGCAGAAAAGGCCTGGGAGGTGAGCAAATGACAGGACTAGGTCATGGTCTGATGACATGAGATCCAAAGTGCTGGAGAGTAGTAAAAGGGAACAGGAGGGCACCTACTCAAACTCCAGGACCAGCCAAATGAGGGATGTGGGTAGAAGCGAGCCATCACATGAGCGGGTGGCAGGAATGTGTGCCAAGTTTCTTTGAGCAAGAAAGTGGCAGTTGAAGATACAGGGGTTTTGTTCATGAGTTAATTCTCAGTTCCAAATGGCACAAGCAGAAAGTTTCAGAAGCTAGAGGAAAGTGGAAAATCAGGTCAGAAATGGGATGTATAGAGACACAGGGCGCAAGGAACCTGGATGTTCTGGGCTCCATGTGCTGACCATGATAAAGAGGAGTGATGGACACAATGTACCCATTAGTCCTGACAGTCCCAAAGCAGACGGCAGAGGGGAGGCTGTGTGCTGTGGGGAAGGGGAAGGCCGCCTGCCGAGATCACAGTGAGCTCTGTGGACATCTCTCTACTCCTGCCATGACAACAGGGACATGAGGGAGGCGCTGTCTTAGCCAAACGACAGGTGCTCTGGGGCTCCCTCCTGTCTCAGAAACACAGAACTCCTTCCTCTCTATTCCTTTTTTTCAAGTAGTTAAGCACTAGATGAAAACTTACAAATTCTTGTCCTTTTTTCTCTTCTTCTTCAGGCAACTAGCCTATGATCTCGAGACTCAGCGTCTTAATTCATCTACACAATATCTAGTGCTTAATTAAGATCCGTAATAAGCAAAAAAGGAAAGAAGAAAGGGTAGAGAGCAGCTGATAACAAGATGGCTTATTCAGGATACCAATTAACATTATCACAGCACACAGCTTTGCTTTACTTTATTAACATTCCATGAAACAATATTAACAAGAACAAAACCTCCCAATAGCTTTATGCCTACAGCACCATCAAATAAACAAATTGAGAAGTCACAGTCAGGCATTCCAAAACAAACTGATACTGATTATTTTTAAAACCAAGTATGAAAATTCAACTCTAGTAATATCATAACTACCACAATAACTCAACGTTACTTTTTAAAAAAAATACTGTTATTTCTACAGCAAAGCACTTCTTGGTGCTGGCTGTCATGTTTTTTTGCATTAACGGTACAACTGAGCTCAGAGTAAGCCACACTGACACCCCAAAGATTTCTGCAATGCACACCACACATCCCAACACACACTAAGAAAGCGCCGCCAGCAACTCTGTGATCAATCAGCAATGGAATTTGTATTTTTTAAAAAGTCTTTTAGTCTCATTATTCTGGAATTCTTTTTAATAGCAAGAGTAAAACAATAAACTCTTTACTTTTGTTTTATAAATTAAAATAGAAAGTAACTGTTACAACAAAACACACTAGTCATAATACTAGATTAAATAAAATCCAGGGGATGGTTTCTCTTACCTCCTATTTCTATTTTCTGAAGAAATGGTAAGTCGTGATTTTTTCAGTCTTGCCTTCCTACACATATTTCTAAGCATACCCTACTGAAGCTCACAATTCTTAATCTGTATTAGTCAAAATGTCCATTTTGCCATAGAACCATTTATGTTATAAACATAAATCATTTAGCTCTTTATTTTCCACCTGAAACAGTCCACAGTGGCTAACCAGCAGCAAACAGCAAAATCATAATTATCCTAACACATCACTTAAAGAGTTTCACTGAAAAGATTTTAGACAATCTACCAAACGGATGATAAACAGTGCATGGCCTACCAAAATGGTATGTAAAAAAATTATACTTAGCATTAGTTATCATAACATCCTCCATCCTCTCCAGGTCCAATCCATCTCTTCTCTGTAACATTTCTATGCCAGTGAGGTGTTTTTACTGATTTTGGCTTGGCTTCATTTTATAATACATTTAGCCATCTAGCAAGGGTTTCCTTTTCAACTTCTTTACATATAATCAGCCACTTTTAAATTTGAGGAGCCAAAGGATTTATAAAGATTCTAGAAAGACCTTTTTTACTTTTCCTACTGTGGAAGGGGAAAGTGAGAAAGGCTGTATTTTTGGATTTTGTTTTGTTTTGATTAAAGTCAATTCAAAATTCTTCAATTCATGGGGCACTACATTTTACCCTTCCTGGATGTCAGCCTCCTTATCTGTGAAACAGAAATGGTGGCTACCTGAGGCTGAAACAATCCTACACTGCAGGGAGCAGCTTGACACATACTCTTTACAACTCAGGCATGTTTATTGCACAGTAGCATGATTATCCAAATAAGACAAATTTATTATAATATTTACTGCTTTAAGGAAACTTTATAAAGCTGACATTGTTGACTAAAGTTTATAACTCTGAAATTAAACAGGTTTAAACATTAGTTTTAAGTAAGTTAGAAGAATAAAAGACATATGTAGTTCCAGTCTAAAAGTTTATCTGTATCGAATTATATAATGTTACTGACAAGAATCCTCTAGAACAGATACAAACTGAAATTCCTGGATCGAAGGAAAAAGCTCTAAAATATTATGAACATTTTTGGGGTGATGATTTAAATTCACTATTTGTAACTGAAGAAAGTAGGTAGATACCTGTTTCTCAGCATTTCATAAACTAACCTTCTATTTTATACCTACTCTTGAATCATGATTCTGAAATGCAGTTCGTTATTAATTATCTGATCTTGTTGGCGGGAGACTGGCTTTTCAACATTTGAAAACTACTTAAGTAAAATTAAAGAAAATTTACCTATACTATCTGTTAAACTATATCATTACTCTTTTCTTCATTGGTTCTTCAAAAACCATCAGTAATTAAAAATTAAATTTTAAAGTCATATGCTTAAAACATAAACACAGTTGGCAGTAGAGAGGTGTCTAGTCCCTTAGTGGCCAAAGTCTCATAAAGAATGGGTCCTGCTAGGTTACAGCTCATCTCAGCCAGGGTCTGCAATAACCCTCTCTTCACCAGGGAAGTTCTTTTATTACTCTAAAGTGTTCTCCTCTTGTAGCAGCACAAGATTCAGAGAGGTTTATATTTTTTCTCTTCAATTATCTATCTTTTTGAAATTAAAAAGATTTTTTTATCCCCGTCTAAATATGTAATATAAACATACCATTTAGTCGTCTCTGGAGTGCTTCTTCCTCTAAGGTAATGATATAAATTTGTTCATCCAGGTCTTCAAGAATCTAAATTTAAAGATAAAACTATTCAATAATTCAACGTTATAAAACGAATGCTTATGAGACCATTTAGGCTATTTGGTCAATTTATTTTAGGTAACGTATTCATTCAAATTTCTAAGAACACAAAACAAAAAAACTCCAACTATGTTATTTATAAATTAAGTACAAATACTTTAGTATATAACCAAACACATCAAAAGTTATCACAAACCCTATATACATTTAAATTGGATATTTTTAAAGTTTAAGGGATTAAACTAAGGAACTCTTCTCAATGGCCAACAAATGTATGAATTTTGGGGTTTTTTAGTGACATTCTGAGATGTGGGCTACATGTATGAATTTTTTTATTATTGTTTGTTTGTTTGTTTGAGACAGTCTCACTCTGATGCCCAGGCTGGAGTGCAGTGGTACGATAATCTCAGCTCACTGCAACCTCTGCCTCCCGGGGTCAAGCGATCCTCCCACCTCAACCTCCCTAGTAGCTGGAACTACAGGCACACACAACCATGCCCAGCTAATTTTTGTATTTTTAGTAGAGACGGGTTTCACCGTGTTGACCAAGCTGGTCTTGAACTCCTGACCTCAGGTGATCCGCCTGCCTCAGCCTCCCAAAGTGCTGGGATTATAGAAGTGAGCCACCACACCCGCCCAGCCTACATGTACCAATTTTAAACAGCCAAAAAGCTAACTACGGTAAATAACTACAGTAAATATAGGCCCAAGCCAATATTTTAGAGATAGAAGGAACAGACACCCAGTCCAACATTTGTTTTCTCATTTACATTTACCTACATAATGTCTAAAACAAGAAATCCATAAACTACATCAGTAACATGCAACACTTTCCATTTATATCATCTTTATGTACTAAAAACACTCCATGAATATTAAAGATTGGTATTATCAAAATCATCCAATAGACCAAAATCTAGAGAAGTGGTATGTTTACATACAAACCAAGTCAAACAACAGTAGTTCAAAAGAAAAAACCATACTAATAATTTACCAATTGTATGGGATATTGTCTGCACTGTTAAAAATCCTAAAATTGATTTAATTCTAGTTTTGTTAACATAGCTATCCTTCTGAGAGGATCCTTATTATCTTCGTAGCTGTAGGGCAAATCTCAAAGAAGTCTAGAGCTGATATCAGTGTTCCATATCCTCACATCCAAACTACTCACACTCAGCAAAAAAAATAAATTGTGAGGAGCTAATGGACAAAAAGACAGAAACCATATATACATCTCCTTTCAGACTTTAAAGTATTTTCAGAAAACAGATTTTCAAATCATGCAATCCCTGTCAGATGTCCAATTTATACAGCTGATGTGAAATTTATTTGAAGCAATCCAATAATTCCCAGCCTTTCAACAAATCTTTACGGTCCCCTATGACCTAGCACTGAACTCATCACTGGCACACATACCAACTCGATCCTTGAGAAGCCTGACTTGGAAGGTGAGAAAAAACAAATACTAAAATAATAATCAACAGTAATAAACAAATAAATATACAAACAAATAATGACAAAGAATGACCATCCTATGAGGAAGAAAGGAATAGGAAGAAAAGGGGAAGAGATACCTAAATGGCCAGCCAGCAAGCCCTCTCCAAAGAGGGAACATTTAGGCTGAAATGAGTGGCAAGTGCTGGAATGTGAGCTACTCCCGAGGAGAAAGAGTGGTACACGGAGAGGATCTCCTGGATGCAGTGGGTTAGGGGAGAGGAATCCCAGAGAAAACCCACATGTCTGGGACCAGGTCCTTGGGGGCCTTGATCCAAAGTTCCTTTCCCATCAACACTTCTTTTCACTTTCTACTATCTGGATCAGAATTGACAGTTTTTACATAAGGTCTAAGGCATACAAAAGGATTTTTATCTTTCTTATGCAAATTGTCCAAGAATTACTTATCACCACGGGTATGTCTTAGTGTGAATGAGTGACTGATGTAGTTTGGATATTTGTCCCTTCAGAACCTCATGTTGAAATCTGATCCCCAGTATTGGAGGTGGGACCCTGTAGGAAGTATTTGGGTCATGGGGGTGGATCTCTCATGAATAACCGATTTGGTGCTGTCCACACAGTAATAACTGAGTTCTTGCTCTATTTGTTCACATGACAGCAGGTTGTTTAAAAGAGTATGGACCTCTCTCTCGCCTGCTCCCTCTCTTGCCCTGTGACACAAATGCTCCTCGTTTGCCTCTCGCCATGACTGGAAACTTCCTGAAGCACTAGCCAGAGGCAGGTCCCAGTGCCATGCTTCTTGTACAGCCTGCAGAACCATAAGCCAAATAAACCTCTCTTCTTTATAAATTACTCAGCCTCAGGTTTATACCAATGCATAATAGACTAATGCAGTGACAATGTAAATAACACACATATATTTGTGTTAAGTTCTTATGAGCACCATCCTCCTTGATTTCTACAACAATCCTACGAAAAACAGACTGTTCTCATCTCCATTTTATATTCCAAGAAGCAGGGTTACCAAAGAAATGTTACGTGCCTTCAAACCCTATACTCAACTACTATGGGCTAATGGGGGCTTAAATATGGGTAAGACATAGTCCTTGACCTCAAACAGCTGATATTCTAGTGTAGCAGAAGAGAGCAGATGAATTTAAAAAATAATTAGAAGATTTGTTAAAGTCATAACCGTGGCTTAAATAAAACATTACAAAAGTTCAAAGGAAGAAAAATTATTCCCAGATGGGGAGACAAAAGTTTCGACCAGTGTTTTTGATGGTAGTAGCATAGTAGCATCTTATCTGACAGCTTAAATTACCAAAAGAAAGGCATTTCAATTAGAGGAAACTGTAAGCAGAACACAGAAGTGGAGGGGTAAAGTCCACTCAGCAAACAAATCGGTTTTACAGCTCTGGAGCTTACAGCAAAATAGAATGGCAGACCAGCTTCTGGTATGAAACCAGCCTCTTGGGTTCACACTCTGCCCCCTCATAGATCTCTGATCTTGTACAAGCTACTTAATCTTCCTGAAATGACATTAGTTTAGCCATAAAATAAGAATACTACTATCTAACTTATAGGTTTGTCATCAGGATAAAATGAAATTATGTGTGTAAAATATAGTGTTTATTGCTAGCATATATAATACACTCAATTACTCAATAAATAATCTTTATTACTGAATGTTACCAACAAGAAAAGAAACAAAGACAAGACTTTGAGGATACTGTTAATGTTAGAAATGCAAAATGCTCGTTCCCTGGTGCTGCAAAGAAATAGCACTCGAACATAAATTTAATTTTCTCAGCAAGGCAATTTTTACTTCTATAGAAGGGTGCGACTGGCAAATGGAGTAATGGAGAGAGCACACCTGCACAGGGGAGGGGAAGGAGTTCTTATTTCTGACACAGGGCCCTACTAGTGTGTCGTTCCCCTATTGACAATGGTTGGACCACACAGTCTAAGCTAATTCCGACTGGCTATTTTAAAGGGAGCAGGCATATGAGCCAGAGTGGCAGGGTGACTAGTCTAGCAGGAAGGACAGTTAGGAACAGGTAACTAAAGATGACTTAGGTCAAAGCAGGTGACCAGGGGTGACTCAGGTCAAAGAAGGTGACCAGGGGTGAGTCAGGATGGAGCAGGTGACCAGCGAACAGATGTGAAATACTGATTAGGACTGGTGGGAAAGTTGTTTACTGAAACCAGAGGCAAGGGGGAGAAGAGAACCAGGAAGTTAAACTTTAAAATGGAGAATCGAAGAAGAAGAGAGCTGAACACACTGACATACTGATTCTTTGAGGAAAAACTTGGGGTTCACTATATTTAACATTAATAAGAGACAAGTTAAGGAGAAAAATTAGCTTGGGGAAGGGAGCTAAGTAAGTAGTTTCGTTTTATATACGTTGAGTTTTCAGCTCCATGGGGTATTCAATTATAGCACTTAAAATGTACTGGAATTTGTTTCCATTGTCTTTTCCTCATTAGAATTAGGCATTTAAAAGTGATGTGGAAATGGCAGAGATGGTTTAGGAGCAGAGCATTAATAGAAATTTAGACCAATGATGGAACTTTAAACATTTGCCTATAGTTAGGGGTCAGGAAGCAGAAAAGGAGAAAGAAGACCAAACAAACAAACAAACAACAACAAATGTAGGAAGAAACTAAATGAATTCAATGTCCCAAAACCTCTTTACAAGGGAAAGGAATTTCAAGACTTGGCAGCATGTGTGTGGTACACAAGTGTGTATACAACATTTACATACTTTTTGTAAAATGTATTTACGCATTTTTTAAAAATAAAAAATTAAACTTCATCTTTAAAATATAAAAATATTATGATTTTCAAAATTAAGCAAGCATTTACTAAAAGTATAGCCCCTATAACACTTCCTCAGTATTTTCCCTAAATGAATCATGACAAGGAAGACAAACACATAACTATAACGATTTAATAAGTATTACTAGTGAGACAGAAACAAAAGGGAATATGAGAAATGCAAAGAAAGGACTTTAATTCTTTGTCCTTGAAGAAGCAAGGCAACGTTCAAAGCTATGTAGACAGTGGAGCTGATATTTGAGCTAGGCCGTAGGAGGCTGCTAGGTAGCTGGAGCAGGTAAGAGGCCTTGAAGGGAAAGAGACAGTCCTGGAGACAGAATGCATAGAGCCTATTCAGAGCACAGCAAGTTCGCTCATGAGCTAGAGTGACAGTAAACACAGGGACAGCTAGAGGAAAACTGAGTGTGGACCAGGCTGTGAAAGGCTTTGTAACATGTAAGTAGTTTACTCTTGAGTTCATAGGCAGTGAGGATCCATGAAAATAAGTGACAGATTTCCTAGGGGCAGCTAAGAAATCGTTTTTATATAATTAAATATCTGACAAAATAGAGACCAAAGAAAGCGACAAATCATTAGAATTACAATCAACTGAAAATCATTTAAAAACTAATATATAGTGTTTCTAAGATGAAAGGTAAAGTATGCTTCAATTAATCGAGACACAATATGCAGACAAATTTTCAGAAATATAACCATTTTGTAAATTAAAGCATACATGTAAATTTTGAAACATAATAGAGGTACTTTTTGATATTAGGCAATGGACACCTAAAATACCTGTAAATATTTGTAAATTTTGTCCTAAAATTTGCTAGAGGAATTTTTACCTATGCACCTATAGTTAGTATTTTAAAAGCAAAACCAAATTTGGTTTCCAAAGACTGGAAATTTAACCAAAGTTCTATTAAACAAAAAACTTAATAGGCCAAGTGCGGTGGCTCACGCCTGTAATCCCAGCACTTTGGGAGGCCGAGGTGGGCAGATAACGAGGTCAGGAGATTGAGACCACCCTGCCTAACACAGTGAAACCCCGTCTCTACTAAAAATACAAAAAAATTAGCCGGGCAAGGTGGCAGGGGCCTGTAGTCCCAGCTACTCGGGAGGCTGAGGCAGGAGAAAGGTGTGAACCCAGGGGGCGGAGCCTGCAGTGAGCCGAGATCGCACCACTGCACTCCAGCCTGGGCGACAGAGCAAGACTCTGTCTCAAAAAAAAAAAAAAAACTTAATAAAACAACAATTTGAGTGATAAACATACAAAACATATTCTTCTTCTATTTCTAAATGCTAGCTCACAATATCAAAGACAATCAAATGTAAACACATTTATTTAATAAACAAAATGATTTATAATTAAATACTTACTGTTGGCTTCACTAGCAACTGACCCATCACTGTGAACATACGAGAAAGGCCAACTGGTGTACACACTGCAGAAATAAGATCACCAAAAGACAGAAAGCGACATTATAGAGCTTGGAGAAAGAGATAAACAACTAGACTGTAAAAATAAGGGAAATTCAAGGATTATCATTTTAAGAACATTCTTCTCTCCAACTGAGATTGTCAGTGTTTTGTCAGAGAACTCTTCACCATCATCAATAAAGAAGCTAGAGGGGCCATGTGAGCAGGATAGGTGTAATTAGTTATGAAAGATATGTGACAACAAAAAAAGGCTTAGAATAATATTCAAGATTCTAGCAGTTGAATAATAATAAATACTTTTGCTTAAAATAAAGAAAAATTAGCAAAGAACAGGTTAAATTTCAAGTATTAATAGGACTGAGAAACAAACAAGAATATCTAAAGGTGACAACCATAGTCTTAAGTCCTTTAAACTACATTTATCTACTTATCCCTGAGATAGGCTGTGATGCTTCAAGTAAAACAAAACAAACTTTTAAAAAACCACAAACTTATCATACATAATTCTACCATTTCCATTTAAAAGTAGAATCTAGCATTATGACAGGTATGGGGGTGAGGCTATAGCATGTGTGTATGAGTGTGCACATGGTTTGTGTGTCAGTGTATGTAAGTATGACTGTATATGAGTGTGTGAAAGTGTGTGAGTGTGAGTGTGTGTGTGTGTGTGTGTGTGTGTCTGTCCGTCTGTCTCACTCTACAACCCAGTAGAAGAAGCTTTCCTTAGAGAACAATAAAAGCATCTTATTATTTCAAAGTTTCCATTTATCAAAATTTATTTTGAATAAAAATAGTTAAGGCGAACTCAAAAAAAATCCAAATAGTTAAGAAATCTCATCAGAAAACTTCCCTGAATTTTCCAGAATAAGGACAACTCTACTTTTCTCTTAATATCAAGTCTGAAAAATACTTACAGAGAAGTAACAAACATCCCATCAATGATATACAGGAATATAAATAGGGTAGATAGAACTCCCAGAGATCTATTAAAAAAAAGTAAATATATTTTAATAAATCCAAAATACTGCACATTAAGATAGTCAGTCTATCTTACGATAAGATAGAGGCTGACTGTACCTCATGTAAACATTGTAATTGCCTATTTTAGTTTATTAAGCCATATAATTTCTAAATTGTACAATAAAAAGATCTAAAATAGAAAACCAAGAAGTAACCCTTTAGCAAAACCTGTCTGGAGGGAGAAAAAATGTCTCCACGGAATTTGAAGAACAGAAACCAATTAACAAAAACAAAAAAAAAAAATCTGAAAAGCTGCTTACTTGTTCTTCACATATAAAATAAATAAAACTTCATTTTTAGATAAAAATATCTAAAGATTTCTTAATTCTGTAAATTAACATCAAACATCTTTGTTAACTACACAAAGATTTAAATGTTTTTAAAATTGAGTGTGTAATTATATCCCAAACTACAGTTTCCAGTAAGGAAACTGGTTAAAACAAGGAAATCCATACCATATAAAGATTCCATGCTTGCGGCATCGTTGTCAATGAGTGCTGAAGCTACCCACACTATCCCAAGAATGAGTAACGCAAGAAGAAGAAGCATGACCAAAGTCTCTAAAATGCGGGCTCGGATTCCCTGAAAAATAGAGTAGAAATATAATTTTAGTATTTTACTTCATTTCATGAACAATAAGGTTTCTGCCTATATGAAAGCATAAAATAATCCCTTGGAAGGAGAGGAAATTTATATTTATTAAAAGGAAAAAAACACTAGGTACTTATGGTTTACAATGTTTAGACTGACTTTTCAAATTATGGAAAATATTATTAAGCTTGGATAAAACACAAAAAAAATTCTTCATAAAAAACATCTGCAGAGCCATTTTTAACAATTACTTTCCTAACACTTTCCACTAACAAAGCAGATTAATGAATTTCTATCCGTGATTCTAATCAAGGGAATAGAAGGCTAATTATGGCACAGAGCCAAACAGTTCAGTGAGCACTGAACTTGGTGCGCCACAATGCTCCGAGCTGCTGGAGAGCGCCGGCTCTCTCTAGCATGGACTCTGGTGCTCCTCACAGCCTCCGGAGCCCTCTACTGTGCCGCTGAAGAACTGTCCATTGTAATCCAGCATTATAAACTATAGAGATACTGCTTTTATCAGTTCTATATGATGCTTTTCTTCACATTATATAGAATTTTCATTAATCCATGAGACAAGAATATAATAATATAATCATTATGCACAACTTTGTTTTAAATGTAAAACAAATTCTGACTTCAGGACCAAACTAAAGGCCAGACTTTTAAAACTTAAAAACTGCAGGATAAGACAAAAAAAGAAACCGCTTTTACTCCCCAAAAAATCACCCAATGATTGAATCTGCACCTATAAGTTAAAGCATCATATTGATATTTTGTACTGCAATGCACTAACCTACAATTATCTAACACAACCAACAAAATTATAAATACATCCATATTTCTCAATAAATTATGTTATCTCATTCCACATTTAACATAAAAATATGAGTTATAAAATTCCAAAACATACACTTATTTCAATTTTGTCCTAAGTATTACTTTCTAGTTTCTGAATTGCAGGAATAGGATGCATTAAAATCACGGCACCCCAGTTCTTCAAATTCAATAGAAAGGAAAGAAAACGTCCTAAAAGCATGGAGAGGTATACCTAGCCCTAAATGATAACCTCTGAGGTGAAGTGACTTTTTCTTACTAGTCCTTCAACAATATCGCAGACTTACCACAAGGCTGCATTTGGCAAGTTTAAAACACTTCCTCAAATCTGAGAGTCAGCTCACCTTAAGTGTTCATAGCATGGGAGGCCAGTGAACCAGAATGAATTAGGCTTGTATTTTAACACATGAGATCTCATAGTAAGTAGCTATTAATCACAGGAGATGAAATGTGAATAGTCACAAAACACACTACTACTTTACTGAAGAGTCCTTTGAACTTCCACTTCACAACTTTCAAACTATTTAAGATGCTGATATGGTTTGCCTGTGTCCCCACCCAAATCTCATCTCGAATTGTAATTCCCATAATCCCCATGTGTCGTGGGAAGGACCCAGTGGGAGGTAACTGAATCATAGGGGTGGTTTCCCCCATGCTGTTCTCATGATATTGAGTGAGTTCTCATGAGATCTGATGGTTTTATAAGCGTCTGGCATGTCCCCCGCTGGCACTCATTCTCTCTCCTGCCACCCTGTGAAGAGGTGCCTTCTGCCATGATTGTAAGTTTCCTGAGGCACCCCAAGCCATGTGGAACTGAGAGTGAATTAAACCTCTTTACTTTATAAATTACCCAGTCTCAGGTATTTCTTCATAGCAGTGTGAGACAGAAAACAGACTAATACAGATACCAAAACATAATCTACCACCTTTAACAATGACTTCTCTCTTCCTTTCTTCCTCCTCCCCTCCTTTTCTCTCTTTCTAAAATCCTTTTTATTACACACTAAATATTTTATGGAAAGTCTATCAATAAACAGACAAAAGGAGATAAAATTATATCTTGCACGTTTATGCAGATTTGTTCTAGCGTTTGTGTTACACTCTCTCAATCCTGTCTTTCCCTGCCTCCAACCAGCCCCTAAGAAATATATGAACTAAAGAGTAGGGCTCCCAAAACAAATAACACATGCATTATACCTGTAATATACATGAGCTAAACAGTGTTAATAGTGTCTGAAGTGTTACAATATATGAACTACACAGTGTCAGCTCCTTGGAACCATTTAAAACCCACTGTCCAAAAGAAGTTGTCATTGTAATGTTAAATAATTATAACACTGTAACAATAATTTTTAGGATGATAATCAGTGTTGGGAAATCAATCACCATAAAATTTAGACTTCCTTTGATATTCTGGTAAGAACTATTTCTTAGTAATTAAACTTGTTTTCTTCAGGTATGTGCCTGGGTGCTGGGAGACAATCTCCACGGCGCTCTCACATTTCTGTACATCTCACAAGCAGAGGCAGGGACAGACCTTATTTGGAACTGTCTTCTTAAGGTCGTACAGCAGATGGCCTTGGGATTTAGAGATAGTGTATCTCTGAAGCAAAGGAGAGGTTTGTTTACTGTCTGGTAGCACAATGTTCACCTCCAAGCAAAGGTTAGACAGGGTTGCTTGCAGCCCGATATAAATATGGTGGGTTCCCCAGCTGTGATACAGGCCCACTGTGGGGCTTGGGTTCAAGGGCAACTGGCACCAAAAGGAAGCTTGTGCACTCGGTTATGTGCTGTGCATAACCAAGTCCTTTGTCTCTGACCCAGACATCTCAGGTTTACAACTAGCATCCATGAAACTCGGAGACTAACTTGTTAGTTTGCAAGCAGAATAAAATCTCAGACTTTTCACAGTTCTTGACGGTTTTTGGCAACAAGGATAGGGGACTAATAGATGGCTTTCTGGAAAAGAAAGAGGAGGGGCCCATGCAGATTGGCTTAAGGGATATGAGAAGACTCCTGGGATCTATTAATAGCAGTGAGTGTGCTCACCCAAGTGGTGGGCAAGCAGGAGGAGCAGGGACCCCAAGCAGTCCTAGCTGCTGGTGACAGTCTGCAGGCTGAGGTAAGCAGTGAGGCTGAGCCCACTGCTGGCTAGGTTGTCACTCCCTCTCCTCTGAGCGGAAGCATGAAGGAATGTCATCATGATGGTGTGAACTGTGAGCCATGCAACACCAGGTAAAAGGTCCTGTGGGTACAGCTGCTATTTCAAGGAGTCCCAAAGCTGAATAAACAGCGTCAGGAATGAGGCTGTAGACCAATGCCTAAACTGATGTCATTACAAATTTGGTTGAGCCATGAGTAGCCACTAGCCACTCAAAATGAAACGCGCCTTGCTTAACGGTGTGGGCCAGTCGCTTTTGCCATGCTCATTCAACTGTCCTCCCCCAATTCTGACCTCAGATGCTTAGGAAAAAAGATGATGGGGTAAAGTGGGGGTCTCCCTGTCCTTCAGGGGTGTAAAAGCCGTACAGACCCCCCTGAGCATGCAGGGGAACTTTAGGAAGCAGACGGACTCAAACTCACGGCTCTGCTGAGTACAGGAGCCCACGTCACCATCCTACCTGGTCCTTCACAAAGGACTGTGAAGTGACTGCACGGAATTGTTGGTGAACAATGACAAATTTTTTCTAAATAAAGAGAAATATAAATAACGATATATATAGTTATAAACTAAAATGCAATGCCAAAAAATATTTTTGAAAGATAAATCATTTAATAATTTTTTATTATCTTATACATTAAGAAGTGACATTCAGATGAGAAAAAAAGAGTTAAAGAAAAAATTCCATTTTAAATAGGGGTCATTTAAAACGATAATATTTCACTTTTTACTGACAGCAGAGAAATTAAAGTTAAATAATGCTACTAAAAACTTAAGGTTACCACTAATCTTACTAGTATCAAAATAATAAAACTAGTAACAGTAATAGTAACTAGTATCAAAAGTAATATTACTAAGATACTAGAAAACAGAACAAAAATGTAATAGTTAATATAGTAAAAAACAGAAAATCAAGTTTAGCAAAATATAAACATAACAAAATATATAAAATACGAAAACAGGAAATGATAAAAACCAAATATATCTACTATAACTATATATGCAAATTAGGTCAAAAAACACAATTAACTGTCTAAGACCTATCAAAACGAAAGTGATACTAAAAAAAGTGAAAATGATTAAAAATTATTGTTTAATTTTTTAAAAATGTACAGGAGTCTGGTTTAAATACAGAAGAATGCAAAACAAAAAACATTAAATGGGATAAAGTAGGACATTTCATATTGAAGAAATTTACTATCCACTATATTATTATGTTCTATTTCTTTAGATTAACTGGTGAGTACATAGCGCTTCATTGTTATTATTCTTTATACAATATTTAAATAAACAGAAAACGAGGCTGGGCACAGTGGCTCACACCTGTAATCCCAGCACTTTAGGAGGCCAAGGGGGATGGATCCCTTGAGGTCAGGAGTTCAAGACCAGCATGGTGAAAGCCCGTCTCTACTAAAAACACAAAGATTAGCTGTAATCCCAGCTACTTGGGAGGCTGAGGCAGGAGAATCGCTTGAACCTGGGAGGCGGAGGTTGCGTTGCAGTGAGCCAAGACTGCACCACTACACTCTAGCCTGGGCAACAGAGTGACTCGGTCTCAAAAAAAAACAAAAAAGTAAATAAATAAATACAACAGAAAACCTTTATTCATTATATTTAGCATGTTTATGCAAATTTGATAAGAAATTCATTTAGAATTTTAAAAATAAAAAATTCCTAAGTATGCCTCCATTGTGATGGGCTGCCACCACTCAGTGAATACCATCAGCTTCTGATGCAGCCAAAGGTCAGAGAGCCCAGCCTCGACATTAGGAGGGCTCAGGGGATTGAGGGCCTAACTGGGTGGTTTGGCTTCAGCAGTGGATTAGGAAATAGGGTTTCCCCCAGGAGGTATCTGCCACTTTTTCACATGAAACCTTGATACCAGGTAGCGCCAGGCAGGTTGAGCTCTGGAAGAGACCATTTTTATTTGGCTAGGAGGCCTGTTAAGCTTCTTCCATTTTACTGGACATGGAATCTAAATTGTTCCACCCCAGAAGAGGGATGCCAGGCTAGAGAGTCACATGGCCCCACAGGTTGGGTAATCCATTTCAACAAGAGCTGAGCAGCAGATTCACAGCTGTCCTTTCTCAGGAGTCCACTCGGAGGCAGTGGCAGGCAGGAGAGGCACCTGCTATTTTAGGAAATGGCCTCCTGGAGTATTTGTGAGCTATTAAGTCTCTCACAAAAGCTGAGATATTCGCTTCTCCTCCTGGGGCCCTATACTGTTTATATTGGGCCAAAGGGAAGGCACAGTCCCTGAGGCCAAGCTTGCATAGTATGATCATGTAAAACACGAATACCAATTTAATATAGAGTCAGCAGTGCAAGCTACATCACAGATGGAATAAGCCCAAACACCCTACTCAAAAAGTCACCTGATGCCAGGCTCAGTAGCTCACACCTGTAATCCCAGTGCTTCAGGAAGCTGAGGCACCACTCATTTCAGGACTGAGACTCCTTGACTCAGCAGCCACACCCATAATGCCTTCTGACTGGAGCTGGGGGCTTACTGCCCTGGTGTCATACCAACATTCCTTCGTCTTACAACAGGAGAGGAATGAACGACAGCCAAAGCACCATTCAGACTCATTACAGGTAGGAGTAATGTAATTACCAGGGGCCCTTCCTCCTCCGCCTCCCTCTCACCACTGAGTTGAGCACATCCACCACCAGATCTGAAGGTCTTTTCATATCACTAAACCTGGAATACAAGGTCCTTGTTCTTTCTCTGCACCATCCAATCTCATTGCCAAAACTGTCAGGTCTGGGGTCTGGTTCTATCCTTACAAATTAATAAGTTAGCCTGTTGCTGTTACATGGATGCTGGCAGGAGACACAAGACTCCTGGATCAGAAGCAAAGGATTTTATTACTCCGGTACAGCAAGAGGCATGAGTGCCAGCAGGTCATTTCCCCTGCTCCCAAGTCTTATGGATGGATGTTGCATATGCGACAGATCTGTGCAGCAGCTAAAGAACAGTGAGCGTGGGGAATCCACTGTTTTCACAGCACGTGGTAATAAGCCAGGCTGCTCTGTGGCCCAGAGGGAGCCATCACTTCATCCCTCAAGTTTGCTCAGAAGAAACACAACCCTAACAAATGGCCCAGGTAAAGAGCAGTCAAGACCTCACAGTCTTGGCACACCCAGAAAGAAAACGCAGGAATGCTTACGGCCCATGCAGACCGCCTCTCCTGACACACCACTCTATCAGTCTGTGACTGCCCAAGAATGAAAAAATATTAACAATGATACACAGAATCTGAAAAATAATAACAAGGTTGACTTAATAAACCTAAAGTAATCCCTTATAGGGAATATACCTCTATTTCAATCACTAAAGGAAAATTTACAAAAATGAATTTGAAATTAAACTACAAAAAGTATGTCTATCTTTTTTTTTAAGATGAGATCTCACTATGTTTCCCAGGCTGGTCTCTAACTCCTAGGCTCAAGTGATCCTCCCATCTCAGCCCCCTGAGTAGCTGGGATTACAAGTGCGCACCACCCTGCCCAACAAAATATATCAAGTTCTAAACTGCATCAGAACTACTGCATTAACAACAGAGAATAAGTCAAAATATCTGAATGCAAAAAATTAACAACAAAGCTTAAATTAAAATACACTAATGCAATCATAGGCCAACTAAAAAGTAACAAAACAAGAATACTTTATAAAAACATAAAGTGTAGAAAATCTGTATTCAGATGCTCAAATAAATGAGTTTTATTATGAAAGAAAAAATAAAAATAAAAATGAAGCACTCAACTCAAGAATTTGTAAAAGGAACAACAAAATAAATCCTAGCAAACCACAATACAGGAAGAAATAGGCCAGGCACGATGGCTCATGCTTGTAATCCTAGTACTTTTAAAGGGGGAGGCAGGAGGATCATTTGAGCCCAGAAGTTCAAGACCAGCCTGGGCAACATAGCAAGACCTTATCTCTAACAAAAATTTTAAAATGAGATGGGCATGGAAGCACACACCTGTAGTCCCAGCTACTTGGGAGGCTGAAGTGGGAAGATCACTTGAGCCCAGGAGTTTGAGGTTACAGTGAGCTATGATCGCGCTAGTGCACTCTAACCTGGGCAACAGAGTGAAATCCTGTCTCAGAAACAAATAAATAAAACAAAATACAACAGGAAATTAAAGTAAGTATAATAAAAAAGAGCAAAAAAGTAGGAAAAAATAAATCGAAGAATTCAGAATTCAAAAGAATTCTGATAAATGTCTGGCTAGAAAAATCAACAAAATAAAGTAGCAAAAACACATTAGAAATATGAAAAAAATGTAATCAAGACATAAGATTTTAAAAAGAATACCAAGTATAACTGTCAATAAATGGGAAAACAAACGACTTGAGGAACTAGAAAAACAAGAGCAAACCAACCCCAAAGCTACCAGAAGACAAGAAATAACCAAAATCAGAGCTGTTCTGAATGAAATAGAGACACGAAAAACCATATGAAAGATCAATGAAACCAGGAGTTGATTCTTTGAAAGAAAAAATAAGGTAGATAGACTGCTAGCTAGACTAATAAAGATAAAAAGAAGATCCAAATAATCACAATCAGAAGTGACAAAGACGGCATTACCACTGACCCCACAGAAATACAAAAAACCATCAGGGACTATTATGAACACTTTCATGCATACAAACTAGAAAACTTAGCAGAAATGGATAAACATACAAACATTCCGGGAAACATACAGCCTCCCAAGACTGAACCAGGAAGAAATTCAAACCCTGAACAGATGAATAATGAGTTCTGAAACCGAGTCTGTAATAAAAAGCCAACTGACTAGAAAACGCTCAGGATCAGATAAATTCATGACCGAATCCTATCAAATATTTAAAGAACAGCTGGTACCATTCCTACTGAAACTATTCCAAAAATTTAAAAATAAAGGACACCTCCCTAACTCATTCTATGAGGCCAGCATCATTCTGATACCAAAACCTGGCTAAGACACAAAAAGAAAAAGAAAACTTCACACCAATATTCTTGATAAACACAGATGCAAAATCCTCAACAAAATACTAGCAAACCAAATCCAGCAGCACATCAAAAAGCTAATCCACCATGATCAAGTAGGCTTTATCCCTGGGATGGAAGGTTGGTTCAACACACTCAAATCAATAAATGTGATTCATCAAATAAACAAAACTAAAAACAAAAACCACATGATCAGCCAGGCGTGGTGGCTCATGTCTGTAATCCCAGCACTTTGGGAGGCTGAGGCAGGTGGATCATGAGGTCAGGGGTTCAAGACCAGCCTGACCAACATGGTGAAACCCCGTCTCTACTAAAAATACAAAAATTAGCCAGGCATGGTAGCGCAAGCCTGTAATCCCAGCTACTCAGAAGGCTGAGGCAGGAGAATCACTTGAACCTGGGAGGCAGAGGTTGCAGTGAGCCAAGATCGTACCACTGCACTCCAGCCTGGGTGACAGAGCGAGACTCCATCTCAAAAAGAAAACCACATGATCATCTCAACGGATGCAGAAAAAGCTTTCTATAAAATTCAACATCCCTTCATGTTAAAAACTCTCAACAAACTAGGCTTTGAAGGAACATATGTGAAAATAATAAGAGCCATCTTTGACAAACCCACAGCCAACATCATATGGAACAGGCAAAAGCTGGAAGCATAGCCCCTTGAGAACCGTAACAAGACAAGGATGCCCATTCTCACCACTCCTATTCAGCATATTACTGGGAAGTCCTGGCCAGAGCAATCTGGCAAGAGAAAGAAATAAAAGGCTGGGTGTGGTGGCTCGCACCTGTAATCCCAACACTTTGGGAGGCCGAGCTGGGTGGATCACCTGAGGTCAGGCATTTGAGACCAGCCTGACCAACACAGTGAAATCCTGCATCTACTAAAAATAAAAAAATTAGCTGGGCGTGGTGGCAGGCACCTGTAGTCCCAACTACTAGGGAGACTGAGGCAGGAGAATAGCTTGAACCCGGGAGGCAGAGGTTGCAGCAAGCCGAGATTGTGCCACTGCACTTCGGCCTGGACGACAAAAAACGAAAAGAGAAGAGAGGAGAGGAGGGGAGGGGAGGGGAAGGGAGGGGAGAGGAGAGGCATTCATATAGGAAGAGGAAGTCAAATTATCTCTGTTTGCAGATGATATAATTTCATATCTAGAAAATCCCATAGTGTCTGCTCAAAAGCTGCTGGATCTAATAAGCAATGCCAGCAAAGTTTCAGGATATAAAATCCATGTACAAAAATCAGTAGCACTTCTATAGACCAATAACATCCAAGAATGGCCACAAAAAAATGAAACAAAATAAAATAAAATAAAATAAAAACCTAGAAATACAGCTAGTCAGGGAGGTGAAAGGTCTCTACAAGAATTAAAAAACACTGCTCAAGGAAATCAGAGATGACACAAACAAATGCAAAAACATTCCATGTTCATGGATAGGAAGAATCATTGCTAAAATGGCCATACTGCCCAAAGCAATTTACAGATTCAATGCTATTCCTATCAAACTACCAATGACATTCTTCACAGAATTAAAAAAAACTACTCTAAAATTCATATGGAACCAAAAGAGCC
The DNA here is from genome assembly GCF_000001405.40 of Homo sapiens. Classification (NCBI taxonomy): domain Eukaryota; kingdom Metazoa; phylum Chordata; class Mammalia; order Primates; family Hominidae; genus Homo; species Homo sapiens. The sequence continues at coordinate 156,773,374 of NC_000007.14, forward strand.
CATATAGTCAAAGCAATCCTAAGCAAGAAGAACAAAGCTGGAGGTGTCACACTACCCAACTTCAAACTATACTACAAGGCTACAGTAACCAAACGAGCATGGTACTGGTATAAAAACAGACACATAGATCAATGGAACACATAGATCAATAGAGGGCCCAGAAATAAAGCCACACACCTACAACCATCTGAACGTCAACAAAGTCGACAAAAACAAGCAAAGGGGAAAGGATTCCCTCTTCAATAAATGGTACTGGGATAACTAGCTAGCCATATGCAGAAGACTGAAACTGGATCCCTTCCTTACACCATATACAAAAATCGATTCAAGATGGATTAAAGACTTAAATGTAAAACCTAAAACCGTTAAAAACCCTGGAAAAAAAACCTAGGAAATACCATTCTAAACAGAGGCCCTGGCAAAGATTTCAGGATGAAGACACCAAAAGTAACTAAAACAGAAACAAAAATCGACAAATGGGACCTAATTAAACTAAACAGCTTCTGCACAGCAAGAAACAAGCAAACAAACAAACAAACCAACAGAGTAAACAACAAGCTAAAGAATGGGAGACAATATTTGCAAACTATGCATCTGACAAAGGTCTAATGTCCAGAATCTATAAGGAACTTAAACACATTAATAAGCAAAAAAAAAACCACACTAAAAAGTGGGCAAAGAATAGGAAGAGACACTTTTCAAAAAAAGAAATACATGTGGCCAAGAAGCACATGAAAAAAATGCAACAACACTAATCATTACAGAAATGCAAATAAAAACCACAATGACACACCACCTCATACCAGTCAGAATGGCTATTATTAAAAAGTCAAAAAAACAACAGATGCTGGTGAGGTTGCAGAGAAAAGGGAATCCTCATGTACTGCTGGTGGGAATATAAATTAGTTCAGCCATGTGGAAAGCAGTGTGGCGACTTCTCAAAGAACTTAAAACAGAACTACCATTTAATCCAGCAATCCCATTATTGGGTATATACTCAAAGGAATATAAATGATTCTAACATAAAGATATATGCACTCATATGTTCACTGCAGCACTATTCACAATAGCAAAGGCATGGAATAACCTATATGCTCATCAAGGGCAGACTGAATGAAGAAAATGTGGTACATATACACCATGGAATACTATGCAGCAATAAAAACAAATGAGATCAGCCGGGTGAGACAGCTCACACCTGTAATCCCAGCACTTTGGGAGGCTGAGGTGGGCAGATCATCTGAGGTCAGGAGTTCAAGACCAACCTGGCTAACATGGTGAAACCTCATCTCTACTAAAAATACACAAATTAGCCGGGCGTGGTGGCGGGCACCTGTAGTCCCAGCTACTCAGGAGGCTGAGGCAGGAGAATCACTTGAACCTGGGAGGTGAAGGTTGCAGTGAGCCAAGATTGTGCCACTGCATTCCAGCCTGGGTGACAAGAGCGAGACTCCATCTCAAAAAAAAGGAATGAGATCATGTCTTTTGCAGCAACATGGATGGAGCTGGAGGCCATTGTCCTAAGCGAACTAATGCAGGGATAGAAATCCAAACAGTGCATGTTCTCCCCTGTAAGTGGGAGCTAAACATTGAGTATACATGGACGAAAAGAAGGGAACAACAGACACTGGGGCCTACTTGAAGGTGGACGGTGGGACAAGGGGAAGGATCTACCTATCTATCAGGTACTATGCTTACAACCTGGGTGACGAAGACAAGCACGGTGGCTCACGCCTGTAATCCCAGCACTCTGGGAAGCCCGGGTGGGCAGATCACTTGAGGTCAGTAGTTCAAGACCAGCCTGGCCAACATGGAGAAACCCCATCTCTACGGAAAATTCAAAAATTAGCTGGGTGTGGTGGCACACGCCTGTAATCCCAGCTACTCAGGAGGCCGAGGCAGGAGAATCACTTGAACCTGGGAGGAGGAGGTTGCAGTGAGCCGAGGTCAAGCCACTGCAATCCAGCCTGGGCGACGAAGTGAGACTATGTCTCAAAAATAAAAATAAAAAATGAAGATCTTCCTAAATAATTTTACCAAATATTTTAAAAGATCACACATGCACACATACATTGACAAACTAAACAACCTCCACCTCTAATTGTAAAAAAACAGATGAATGAATTATTATACTTCCATAGCGTAAGACATTATATCTTAAATCATGGTGAATGTTCATAATATAACCTCACTGCATAAACAGTATGACCTATTTTTAAAAATACATTTAGAAAAAATATGTGAACATGGATAATTAACAGTCTTATCTCTAGAACTACAATTATAGGGAATAATTCTTCCATTATACTTTATGCTTTTCTGTTTTTTTCTGAATTTTTTAGAGTGGGTGTGTATGACTTATGTAGTAAGAGTACCAACTAATGTTCTTTTTAATTTTTAATTTTTTCTTAAGAAGTAACTTCCAAGAGACTGGAACCCAAAAAAGCTTTTAAAAAATAGATCTGATTTCAGTTTATGAGACATACTAGGCTGGTTAAGAGCCCCAATGCCAGAAGTAAATTGCTTGGGTCCAAATCCTGTTTCCACTACTGTATAACCTTGGGCGAATTACTAAGCTTTGCTGTGCCTCAGTTTCCTCCCATGTGAAATGAGGATATGAATAGCACCCCTACCTTATAGGGTTGTTATAAAGATCGAATGAGTATTATATATATATGAGTTATATATATTATATATGTAAATTATACATATTTTATACATTTTTATATATGTAAATTATATATATTTTATATATATATATGCTTAGGACAATATCTGGTTCTTAGTAAACACAATGTAATGGTTCACTATAATGACTCAAACTATTACCTTTGTCTCTGAAATTTCCAAGGCTTGGGAGTTCACATATCATTTGTGTTTCTAAATTAAATGTATGCCACCTTCTAATGCCATCCTATCACTCTCTTCCCAACTTTGTTCCCGACCATCTACAAACCTATAAGAAGCAGTCCCATCTTTCTCCATGATATGAGCACCTGGTTCACAAGTACTTCTTATCACATCCCCTGCCCTCGTAAGTAACATCCTAGCTCATCACCTCAATTCCAGTGAGATTCATTCCCATTCTACAGTAGCCACCCACACATGCATTGATCCTATTCCACCATCTCTCAGGATCACCTCTAAGAACTCCAACTTTGAAACTGCCCTCTTAGTCCACAATTTCCTGTCTTTTCTTGTCCCCTCAGTGCCCTAGCCTAGCTCTGCCTCCACATCCTCAGAACCTTCACTCCCTTGTTCCCTCCTAATCCTTCCAACCAGTCTTCTCTTCCCTGGCCTCAACCCCATGGTTCACTAGTGAATTTTGATGATGAGCCAGTATCAACAATATTCTGGAGCTCCCTGAACCTTTGGCTTCCACCAGGCCAGCTTCAACAATCCCCTGGCGCCTACTCCTTGATTCCCAGCCCTGTCAAAAAAACTTTGTATTATACAATCATGAGAAAGTTTTACTACGACATTCCAAAGTGGGCCTTCAATGCTACTTGGCAATCTTTATACTGATCTCTGGCTGACTTTAGCAATTTTCACAACTTTTTTTTTTTTTTTTGGTTTTGAGATGGAATCTCGCCTGTCGCCCAGGCTGGAGCGCAGTGGCACGATCTCGGCTCACCGCAAGCTCCGCTTCCTGGGTTCACGCCACTCTCCCGCCTCAGCCTCCTGAGTAGTTGGGACTACAGGCGCCAGCCACCACGCCCAGCTAATATTATCTCTGTATTTTTAGTAGAGATGGGGTTTCACGGTGTTAACCAGGATGGTCTCGATCTCCTGACCTCATGATCTGCCCACCTCAGCCTCCCAAAGTGCTGGGATTACAGGCATCAGTCACCACGCCTGGCCTTTCACAACATTTTTTAAAATGTTTTCCTTTCTTTTTTATCTATAATCTCATCCTCTACTTCCTTCCAACTACAATTGACTTTCCTCTACCTCAGTAGGACACAGCTGAGTGGGGTCTGTGAGTCCCTCACCTTCCCTCCTCTACACCTTAGCTACTGTTTCCATTTCTAATTCTTTCGTTCTATAAAAGAAAATACCTTGAATCCCTTTTCTCCTGTGGCCCAATCTCAGATGTTCATCTTCTCACATGTCATATCAGTGCTTCTCAAATGTCAACCTGCATCATAATTACCAAGGGGCCTGCCAGTTCCTGAGCATCAACCACAAAGTGGTGACTCAGTTGATTCTGATGAAGACGGTTCACAGATATACTGCTCAGTTTTTACCTAAGTGATCTTGCCTCTTCCAATAGCCAACAACTCTGAAGTTTATATCTTTAGTCCAAATCTTACTGCTGTGGCCAAGAACCATATACACCAACTGCCGTCTTTCATTAGACATCTCACCAGTACCTTAAACTTAATTCTAAGACCAAACTCATCATTTTATTCTCTATCTCTGCTCCTCCTTCAATATCACATACCTGAAAACATGACATCATTACCCACTTTGTTGTTTATGCCAGATACTTTGGAAACACCCTTGTCACCTACCTTTCCTGCTGAACCCCATACCCTACCCCCACCATACACCCTGAGCCTCGGTCCAGTCAAACACCAAGTGCTTCTGATTCTACTGTGTAATTACAACTCAAATTCATCCCTTCTTTTCCTACTGCCACCATACCCATCCAAGACGATGATTTTTCTATTATAGGTACACAAATAATAACAAGAACTGTCTGAAATACATACTCACATGTTTAAGCAGTCCATTCAGAAACATTTAGCCAAAAGAACTCTCTGTAGTCAATCATATAAATTGTTCAAAAAGTTATTTCAAATTAGTCAATATTTCTTTTGAAAGTCAGTAAATAACTCACAAAAAGAAATCTGCTCATTTCTAGTTATCGATCTACATTACAAGAGTAAATCAACAATACTAATAGAAAAGGCTGCCACGGTACAAGCCATCAAAATTATTTAATATGATTATGCTTGTCCTATGAAATATTAAGATAACTGATATAGTAAGAAAGAGCTGTTATTCTGACTTAATCCACTGGGAGGCTAGGATAGTTAAGTTTTCCCTTTTGTTAATTTTATTTTCTTTCTGTGATTAAATGAGACAAAACCTGTCCAACTTAAAATCAATTAAATACCACATGCGTGAGCTTTACATAAACCTTTTAAAAAGATAAATATGTTCATTAAATGCAAGGTGGCAAATTTTTTACCTTCAAAAACTTTGAGCTAGAGAGAAGAGAGATGATGAGACTATAGTCAGAAATTTCATTTGTTAATTCAGCTTCCACTAGTAAATATACAAGTACTCAAAATCTATAAGCTGTTATCACTATCTTTCTTGAGATCATAAAAATATTACCAAGCTTCAAGAACACAGCCTTTATGGCATGCCATGTGTGAGATTGTTAGACTTTTGGATGCCATTCTGACTACAAAGTAATGAAAAGCATTGTGAGCACTTTTATCACCACCATTAATCACCAGCAGCACAGCATATAAGCAAAAAATATGCCGACTGCTCATTTTTCCATTAAGGGTCAGAATCAGGAGCTAGAAAGCCCCGAGGGGAAGCTTCCTATCAACTCCATTCTTGCATATACTGAGCTAAAAGATGTACCAGATGTCAGAATAACTTATTAAAATGCGCTTCAAACAACAAAGTGGCAAAACACTGTAAACAAGGAAGAAGGTCTTCATTGTTCCTCTAGTGAAAAAAGTCTCCTGAATACAAGATCACAGGACTATAAGAACTTCTATTTATTAATCAATAACTGTACTTCCTTCACCTAGTTTTGAATGCTTAGATTATGTCATATATCACCAGGATTTCATGAACTTCACAATATTTTTATTTCCCAGTATGAACACTTATCCTGCCATCCCCCACAAAAAAACCCGTTAAGTTTAAATTACTTTAGCGAAACTCCTTCCTTCTGATTAAAATTGCAGTATAATAAGCAGTCAGTATATTAGAAACACCACTGAAATTAAGTACTTTTCTGCCAATGAAACATGAGTTGTTTTGAGTAAGCTATAGAATTAATCACGTTATTTCATACCAGCATTTTTTGAAATTACAACAACCTCAATATTATAAAAGGTTAAATTCGATGAAATAGATTAGTAAAGACTAAACACTTGTAGACACACAGATTTCTTTTAGATTTAAATGGGAACTAAATGGATAGTCTACTACACTCAAATGGTTATGATATAATTGCTTCTTGGAATTTTTGTGCTGGTCAATTATACATTTAATTCACATCAATGAAGTGAAAATTACAATGTACTTACAAAAGCTCTATGGAGAAGCTGTCATGTTTCTATGGTGATGAACATTTAAACAAGGTTTTGCCTGGACATCTTGCCCTCCTGTAAGGGATGTAAAAACCACTTCATACACTATGTCTCTACCCATTAGGAAGCCTGGGAAAACTTCTACATTCACAGAACATTTAAAATAAATATCAAGCTATTGTTTTCACTTAACAAAAAGGGTCTCTCAGTAACATTAAAATAAGGTTTGCTCAGCATGGCATCAAGATTGCACCAAACATATACACAGTCATCAGGGGAAGATCGGTAGAAGTACTAATAAAGAACAGAAAATAAAAGCAGGTATTAATTATTTTATTTTAAGCCATGAAAAAACTACAAATAAGCATCTCTAGAGAGTGTCAAACATTTCTCCCTTTGCTCCCAAGTAATCATTAAGAGCATACACGAAAAAGCTTTGGTCTCACGTCAGAGAAAACGGCTTTGTGAAAAGCTTTGTTAAGGTCTATAGTAAAACAGTGAAATGTTTTTTAATATTAATATGCTATGCAGTCTATTTTATACACAAATATACTTAATGTGGTCTATACAAGATGAAAAAATTAAAACTATAAGATGCTCAAGCTGTTAAAGCTGGACAAAAAGAAAGTGCTTGGGGTAAGCTAAAATAAAAACACCAACATTGCCAGTTCATTGAATTAACATCTCCATTGCATTAAAATTTGTAGGCAGAAATTCCCCATGATATTAGACAAATAAAAATCCTCCAGATTACAAATGAATTAATACATGTTTTCAATATGTAAATGAAAGAACTGAATTATAAAAAGACTATGGTAACTAGATATCAAAATTTTTACACATAATTCTGAATTTGGGAAAAAAATATTTCTTAGTACACCAAATCACATCAAATAATTCACTGGTTCACTAGTAAGGCTCTTTTCTTCTATTTTTGTTCTAATAATTCTTCAGTTCAAAATTCATAGAAAAGAAGAAATGAGAACTAACACTTGCAGAGCTCCTACTAGTTGCTTTATACGTGCTTACTGAATCTTTGCAATATATTAAAAGGTAAATTTGATTACACATAACAAAGTTCACACTCAAAAGTGAAATAATTTGCCTGCATGCCAGAATTCACTTTCAATTCAGGTCTGTCAGCCCTCAGGGCCCTGTGCTTTCCACCCCTACCCTTCACCTCCACCCTTCACCCCCACCTCCCCAGTGACAGAAATAAGTCACAAAAGACAACACCACATGGAAATGAGGAAGTGGGGGAGAATGCTTAAAAGAAACAAGACAAACCTATGATTTTAGTAAAGGACCTAAAAGCTTCTTTTACTGGAACGTTAGTTTTCAGTTCCATAAAAGCAAGCTCATACTAAGGTCAAATGCTCAGTCTTGTAAGAAACCTGTAATGCAGAAGACCATCTTAGCCAATATCCACTTTCATTTCATGAAACACTCAGGCACAAACTCCAACAAAGATACAACAAAAGAAAGATCATTAGCATTATTACTTATTATTACAGTGAAACATAAAAGATATTAAGTTTTAAAATATAATAAAAAGCAATGCCACGTGACAATTTAGGTAATAACATCATATTGCTTATGTGGCAAATAATACTTTACACAAAAAGCACTAGAAATTCCAAAACACCACAGAAGATCCTTTATGACAGTGAACAAAATAGGAAAGATGTACATGAAAGCTTCCGGCTTCCTGCTCTCACTCCAGACTAGTCCCCCGTTAGCTCCTTTGGGCCCTTCTCTCCCAGGTTTCCACATTTCCTGCATCTCTCAATAAATAATAGCTACTTTGGGTGGGCAGGTATCAGTGCAGATGCATACATACATATTAGTATTTTATTAATATATTTATATATTTTTCCATTGAAAATCAGCAAGTTGGCATTTGGTTTTATGTATCAGCCTCTGTTTAGCTAATGTGAGCTGATCATCAAGGGATACAAATCACCCTTTTCCCTTTCTATTTTAAAATAAAAGTTTACTATTTAGCTTTACATGTCTATTAAATACCCATGGATATACTACCCAACTAGAACAAACATTACCATGACCATCCTCCCAACCAAGTCAACCTTCTGCACCAACCTACCCACAGGTAACCACAAAACACTGCCATGTTTATCATCCATTTGCGTTTTTTAAAATTGTGGTGAAATATGCATAACATAAAGTTCACCATCGTAACCATTTTTAAGTGTACAGTTCAGTGGCATTACTACATTCACACTGTTATGGTACCATCACCACCACCCATCTCCAGAATGCTTTTCATATTCACCAACTGAAACTCTGTACCCATTAAACAATAACTTCCCCCCCAATACACAATCCCTGGCAACCACTATGCTACTTTCTGTTTCTACAACTTTGACAATGCTATAGGTATCTCATTTAAGGAGAATCATATAGAATTTGTCCTTTTGTGACTGGACTGTTTAACTTAGCAAGGTTCATCCACGTTGTAGCATGTGTCATAATTTCCTTCTTTAGGGCTGAATAATACTTCATTGTATGGATATATCACGTGTGGTTTACTCATTATTCATCATACACAGTTGGATTGCTTCCACCATTTAGGTATTGTGAATAATGCTGCTATGAACATGGGTGTACATGTATGTGTTGGAGTTCCTGCCTTCAATTCTTTTAGATGTATATCCAGAAGTGGAATTGCTGGATCAGATGGTAATTCCATTTTTAATTTTTTAACAAATCGTCATATTGTTTTCCACACCAGCTCTTCCGTTTTACCTTTCCACCAACAATGCACAATATTCCCAATTCCTCCACATCCTTACCAATGCTTGCTGTTTTCTGGGTTTGGCTAGTAGTCATCCTACTAGGAGGTATCTCATTGCAGTTTTGTTTGTTTGTTTGTTTGTTTGTTTTTGAAACAGGGTCTCACTTTGTCATCCAGGCTGGAGTGCAGTGGTACAATCTCGGCTCCCTGAAACCTCCACCTCCCAGGTTCAAGCGATTCTCCCGCCTCAGCTACCCAAGTAGCTGGGATTACAGGCACACGCCACCATGCCCAGCTAATTTTTGTATTTTTACTAGAGACAGGGTTTTGCCATATTGGCCGGGCTGGTCTCAAACTCTTGGCCTCAAGTGATCCTCCTGCCTCAGCTTCCCAAAATGGAGGGATTACAGGAATGAGCCACTGGGCCTAGCCTCATTGTAGTTTTGATCTGCATTTCCCTAGTGATTAGTGATGGTGATAATCTTTTTATGTGCTTATTGGCCATTTGTGTATCTTCTTTGGATAGACTTTGGATGTCTATTCAGTTTCTTTGCCTATCTTGTAATATTTGATAGAGGAAGTTCCATCACCTAGTTCTTCAAAATTGCTCCGGCTATTCTTGGCTTTCTGCACTTCCATTAAATTTTTACTACCTGCTTGTCACATTCTATAAGAAAACTTTGCAGAATTTTTATTAGAATTGCAAAAACTCTAAAAATTATGAACACAGAATATCTATCAATTTATTTAGGTTTTCTTCAACATCTTTCTTTTTTTGAGACAGGGTCTTCCTTTATCACCAAAAGTGAAGTGCAGTGGTACAATCATGGCTCACTGCAGCTTCAAACTCCTGGGCTCAAGCAATCCTCCCACCTTTGCCTCCCGAGAAGCTGGGACTACAGGCATGCACCAACCAGGCTCAGTTAATTTTTTTTATTTTGTATTTTGTAGAGACAGGGCCTCGCTATGTTGCCCAGGCTAGTCTCGAACTCCTGGCCTCCTGCGATTCTCCCACCTCAGCCTCCCAAAGTGCTGGGATTATAGGCATGAGCCACTGTGTCCAACCAACATCTTTCAATAAGATTTTTTGTTTCCATTATTGTTTCCATAAAGGCTTTAAATATCATTCGTTAGATTTATTTCAACATACCTTAGGCTGTCTTGCTATTATAATTGATTTTCAGTTTGTTGCTGGTATTTATTGATTTTTTTAAATATATTAATCCTTGTACCCAGCATCCTTGTTAAATTTTTTTATTTGAATAATCTATTTTTAAATTCAGCTGAGCTTGACTTTCTAGTTTTATTTGCCGCTATGCAGTTTCATTAGGACTCATGTACAGGTAGTGCATGAAAACATTCCTATCCCTTCTAGACACTGCTCTTACCCATAACAGGAAAGAAAGAAGACAGCTCCTTCAATGGTGTAAGAGATCAGGCCATGTCAGCTCATCAACTTCATCATCAAAGTGTATGTGTAGAATTTGCTTCAGAAATGAAAGTCTTTTTTGTCAGATAATACCTTCGTAATTATCACTCTTCTTGTTGTATTTTGTTTATTTTTTGTTATTTTGGGTTTTTTTCTGTTTTTTTTTTTTTTACAGCATCACACTATAATACTAGCTTGCTTCTAAAAGTGGTAACCAGCTCTGAATGGTGTAGAATGACTCAGCAGCATGCATTTCTGGCAATACTGAGGACTAGATATCCTTAAGTTTTTCTGTTAAAGAAAATCCCCTAGATAATATATTAAAAGTCTCCTTGAAATATTTTTTGTCTACTAACTCTTTGAGTAATACACCGAGTTTGGGGCCTCTCACGGTGTTGGCTTTTCTCAAATGTTTGTTCGTCTTTGAATTCTCTGTTCATCTCCGTATTTAAGAACTCTTGTCCTGCTTGTTCTCCCTATCATCTCCTGCCTCTGATGATACTGAATTTAGTGAATAGATCTAGAGAGTGGACGGAGGCAGGCAGGACTAATTCTGGGAGCTGTCTTGTATGTTGGTGGACCTTTATGAGCATTAACATGAACTCTCACATCACCAGTACCCACGTTCACTACTTCAGCCCAAAGCAAATGCTACACTGCCTGCTGACTGCAGCTCCCTTCTCAGCACCCTGCTTCTGTCTGTCCCTTATGTCCTTCAGTAGCAGAGCCACATGGTTTTAATTCTCTTAAAGCCAGGTCAAAGGAGAACTTGAGGAGCGCAGACAATCAAAAATCCTAAAATCAATCTGTGAAACTGCATAATATCCTATGGGAAAATAAAATGAAATGTTAGGGTTATCTTTTATACGGGGGAAGTCAATTGTGTCTCTATTAGATAAAATTCATCTGCATTGCTCTCTACTTCCTCCAAGGTAACTCTAACTCTACACAGATGTAAAAGGGCCTAGGCAGTGGAAAGTCAGTCAAAGGCACATACTCCTCCAGGACCTGATAATCCCCAGGATCTACCACACAATGCCCAGGACTCCATTAACAGACACCTGCATCTCTTTTGCCCATCCAGGACTCCACTAACAGACATCTGCATCTCTTTTGCCCAGTTCCAAGTCTTGGACAATTTTTCCCGGCACCAGAAAAATATATGTACACAAGATGAACTGTTAAAGTAAGAAGGACATAAAATATAAGTACACACTAATTACAGTAAAACAATAATCCAAGTACAAATGTTGACAGGTACTTTGGAATGATACAAAACATGATTTGGGGCCAGGCACGGTGGCATACACCTGTAATCCCAGCTACTTGGGAGGCTGAGGCAGGAGAATCACTTGAGCCCGGGAGGCAGAGGCTACAGTGAGCCAAGATTGCACCACTGCACTCCAGCCTGGATGACAGAGCAAGACTCTGTCTCAAAAAACACAAAAACAAACAAACAAACAAAACCCAATATGATTTGGGGTTAACTGGAGTTCTATAAAATTGTAAAAATTAGAATATTAACGAAAATGCAATAGAAGGCAAGCTAAACAGTAAAAGTAACCAAAACCATCAGTGTAATATGCTTCACGCAAGCCAAATAAGACCCAGGAGAGGTAAACACTAAGAATCCTGACATACGGATGTATTCAGCAGTGGCTCGCAAACTTATAGGAATCATCTTGCAACCTTGAGAAGGAGTTTCTGAACGCTGCCTTGGAAAAAAATCTTCCTTCAACAGAACCTTAAGGTCAGGAGAGACTGACACAACTACAAAGCTTTGCCCTGTTTGCTACAGAGCAAAGGACAGAAGAAAAGACTTGGGCTCCATACCTGTAGAATAAATCTGAGCAGATTCAAGCAGAGACAATCTGAATCTTCCCAGAGGTGGAAACAAGGCCAAAGAATGCAAAAAAGTTAATAAAGAACTGAACTACTACTATGTTCCAGATAAAAGGTCAGTAAAGCTAACAGGTAGAAGAGGAGTCATTAGTTCAAGATGATGGGTCTCACAACACACACTTTTTAGCATAAAAGATGAGAGAAATATACAATAAATCACCAATCTACATGTCCCTAACACTAACAATAGTACCTAGCATGCAATAAGCCACCAATAAATATTAACTGAATGATTTAATTATGCCAGAGGACAGAAGCACCAGCAGACTAGTGACATTGAGAAGTTCCTAAAAGACAGCAAATAAATGGGATCAAATCTATGGGAAAATGTCCAAGGAAAGGTATAGATGGGAGGCAGGGAGGGAGGGAAGGAGGGAGGCTGTGAAGGAGGGAAAGAAGGAATGAGGCCGGGAGGGAAGGAAGGAAGGAAGGAGGGAGGAAAGGAAGGAGGTAGGGAAGGGAAGGGAAGGAAGGAGGAAGGGAAGAGAAGGAGGAAGGAGGAAGGAGGAAGGAGGAAGGGAAGGGAAGGAGGGAAGGAAGGAAGGAGGGAGGGGAAAAAAGAAGAAAAAGGTTAGCAGTGATTCCCAGTGCTACAAGCTTATAGTCAAGAAGTTCAAAAATACGTTTAATAATAGGTAAGAATATTAAGAAATCATAGGTAAGGGTAACGTTATTGTATAAATTGCTCTAGAATAACTGAATAGTAATACAGAGAGAAAATAACTTAGATTTTCTCTTTTTAACCACCTCACAAAATTAGCTACAGGTAGACGAAAATATTAGATCTTTGCAAAACTCAAGGACAAAGTAGCCAAAATAGAATAGACTATATTATTCATCCCAACTTTGAAGGAATGATAACACTTGAAGAGTGAAACCAACTATCAAATTACTAAGAGTTTAGTTGAAGTGTAAAAATGTAGAAAAGCTAGCAGAAAACAAAATCAGGTTTTGTTTGGGCCTGCTTATATAATGTTTGTTATCAAGTCCTGAGTTTTCTCACACAATTAATTTAAAGAAAATTAAACAGCATGTGACATGGTTAAGTAGGACCAAGTCAAACATATATATTATGAATCTTAAATTATAATAAATCAACTTTCTAAAACCAGCCTTAATTATATCTTTATATATATACCCTTTCTAATCAAAATTTACCTAATATATATTTGATTAAAATGATTAAATTATACATAACATTTTTAATCAACTTTAATGCTATTTTCTTGGCTTAGGATTTTCCAACAATACAGGTATCTATAGTAATATTAGCCGCAAACTCTTGGGAAGTCAGCGCCTACAGATGAGCTCGCAGGGGAGACTTTCTTCTGCCCAGAGCTAAGGCTGACAGTCTTCCTCTATCAATGGGCAAGGTGTGCGCATGCTTTAAAATCTGCCCTTTGCCTGAGCGCTTCTTACTGAGCCTCAGTTCTGACTCCTAGTCTCTATGTGCCTCTAACCTCATTTTTCCCAAACTAAAGGTCCCACGTTACCTTGTGACCACCCTCTCTCCCCTGCTGAGGAAACCATAGCCTGGCTTATTCACTTACTCTTGGGGTTTTGTTGTTCCTGTTTGTTGTTCTTCAAATACTCAGAGATTTTTCTGGCTTTCTTGAGAACTTATCTATGTACTTAATAATACAGGCTGCTTGTTATATAGTTATATTTTTGACAAGGTCCTATTTTACAATAGGATGTGCTGTTTAACTTCCTTTAAACCAACTATGTAAAAAAAACTCATGAGGTGACAACAAACATATATAATCAGGCTCAAATAAAGCCTGATGTAGAAAATACAAAGACCAAAATTTCTCTTTGCATGACAATTTAACAATATTTTTGAAACTCTAATCTGCTGAACTTCTAAAACCCTGATTTATTTTTTATAATTTCCATGTTATTTCTACATGCTGAAATAAGAAAACATTTCAAGGAGTTATTTCCCAATAAGTGATAAATATTTCTCAGTAAGTAACATTCCATGTCTAAGTTGTCTATTTTCAATAAAGTCAAACTAGATATAACTGGATCTTTTTTTCTTTTATTTTTTAGAGACGGAGTCTCGCTCTGTCGCCCAGGCTGGAGTGCAACAGCACGATCTTGGCTCACTGCAACCTCCACCTCCCAGGTTCGAGCGATTCTCCTGCCTCAGCCTCCTGAGTAGCTGGGATTACAGGTGCCCACCACCACACCTGGCTAATTTTTATATTTTTAGTAGAGACAGTGTTTCACCATGTTGCCCAGGCTGGTCTCAAACTGACCTCAGGTAATCCACCTGCCTTGGCCTCCCAAAGTGCTGGGATTATAGGTGTGAGCCACCATACCTGGCCTAGTACTCCATTTCCTCTGTGTGGCATTAATTTTAAGGTTTTAGGGCCATCCTGATGTGCTATACGAAAGTTTTCATAAGGCCGGGTACAGTAGCTCAAGCCTGGAATCCCAGCATTTTGGGAAGTCAAGGTGGGCGGACTGCTTGAGGCCAGGAGTTGGAGACCAGCCTGAGCAACATAGCAAAACCCCATTTCTTTAAAAGAAAAAAAACAGTTTTGATCAGCCAAATACAGGATCTAGTGAAGATTAACTTGGACAGAACTTTACTATCTGTATTGTTACTATTAGTATGCTCTTCGTTACCTTGTATTTAAACATCAGTGTACCTTTTATTTATGATACTTAACCAACTATCCATTATAGGCATTAGTTAAGCAATCTATGACTAGGAATTTTTTAAAATAGAAAACAGCTCAAAACCACGCCTATGGCTTGTCCAGTTCAGCTGAGTCAAGCACTGAAATCATGAGCATTCTCCCCTGCCCTCTACTAATACCTGGCGTACTCACCAAACCCCACATTCACAGGCTCTCAACATATCTTGTTTTAAAGAAAAAAAAAATACTCATAAATATATAATATTGATTTTTATTTAAAAAAATAAGAAATAGTACGAGGTATATTTACAGAATGAAACTGCAGAAAACCTTCTGTAATTTCTAGGAGATCTGAGAATCATTTGGTATAAATTGGCTGGGCACAATGGCTCACGCCTGTAATCCCAGCACTTTGGGTGGCCAAGGCAGGTGGATCACCTGAGGTCAGGAGTTCAAGGGCAGCTTGGCCAACATGGTGAAACCTCGTCTCTATTAAAAATACAAAAATTAGCCGGGCGTGGTGGTGGGCACCTGTAATCCCAGCTACTTGGAAGGCTGAGGCAGGAGAATCACTTGAACCCGGGAGATGGAGGTGCAGCGAGCCAAGATCTCGCCATTGCACTCCAGCCTGGGTGACAGAGCAGGACTCTGTCTCTAAAAATAAATAAATAAATAAATCTAGCATTATAAAACAACTTAAAATTTCTTCTTCCTCTGTGCTACGAATAGAATAAATGTTTTCCATAAAACTGATCATTTCAATATATTGAATCCTAACTTTTTCTACTGTTAGTGTGTCCTTATTTTTTCCGTTTTTGCCTGCTGATCTTATTTTTAATCCCTAAAAGAAGACACATTCACATACATATTTTTTAATGTTTCGGTTGCTTTAGAATTCAGTCACTTCAGAACAATACAACCTTGTCTTTCTCGATGAGAATTTCCTTTCTTTAACGTAAAATGTGCAAACCAATAAATATTTAAGTCGTATCATGTTAGTGACTTAAGTTTTAAAGAAAAGTAGATTTATCACAGGCTAAAATATTACCTAACGTCAAACTATCAAACAATCTTACTGCCTTTGATGTGTATAAATACACAACTTCTATTTCTGGTATACTAAATGACAAATAAATGGACTGTAAATTAATGTACCAAGGTTCAGTTATATATTGACAAACGTTTCATAGATCAAAGATCAACATTGTGACCCACTGAATAAATGATTTTATACATGAATAAATATGAGCTTAAGTGCCAAATAAATCTAAGATTGTAACAATTCAACCCCTAGCCTCTCTGGTGAGCTCTTGTCCTGCAGGCCTGTGGTATCCTAATGACTTAAGAAGCTCTCTAGTAGCACTAAATCTGACATTTAATTTTCCTTTCAAATAAAGTTTATTCCAACCAAGGGTGAGTAGTTTTCTATTCCCCCCAAAAACTTTTAGAAAAGATACTCTAATTAACAATGACTATTTCTATAAAACTGTTTCATGAGTATTGGAGTAGTATTACAGCCAGTTTAATTTAAAGTATAATTACTTTAAAATCTGTACTTGGTAACTTTCTGTTTCCTCTCTGCCAAAGCTTTTCTTCATTTAAACAGAGGCCTGAACTATCAAACATTATGAGACATTAGTTAGTAATTTAATCATCATATAAAAGGGTTTGAAGTTTAGTTATCTATTAAACAAATACCTATTTTTTTACAACCTATACTGTTCTAAAACAGATCCTATTTCAAAAAATAAAATAAAAGCTGAATATGTCAATACCAATGTAATTTTTCATGTCACTTTGCTGTTAGATATAAAAAGTAATCCTACACAAGTTCTCCTGATGTTTCATCATCAGCTTTAACATAGTTGGTGCATTTAAGCACCTAATAATAACTGCTATTTAAAATGTGTCTTGGGTACTTTACCAACCTTTTAGGTGAGGCTACTAAATCCCTCAGCAACCCTGGTAGACAGGTACTGTTAGACTCATTTTATAAATGTGGACACAATGAAATATGCCCTAAGTCACAGTCAGTAAGAAGAGTGAAGATTGAAGTCCAGGTATTCTGAATTCCAAAGTTCACATTTTTTGCCACTGTTATGCAAATAAAGAGACAATCTAGCCTTTAAGTATAGAAATTTATCATTTTTCAATACTGAGAGGCAAAGATGAACATACTATATAGGGTTCAATTCAAAGTATACCATTACAGTGTATATGGAAACTGAGTGATGTTTTTAAAAAAAGCTGTTACTTAACAGTAACAGATACTATAAAGCCATAATTTAGTGCCCTCCTAGATCCAACTGTATTAAGAACAGTGACAAAATTAATGTCATTTCCTGAACTAAATGATTTTCAATTCAAAATTTTTATAACCTCTAATGATTTTTAAATGAAATAAATGTATTTACTCTTTTCCTCAAAATAATACTTTCCTATTTCTTTCTGAGTTCCCATACGCCCAGATTTGATGTTTCAAATGCTCACTTTACATGGTTATAACCACACCTTTACAGTAAAACAATTCCAAAAGGAAGCTGAAGTATCACAGCATTATCAGAATAGAGTATTTTCAAAATAATCATTCTGATCCATAACCATTTCTAAGGTAAAAACTAGTGCTCTCAATTGGGGGATTGTAGAGGATTTCTATTAATAAATTGCTCTATGATTTTTTTTCTTGAAGGTGTTGGGAAAATCAAATTAACACGTAACAATAGTTAGTGAGATATGGCTTCATTTTCTGTAATAAACACTAAGATCAAAACATGACCCAAGTTAAATTTCCTTGCAGGGTTCCCAGCAGGGGCTTCCCTTTTGTCTGTGATTTCCTCTCACCCACCAGAACCAGGCCAAATATGCGCATGTGCCACTAACACTAAGCAGCACTTCCTTAATCACTCATTTCCAACAATTTATGGATCATCAGTGGCAAAAAACGAGCAAAAATAATGAAAGAATGCAATGAAAGCTCGTGGAGACAGAGGCTGGACTTCCTACTCACTCTGTGTCTCTTTAAGATGGAGGCCTGATACAAATTAGCCACTGGGGGGAAAAAGTCATCTGGTCATAAAATACAGTACAAGGTCACTTTTATGTAAGTTTGCCAAAAGGGACATAAACCAGGACAATTTCAAACTGTGACACAGGATAGAAACATATTAAAAAAATCTTTGTTCCTCCTCTATTGTGCTGTCATGTTGCTCAGCTTTATAGACATTCCAAGCACCAGCACAGAACTCTTCGCTTCCACCTGGTCAGTCCAATTAATTAAGAAAGGAAGTTACCTAAAATTTTGTACTTTTTGCTTTTATTATCAGGCACTTTGTTTGAAGTTATAGGAGTTAACCTCTTAATCCTACAGACCGTGTGCTACGCTCTGGCCATTCAGGGATGTCTGGATGGTTTGGATAATTGGTCAGGATGTTGCTTATGTTACCTTTTATGCTATGACTTCAAATCAAACATAGGCATTAAAGTTAAGTACAATAGAAATTTACTCCCAGAAAAATCTTGGGTTTATGAATTAATCTGTCATAAATTTTACATAACAATCATATGGAGATATTTTCTCCCACTTTCATTAAGTTGCTGAATTTTTTTTCCTCCTGACATTTTTATTCAAAATAAGATGTTAAGATATAATATAAAACAAATATATGCCTAACTACCATTTAAACACTGGCCAGAGGTTATACCTCCAGAGTTCCTTACAAAATCAGAAAACATCTCTGATATTAATCCAGATAACCTGGAGGTCTTTTCTGGAGTGGAGGAGGGAGATAAATCATACAGCCAATCTGAGGTATGATAAGCACAGCAGTGATGGCTGCCTTAAGATGTTCCCTGAGCCCTAAGAGCCACATACTGCAGAAAAAGCAGGCTTACTGCAAAACAAAACAAAAATCACCAAATGGAACCTTTTTATCAGTTGAAAAATTAAGATGTAAACGGAGTCACTTTCAAATACCTATGAACATACCTAAAGCTCAATACACATAGGTGACAGCAAAATAATCTAAATTTGGTAAACATTTAACTGCTAATAATAAGTCTAAATTCCAAGATAAAAGTTAGCTGCTTACTAAAAAAAAACTTTTACTTTATCAAAACCATTTCTATGCTCTTACACTTCAGAATTATAAAGTAAGGGAATAGCAAGGAGATGGTCCTAATAAAATAGAAACACACACCGCTGCCACGGTAAGAAGAGAGAAGCAAAGCTATTGAAGGCCCTTAAAAGGACATAGTCAACCCCCCAGGCCTAATATGTCCTGTTTGAATTAACATAGTGGTTTAATTAAAAACTAAGTAGAGAATTCTGCTTAATTTGATTTTCAATTCAAGCTCTGCATCCGCCCATGGCCAGTGGCCAATTTCCGCATCTCGGCACAATATGCAAGAAGCTGTTTGAACATCGATTGCCCAGGGGAATCCATGGGAGTAGAGTGGGGCCATATGCCATTTAGGGATACACCAGACTTAGACACAGTAAAACAGCACCAGGAGGGTGGCCACAGGAAAAAAAAAAAAAAAGGAAATTTTACTTAACCATATTACAAGTTTGTCATTGCTCAAATTAGTGCGCTGAATCTACCCATTAGAAATGTTTCTAGCCTCTCTTCAGTATCACTTCAGCAACTATATGTGTCAAATGTAATCGATGAGCAAGCAGCTTTAAAGGAATATACATAAATATATGTACTTATTCGCCAAATATGTTAAACATTCTAATGACTGTGATCAATCATAACATTAATTTCAATAAAGCAACGAAGTTAATTCTAATAAGCACTGTGTAAAGAACCATGTATCTTTAAAAATGTTATTTAGAACTTACACAGGTAGTTAACAAATGATTCTAGACTACAGAAATATACAACATGAAAGGGCTCAAATGTATGCTTAACACATTTAGACTTAACGACACAATATTAGTAACCTTTCCAACTTTCATGTGACTGATTTTAAAACCGAAAAATATGAATATTTTAAAATAACATGTCTTGATTAGCTTAATTTTAAAACTTTCTAAACATTTCTACTAGGATCTAGAACACACCTTATCTTCAAACAAGTTTGTTTCAAAGTATGCTAGCTGTAATGCTCAAGCTGAGTTATTCTACTTCAGTACATGCCATTGCAAAATGGGAAACATATTTTAAAACCGCCTGAGATAATAATCTGTGAGGAATTAAAAGATGACTGTACTGTATTCAGTTGCTTGCTTTCTGAGGCTCATATTTTATAGAATATTTAGTGATAATAAGTATTCTAGAAAACTTATTAGTGATTAGTGATATTTTATAGAATACTTATTAGTCAAATGCATTTAAAGACTACCTCGAAGATAAAGGTAATTTAATAATAGCTAATTTACTAAATGAAGTCCTGGGCTATGTGCATTACATGAATAATCACATCTCATTTAATCACCAAAATGATACAATAAAGTAAAGATCATTATTACACCCATTTTATAGAAAGCAACCCCGCGGTTTAGATGAAGTCACCTCCCAGGCAGTCTGACTGATGCCAAATTTTCTCACGGTTGCAGCTTCACCATCTTCCGCTGGCCTCTTTCCCTACCTTCAAGCTAGAATCCCATCTCCCTCCTTCCTTTAACGGCATTAACAACCAAATTCTTTAATTTGGTTTTCTGCAGCACCTATTACAACTTCCCAAGTTGGACAAATGGCAGTCGTCCGGGGCTCCACCTTCTGCTGTGTTTGGGAATTAATTGGATTCATAGTTGCCTGTATCCTACAGTCATTCAATATTTCAGTCCCATTTGAGGTCAAGAAACACAGCTGGTGACCCTCGAGTGATTTTTAGGCAACTAACATGGTCAAAGATGTGCTAAGAAAAGAATATTAATCATGTATAAAAAGACTAAAAATTTTTTTAAAATAGAGGAAGTAAGTGCTGTACAATCGTATGTGTGAAATATCTCTAATTAACTTCTATGATCCCTCCTCAGCTGATTCTCCCTTTGACCTTAAGTCTGTAAGGGGGAACAGGAGAAAAATGACATGTCACTGGGATTTTTTGTCATTTTTTTCTTTTTTAATTCTGGAGATTGTTGCTAATTCTTCAAACAGATTTAGCCAAGTCCCTTTCCTAGTTGGTTAATTCACAAGAAGGGAAGAAAATAACTTGGAGGCAAAGAGTTTGTCCATATTACACCCTGTTATTGTAAATAACAATCTATTCAACTAGATTGTTATAAAAAGTATAAATTAGGTAGATACTGTTTATAATGTCAAATATGAAAATATAGTTCACACCAAGCTTTATCATTTGTTTTTTGTATGTGGTACTATTACACAAGAGGTAGTGTCAGGAAGAGGGAAGAACTTTGCTTATTGAAAGCAAACGTCGGCAGGCAATGTCACAGAGTCAGGTGCAGGACTGATTCGGTGCCGTGTCTACAGATCAGTGTTCTGCACTGTGTGGGGCATGTACTCCTTTGTACTCCTTTCCTTTGTGACCTGCACAAAGTCTAAAATGCATATTTATCTCTAAATATACTCAAGTGGTAGATGAAAAAAAATTATTTTCAAAAATCCTATTCTGGCTTCTCTGTTGCCTACAACATAAAACTCAAATGACCAGATGGAGGACTCCAGGCCTCCAGAATTCGACCCTGGCAAGCGGCTTGTGCACCCTCATCTCTCACCATTCTCCAGTATCTAAGTACCGGCCATTCCCTCAATACTGTCAGAGCTCTAGGCCTTTGCTCAAGCCTGGAATGCCACACTCTAGCAAACCCCTGCTCATCCTTCAAGTCCCAGCCCAAGTCCAGATTGACTTCCCCTGTGAAGCCTGCTCAGATTCCCCAGGAAAATCAAGATATCCTTTCCTTTCAGGGTTTCCCATAGGACTTCATTATATAAAAGGGCTTCAAACTGCATCTTATTTGTTTACATCTGTCATTTCTCCCACTGTCCGACCCTTGAAGGCCAGAGGCCCATCTTTTCATCTGTGTCCCCAGCAAGCTCCTATAAAGAGCATAATAACTGCTACTTAAGGAATTGGTTAATAAAACTGAATTCTCAATAAAATTCATTCTCTGTTGAATGAATGAATATCCATCAAAAGTTATGTTTCCAAAATTCTACAGAAATTGCCTTCTCAAGAGTCTACAATGACCTCCTTTCTTCTTGTTGTTTATTCTTGGTTTTTGTTTGTTTCTGAGACAGGCTGGAGTGCAGTGACGCAATCACAGCTCACACCACAGCTTCAACCTGCAGGCTCAAGCAATCCTCCCACCTTAGTCTCCAGAGGGGCTGGGACCACAGGTACCCATCGCCACACCCAGTTAATTTTTTTATTTTTAGTACAGACAGGGTCTCACTGTGTTGCCCAAACTGGTCTCGAAAAACTGGCCTCAAGCAACCCTCCTGCCGCAGCCTCCCAAAGTGGTGGATTACAGGTGTGAGCCACTGCACCCGGCCATTGACTAAATTTTAATTGCCTGTCTTAAGAATACATCATGATTTTTTAAATTCCAATGCATAAAAGCCAGTTTTCTTAATGTCAGGTTTGACTGCCAGAGTCATTCATTCTGATCCTGGTATATTTACTAAATGTGAAATCAGCTGTCAGTTTTCAGCTGCAGACTGTTAACGTATGGAATAACAGCTAGATAACAGAAAGGGGAGCCCATGGAAATAACACTTTACTGTCACCTTAAACTAAATAAGATACCCTAAGGAAAGAATAAAAGCTATTATATCAGGTTTATCCATTACACTAGATGTATGCATACTGTAAAAGTACTCACAGGTCTAAAAGATGTCTCTCTCTCATGGACATGCAAAGTAATTCAATATGCAGAATTACTGTTATTGTTAACAATGTGTTATCAATATTATTTACTACGCATTTTTTATATTCCATTTAAATAATTTAAGTCTGCTTTTTCTAGTTCAATGTGAATGATATTTAATTCCTCACTTAACCAATTTAATTCCAATACTAGATTCACTTACCTTTTTCAGGCCAGCAAAGCCTTCTGATTCCAGAAAGAAAAAGGCAAAGGGCATCAATACAAATAAACAAAGGTTGGAAAAAAGGGAAGCAAGATTCCACAAACCTATAAAAAGGGTAACAAGAAAAGAAGAAAAACAGGTTAGATATTGAAATTGTGGTATTAATCAAGATCTATACTTTTAAATAGTAAAAATAAACAAAAAGTAACAAATGACCTAAACTTAGAAATCATAAAATAATTATAGTATGTATTTATTTAAATTTTTTTAACATTGTAACTTGTACCTATTGGGAAAAGTCAGTATAGAAACTAATGTTTTTTTCCATGCCCTAAAGTAAATTCACTAAAAATATGACGTGTGCAGAGATCCAAAGGCACAGCCTCTTTAGACATATAGGCACCGGAATATTTAAATTAGAGCCACTAGCATTTATTGAGCCCCTAATAAATGCCAGATACTCTACTGAACATTTTACATGCATAATCCCATTTAATTTAAGCCTCATAAAAACCCTAAAAATAATAATTAGCATTTATTGAGCCCTTATGTGCCAAGCACTATTCTAAGTGATTTACAGACATTATCCGAACTCATTTACTTGCCACAGCAATCCCATGAGGCAGGTAGCATTACTGCCCCAAGATGACAGAAGAGGAGCAGGCTATGCAACTTGCCACAGCTGTAGAGCATCCAAGTGGCAGAGCTGACTTAATTCCAGGATTTTAAAAAATCACTACATCACAGAAATTTTGGTAAACAATTCCAAGTGGGAAAGAAAAAGTCACAGAGACTGGCAATCTTAAGTGACCTTTTCCTCCCTGGCACAAAATGGCAAGTAAAATAAGAACAGATTTAGCAAAAGACAGAGCCCTGTTAGGTATGTCATTGGGAGGGTATTTGGCCCAACATGTCAGATCATATTTTTTACAGGTAAAAAAATAAAATTTAAAACTGAGTTTCAAAATGATGGTGATAATCATTACAAAAGTTTATAAAATCAAGAGTCAAAGATAAAATTTACGTCAAGGATAAATTCAATGAACTGTTTGCCATTATAATTCAATGTTTTTGAAAGTAGGCAACTAATGCTTTCTCAACACCTTCATTTCCAAGCAGTGGAGATGTGGTGATGAAGAAACACAACCCCTCTGCTCTCAGAGCTGCTCACGCTGCAGAGCTGCATGCAGAGACTACCTCTGAGCTGGCAGTGGGCACAGGGAGCAGAGCCGTCCCTAACTACTGCAGTTTTGAATAAACATAAAGGTTTGTAACTGTCCTAATGTCCTTTGGAATAGCATGGAGTATAAACAAACACAATTAATTTAGCAATTAATACGGGTCAGCTGGGGAGATTCACTTCCTTTAGTAGACAAGGTAATATAATAAAATCAACTCACAGTTTCTTATTCAAAAATCTACATGGATTTAACAAATTTACAATGTACATTTATCTTTGTAGAAAGTAAAATCTTTTATAAAACAATATCTTAACATCTTTTAGTGGAAAAACTGCAATTTGAACTATTTAAAATTTTTAAAAATTTTAAATTTTAAAAAATGTAAATAATTTTATATTTTCCAGCCTTTAAAAAAAGCCAAACATTCTGTTTTCTTTATTCAAAAAGAGTATAATTAGAGTCAATTGTTTTATTGTGCTAATTACTGGAAGAGCATACAGAACGATGGCTGCATGCACACAATTGAGTTCTAGGCAGACCTGGGTGCACGTCCTGCTGCACTTCTATGTGACAACATTGCTAAATCACAGGTTCTTCATCTATCAAATATGGCTAATGACGGGTCTGTAGACATTGGTAAGCATTAAATAATGCACGTACAACAACTGACACAATGCCTGTCATAAAATAAGCATTTAATTAATTTTTGCTTTTAAGTTACAGCACCAGAGGCTACTAGTAACAGTGCTATCAGCTCCCACACCAAACTACCATCCTTCCTGAGACTCCAGGCTCGCTTGCTAGTTTTCCCTTTCATCTTCTTTCTACCAAGTGTATTGGCTCCTGGTTTTTGTTACTAGAAATGAGCATGTGTCCAGGAACAATCTCTTCCCTCCCCCAACAGCCTATGGGTAAAGGTATCATATACGCAACTTTTAAAAGTTGTATCTAAAGAATAAATTGACCTGGATCAAAGCTGTACCTTCCAGGTCCAATTCATAACCTAAAGTGCATGGTCTTTGGCCTCTCTTTTGCCTGCTCAACAGCATTTTCTCTTCTTTATGGTTTCCAAGTAAGTTACTTTCAGATATGTGGGGTATAACAATAATTAGTATTATGTAAATTACATTATTATTATTCTTTAGTAGGCTAGAGAACCATGGTTGTTAATCTATTGCTTTATTTAGGCGTGGTGAAAAATACATGACCGTTTCAAATCATTTGTGTTATGAAAGATAAAGGTCAGTGTGTCACGAATTATATTCATTTTACACAAGATAGTTTTATTCCAATTAAATATCTCATAGTCTTTTTAAAAAAACATTTTTAAAAGTTATCTACTGGCCGGGCATGGTGGCTCATACCTGTAATCCCAGCACTTTGGGAGGCCGAGGCAGGCAGATTACGAGGTCAGGAGTTCGAGACCAGCCTGGCCAGCATGGTGAAACCCTGTCTCTAATAAAAATACAAAAAAAAAAAAAAATTAGCTGGGCATGGTGGTGCGCACCTGTAGTCCCAGCTACTCAGGAGGCTGAGGCAGGAGAATTGCTTGAACCCAGCAGGCAGAGGTTGCAGTGAGCCGAGATTGCACCACTGCACTACAGCCTGGGCAACAGAGCGAGACTCCATCTCAAAAAAAAAAAAAAGAAGTTATCTACTACAAGTATACCTAAAGCCGATTGCATGTTGCTGTACTGTGCTTTGCAGATACCGTGTGACGGTTTGTGACAACTCTGTGGTGAACAAGTCTATCTGTGCCATTTTCCCAATACCACGTGCTCACTTCATTTCTCCATGTCATATTTTGGTAATTTTTGCAATACTTCAAACATTTTCACTATTATTACATCTGTTATGATCTATGACCAGTGATCTTTGATGTTACTATGTTAATTGTTTGGGGGCGCTGCAAATTGTGCCCATAAAAGATGCCAAACTTAATCAATAAATATTGTGTGTGTTGACTGCACCTCTGCTTGGCTGTTCCTTCATCTCTCTCCTTCTCCTAGGGCCTCCCCATTCCCTGAGACACAACGATATTGAAAGTAGGCCATGTAATAATCCTACAATGTCCTCTAAGTGTTCAAATGAAAGGAAGACTCACACATCTCTCACTTTCAATCAAAAGCTAGAAGCTTAGTGAGGAAGGCATGTCAAAAAATGAGATAGGCTGAAAGCTAGGCCTCTTATGCCAGTTAGCCAAGTTGTGAATGCAAAGGAAAAGTTCCTAAAGGAAATTAAAGTGCTACTCCAGTGAACACACAAATGACAAGAAAGCAAAACAGCCTTACTGCTGATATGGAGAAAGGTTTTGTGCTCTGGACAGATCACACCAGCCACAACATTCCCTAAAGCCACAGCCTGAGCAAGGTTGTAACTCTTCACATCTATGAAGGCTGAGGGAGGTGAGGAAGCTCCAAAAGAAAAGTCTGAAGCTACCAGAGGTTGGTTCATGAGGTTTAAGGAAAGAAGCCACCTCCATAACATAAAAGTGCAAGGTGAAGCAGCAAGTGCTGATGGAGAAGCTGTAGCAAGTTCTCCAGAAGATCTGGCTAAGACCATCAATGAAAGTGGCTGCACAAAACAACAGATTTTCAAGGTAGACAAAAACAGCCTTACACTGGAAGAAGACGCCATCTAGGACTTGCATAGCCAGAGACAAGTTCAATGTCTGGCTTCAAAGCTTCAATCAACAGGCTGACTCACTTGTTAGGGGCAAATACAGAAAGTGACTTTAAGTTGAAGCCAGTGCTCATTCACCATTCCAGAAATCCTAAAACCCTTAAGAATTATCCTAAGCCCATTCTGCCTGTGGTCTATAAACAAGAACAACAAACCTGCCCGGATGGCAGCACATCTGTTTACAGCATGGTTTACTAAATAGTTTAAGCCTACTGTTAAGACTTGCTACTCAAAAAAAAAAAAAAAAAAGATTTTCAAAATACTACTGCTCATTGACAATGCACCTGCTGATGGAGATGAAAGAGCCCTGGTGGAGATGTTTAAAAAGATCAATATTTTCATGCCTTAACACAACATCCATTCTGTAGCCCATGGATCAAGGAGTAATTCTGACTTTCAAGTCATATTATTTAAGATACATTCTGTAAGGCTATACCTGCTACAGATTCCTCTGATGGATTGTGCAAAGTAAACTGAAAACCTTCTGGAAAGGATGCACCATTCTAGATGCCATTAAGAATATCTGTGATTCATGGGAGGTCAAAATATCAACCTCACCTGGAGTTTGGAAGTGATGGGTTTGAGATGTCAGTGGAGAAAGTCTCTGCAGATGTGGTAAAAATAGCAAGAGGACTGGAATTAGAGGTGGATCCTGAAGATGTGACTGAATTGCTGCAATCTCATGATAAAACTTGAAATGAACGAGGAGCTGCTTCTTAGGGATGAACAAAGAAAGTGGTTTCTTGAGATGGAATCTACCCTGGTGAAGATGCTGTGAACATTGTGGAAATGACAATAAAGGACTTAGAATATCATAAACTTAGTTGATAAAACAGAGGCAGGGTTTGAGAGGATGGACTTCAATTTTGAAAGAACTTCTACTGTGAGTAAAATGCTGTCAAACAGCATCACATGCTACACAGAAATCTTTTGTGAAAGGAAGAGTCAATCAATATGGCAAACTACACTGTTGTCTTATTTTAAGAAATTGCCACGGTCACGCAACCTTTAGCAAAATCAAGGCAAGACCTCCACCAGCAAAAAGATTACAGCTCACTAAAGGCTCAGATAATTGTTACCATTTTTTAGCAATAAAGGCATGTACACACATTGCTATTGCACACTTAATAAATGGCATTATAGTGTTAAGTATAATTTTTATATGCTCTGAGAAATCAAAAAATTTGTGTGATTCACTTTATTGCCACATTCGCTTCATCACAGTACACTGGAACCAACCCTGCAGTATCTCCAAGGTATGCCTGTCACTGTTAGGTATGTAACATAGTAGGCATTGTTCTGGATACGTTAAGATGCTATCTTTTTTTCTGAGACAGTGGTGTGATCATGGCTCACTGCAGCCTTGACTTCCCAGACTCAGGTGATCCTCCCGCCTCAGCCTACCAAGTAGCTGAGACTATAGGCACATGCCACCGTGCCAGGCTGATTTTTGTATTTTTTGTAGAGATGAGGTTTCACCATGTTGTCCAGTCTGGTCTCAAACTCCTGGGCTCAAGCGATCCACTCACCTCAGCCTCCCAAAGTGCTGGGATTACAGATGTGAGCCACTGCACTCAGCCAGCTACCACCTTAATATTTTATGAGGGAAGGTCCCCCGTTTTACAGACGGACTTCAGGTTCAGAAACGTGCCCTTGTCCCAGAGCAAGAAAAACTTAAGCTATTCCTTCTAATATGCTGTAATGTTTTTAGGCAACATAAATTCCACCATTTCCTAACCTTTTTTTTTTCAGATGGAGTCTCACTCTGTTGCCCAGGCTGGAGTGCAATGGCGCAATCTCGGCTCACCGCAATCTCCGCCTCCCGGGTTCAAGCGATTCTCCTGCCTCAGCCTCCTGAGTAGCTGGGATAACAGGCACGCGCCACTGCGCCAGGCTAATTTTTGTATTTTCAGTGGAGACGGAGTTTCACCATGTTGGCTGGGCTGCTCTTGAACCCCTGACCTCAGGTGATCCACTCGCTTCGGCCTTCCAAAGTGCTGGGATTACAGGCATGGGCCACCACGCCTGGCCCCTAAACTTCTTATATTCTTTAGAGATGCTTGCAAATGTATGATTACAAATCTCTAGATCAAAGGTCCATGAGGCATGAATATATTTCTACACCTCATTTTTTATTTCCCAATGCCTGCTACAGTGCTGAGTAATCAATAAAAATGAGTTCCATAAACAAACAATATTACAATCCATATAGCTAAATGTTAACAGGAAAAGACTCTCTCAGGAAAAAGGTCACAGGCTGAACTAAAGAAGTAGTCTCAGAATTAATTCTCAATTGTCAGTACAAAATGAACAAAATTATAACATATACAAATATAAGAAATATTAATTTTTAACAGCTTTATTGAACTACATAAAATAAGCTACACATGGAGTATATAATTTGATAAGTTTTGTCATGAGAATGCACCAATGACACCATCACCACAATTAAGCTAATGAACATAAACACATCCATCACCCCCAAATTTTCTCATATCCTTTTATAATCCCTGCCCCCTGCCACTCCCCACCTCCCCCTGATTCCCAGTCAGCCACTGACTCTGCACTTTAGAAAAGAACTCAGAAATAATGCCGCATGTCTACAACTATCTGATCTTTGACAAACCTGACAAAAACAAGAAATGGGGAAAGGATTCCCTATTTAATAAATGGTGCTGGGAGAACTGGCTAGTCATATGTAGAAAGCTGAAACTGGATCCCTTCCTTACACTTTATACAAAAATTAATTCAAGATGGATTAAAGACTTACATGTTAGACCTAAAACCATAAAAACCCTAGAAGAAACCCTAGGCATTACCATTCAGGACATAGGCATGGGCAAGGACTTCATGTCTAAAACACCAAAAGCAATGGCAACAAAAGCCAAAATTGACAAATGGGATCTAATTAAACTCAAGAGCTTCTGCACAGCAAAAGAAACCACCATCAGAGTGAACAGGCAACTTACAAAATGGGAGAAAATTTTTGCAACTTACTCATCTGACAAAGGGCTAATATCCAGAATCTACAATGAACTCAAACAAATTTACAGGAAAAAAACAAACAACCCCATCAAAAAGTGGGCGAAGGATATGAACAGACACTTCTCAAAAGAAGACATTTATGCAGCCAAAAAACACATGAAAAAATGCTCATCATCACTGGCCATCAGAGAAATGCAAATCAAAACCACAATGAGACACCATCTCACACCAGTTAGAATGGCGATCATTAAAAAGTCAGGAAACAACAGGTGCTGGAGAGGATGTGGAGAAATAGGAACACTTTTGCACTGTTGGTGGGACTGTCAACCCTTGTGGAAGTCAGTGTGGCGATTCCTCAAGGATCTAGAACTAGAAATGCCATTTGACCCAGCCATCCCATTACTAGGTATATACCCAAAGGATTATAAATCATGCTGCTATAAAGACACATGCACACGTATGTTTATTGTGGCACTATTCACAATAGAAAAGACTTGGAACCAACCCAAATATCCAACAATGATAGACTGGATTAAGAAAATGTGGCACATATACACCATGGAATACTATGCAGCCATAAAAAAGGATGAGTTCATGTCCTTTGTAGGGACATGGATGAAACTGGAACCCATCATTCTCAGCAAACTATCGCAAGGACAAAAAACCAAACACCGCATGTTCTCACTCATAGGTGGGAATTGAACAATGAGAACACATGGACACAGGAAGGGGAATATCACACACCGGGGACTGTTGTGGGGTGGGGGGAGGGGGGAGGGATAGCATTAGGAGATATACCTAATGCTAAATGAGGAGATGATGGGTGCAGCACACCAACATGGCACATGTATACATATGTAACAAGCCTGCACGTTGTGCACATGTAACCTAAAACTTAAAGTAGAATAATAATAAAATAAAATAAAAAAAAGATGGATTTTCTAGAACATTATACAAATGGATTGTGTGATATATACTCTTGTTTTTGTCTGGCTTCTGTTATCTAGCACAACTATTTTGAGATTAGATTGAATCGCTATTGGACTGCATCCATTCACCTGCAAACAATCTATGTTGTTCCCAATTTGTGGCTATTAAAAATAAAATAGTCATAAATGCTCATGTACAAGTCTGTGTAGACCTATGCGATCATTTCTTTTGGGAAATACATAGGTCATATGGTAGATACCTGTTTAACATTTTAAGAAACTGCCAAAATGTTTTCCAAAGTGGTTGTATTTTACAGTCTCTCACCAGCAGAGATCAAGTTCATCCACATTTTCACTAAAAATAATATTTTAACCATTCTGGCAGGTACACAGGAATATCTTATTGCTGTTTTAATTCCCATTTATCTAATAAATAATGATGTGAACATCTGTTCATGAGCTTATTTGCCATCTATTCATGTCTTTTTTAGCTAAGTATCTCTTCAAATCTGTTGCCCATTTTTTCATTTTTTTTTAATTACTGAGTTTGACAAGTTCTTTATGGGCTCTGAATACAACTCCTTTATAAGGTATGTGATTTGTCAATATTTTCTCCCAGTCTGTAGACTCTCTTTATTCTCTTAACAGTATCTTTAAAGAACAAAATTTATTAGAAGTCCAATTTATCCATTTTTTTCTTTTATGGATTGTGCTTTCGCTATCCTACCTAAAAAATTATGGCCTAGTTCAATGTTACAAAGACTTTCTCCTACATTTTCTTCTACAAGTTTCATAGTTTTAGGATTTACATTTAAGTCGATGATCCCTTGAGTTACAGTTTGCGAATGGTGCCAGGTATGGACTGAAGTTCATTTTTTGCCTATAATTAAAAAATTGTTCTAGCACCATTTGTTTAAAAAAAAATCATCTTCCCACTAAATTCCCTTGGCACCTTTGTCAAAAATCAATTGACAATATATGTATGTATCTAATCCTGGACAGTCTATTCTGCTGATTTGATCTGTTTATCTTTATGCTAACATCATGCACTTTTTTTTTTTTTTTTTTTTGAGACAAAGTCTTGCTCTGTCATCCAGGCTGGAGTGCAGTGGCACGTCTCGGCTCACTGCAACCTCCGCCTCCCAGGTTCAAGCGATTCTCCTGCCTCAGACTCCCAAGTAGCTGGGATTACAGGTGCATGCACCACACCAGGCTAATTTTTGTATTTTTAGTAGACACAGGGTTTCACCATGTTGGTCAGGCTTGTCTCGAACTCCTGACCTCAAGTGATCTGCCTGCCTTGGCCTCCCAAAGCGCTGGGATTACAGGCATAAGCCACCGTGCCCAGCCACACCACACAGTCTTGATTACTGTAGCTTTAAAAGAGTCTTTAGGTCAGATGGTCAATCCTCTAACTTTGTTATCTTTCAAAGTTGTTTAGGCTATTCTAAGTCCATAGAATTTGCATCCGAATTTTAGATCAGCTTGTCAATTTCTACAAAGTATGCTGGAATCTTGACAGGCATGGTGTTGAATCTCTATCAATTTGAAGAGAGCTGACCTCTTAATATTGCTGTTACAGACTGAATGCTTCTGTCCCCACCCCCAAATTCATAACTGAAACCCTAATCCTCAGTGTGATGGTCGTTAGAGACAGGAGCCCTTGGGGGTAGTTAGGTCACAAGAGGGCAATCCTCATGATGGGATGGTGCCCCTATAGGAGGAGACAGAAGAGAGTTTGCTTTCTCTGTCTCTGCTCTCAGCCATGGAAGGATGCGAGGAGACAACCATCCGTGAGCCAAGAATAGGGTCCTCATCAAGAACCCAACCATGGTGGCACCCTGATATGGGACTTTCAGCCTCCAGAACTGTAAAAAATATTTGTTTTGTATTGTAAGCCACCCAGTCTATGGTATTGTTATAGCAGCCCAAACTGATAAAGTGTCTTCGAATCCATGAACACAGTATCTGTCTCCACTTATTGTGGTACTCTTTAATTTCTCTCAACAATGTCTTAGTTTATAGTACTTAGGTCTCACGCATCCCTAAGTATTTCGTATTTTTGATGCTATTGCATATAAGTGATATTGGGTTGTAAATTCAATTTCCAATTATTAACTGCCAGTATATAGAAATATAATTGTTGTATATTGATCTTCTATCCTGCAGCCTTGAAGAATTTACTTACTGGTTCCAATAGCTTTTTTATAACAGATCCCATCAGAATTTCCGCATAGAAAATATCATCTGTGAAATAGTTTTACTGTTTCCTTTCCAACTTCAGTGACTTATTTTTTTTAAAAAAAACCTCCAGAATGATGTTACATAGAAGTGGTAAGAACAGATGTCCTTGCCTTGTTCCTGATCTCAGGGGGAAAGCATCCAGTCTTTCACCATTAAGTATGATGTTATCAGTAGGTTTTTTGTAGATGCTTTTTTTTTTTTTTTTTTTTTTTTTTTTTGAGACGGAGTCTCACTCTGTCGCCCAGGCTGGAGTGCAGTGGTGCGATTTCTCAGCTCACTGCAACCTCCACCTCCCAGGTTCAAGCAATTCTCCTGTCTCAGCCTCCCGAATAGCTGGGACTACAGGTGCACACCACCATGCCCAGTTAAGTTTTATATTTTTAGTAGGGACAGGGTTTCACCACATTGGTCAGACTGGTCTCGAACTCCTGACCTCAGGTGATCCACCCGCCTCAGCCTCCCAAAGTGCTGGGATTACAGGCGTGAGCCACTACGCCCAGCCTGATGCATTTTATTAGGATGAGAACATCCCATTTCAGGCCTACTTTGCTGAGAGATTTTACCAGAAATGGATACTGAATTTTGTCATATGCTTTTTCTGCATGTATTGTTACGACCATATGACTTTTTTTTTTCTAGCACGTTAATAAAATCACATGGATTGGCATTGCAAAAGTCATGATGTATTATCATTTTTATACAGTGTTACATTTGATTCGCTAAAATTGTATTTAGAACTTAAGCATCTATGTTCGTGACACTGGCCTGTCATGAAACTTTCAGTTTTCATGTATTGTCTGCCTGGTTTTGGTATGAGGGTAATGCTGACCTCAGTGAATTAGGAAATGTTCCCACATCTTCAATTTTCTAGAAGAATCTGTGCAGAACTGCTATTATTTCTTCCTTAACTATATGATAGAACTGACAGTAAATCCTCCTGGCCTAAAGCTTTATTTGTGAGAATGTTTCTAACATTCCCAGAATATTTGAGAAGGCTTTAATAGTTTTTGCCTGTTAAGGAAATTTGTCCATTTCTCTAAGTTGTTGAATTTGTTGGATAAAGGTGTTCATAATATGCAATTATTATCCTTTTAATCACTGTTCAATATGTAGTGATGTCACCTCTCTCATTCCTAATACTGGCAATTGGTCTCTTCTTTTTTGCTGATCATTCTGGCATTGTTTATCAATTTCAGTGTTCTTCTTGGTGATTTCCTGTTTTCTATTTCATTGATTTCCTCTCTCAAGATTTTTAAAGAAAGATTTCCCTTCTTTGGGATCTATTCGTTGACTCTGCAGAAACTGATTTGAGGCCTTTTTTCTGTTGTAATACAGGTATTTCGTGCTATACATTGACCTTTAAAAACTTTTTAGACACATCCCGCAAATATTAAAATGTTTTATTTTCATTTCATTCAGTTCAAAGCACTTTCAAATTTCCCTTTTGATTATTCTTTGACCAGTGAGTTATTGTAAAGTATGTTATCAATTACCAAATACTCAGGGATCTTCTAGATTGTTTCTAGGTAAGTTTTCTGACACTTATTTAATTTCATTGTCCTTACAGAGTGTATCTTGTATGACTTAAAATCCTAAAATGTATTGAGACTTATTTTATGGCAAAGAATGTGATCTCTCTTGGTAAATGCCCACATTGTACTGGAAAAGAATATGTATTCTATTCTTGGATGTTCTATAAATGTTAATTAGGTCAAGTCAGTTGATAGTATTATTCAAATCTTCTATATCGTGATTTTTTCTTCTATATGTTCTATCAATTATTGAAAGAAGGGTGTTGAAATATCTGAATGTAATTGTGATTCTGACTACACTTTCCGTTTTTGCTTCATGTACTTAATATATGTCATTAGGCAGATATATGCTAAGTATCATTAGGCTCTTTGGGTGAACAAACCACTTCAACATGATGAAATGATCTTCTTTATGACTGGTAATATTCTTTGCCCTTGTCTGATAATCATATAGCCACTCCAACTTTGCTCTGTTTAAAATTAGCATGGTGTATCTTTTTTCTCCTACTGCCATTGACCTAGTTTTGTCTTTACAGTGGGTATCCTGCAAGCAGATATACTTCAGTCTTGCTTTTATATTCAATTTGATAATCTCTGCCTTTTAGTTGTAGTGTTTAGAACATTACATTTAAAGTGATTATTGATATAGTTAGCTTTAAATCTATCAACTTGCTTTTTGTTTTCTATTTGCCCCATGTGTTAGCTTCCCTTCTTCTATGTTCCCACAGATTAAGTATTTTTTATGATTCTAGTTTATTTCCTTTGTTTACTTATTCACTATATCTCTGTTGGGCTATTTCTGGTTTGTCTTCAGGTTTATCATATACGCCTTTAACTCATCACAATCTGCCTTCAGATGATTTTATTGGCTGCTCTGCCAATGAAATAGCCATTCCTTTTATTCCTTTACTTTCTTAATAAACTTGCTGTCACTTAGAAAAAAAAAGATAACACTTCACGTAGAGCATGAGAACTTCACAACAGTGTGCTTCCGTGGCTTTCCTCCTGTGTGTTATCGTTGTCATATAACTTACTTGTACATCTATAATAAAATTCATAATACATTGTTACTACTTTTTAAACAGCCAATTATCTTTTCTAAACACAGGATTTTTAAAAAGCTTCTCTACATATAAACTGCTGCTTCTAGTGCTCTTCATTTCATTTTGTAGAGTTAGGAAATGAGTTAAGATATATTCCCTCGGGTTTGTTTAGCTCACGGTTCCTAGATATCTATCTCCTACCCACCTCCTACCACATGAAGGACAACCTGTAACATTTTTTAATGTACAGCTCTGCTGATGATGAATTTTTATCTTTTGTGTATCTGACACTATCACTATTTTGCCTTTGTTTTGAAAAATATTTTCACTGGGGATAAAACTAGACTGGCTGGGATTTTTCTTTTAGTACAATCCTCCCTCAGTGTCTGTAGGGGATTGGTTCCAAGACCTCCCATAGATACTAAAATCCACAGATGCTCAAGTCCCTTATGTAAAATGGCATGGTATTTGCATATAACCTATGCATATCCTCCTATATACTTTAAATCATCCATAGATTACTTACAATACCTAATACAGTGTAAATCTATGTAAATAATTATACTATATTGTTTAGGGAATAAGAAGAAAAAACTCTGTACATGCTCACTATAAACACAACCATCTTTTTTTCCAATATTTGTGATCCGTGGTTGGTTGAATCTACAGATCTAGAATCCACAGATCCAGAGGGCTGACTACACTGTTGCTACACTGTCACAACGTCATCTGGCTTGCATTGTTTCCCACCAGAAACATGCTGTGATTCTTATTATTGCTCCTCTGAACTTAACGTGTCTCTTTTTGTAGATGCATTTAAGATTTTCTCTTTATCACTGATTTTGAGCCATCAGATTACATGCGTTGGTACAGTTTTCCTCATGTTTCTTGTACATAGAACTGGTTAAGCTTCTAAAATCAGTGGGTTTATAGTTCTCATCAATTTTGAAATGTTTCTGCCATTAAGTTTCCAAATATTTTTCTCAACTCCCCTCCTTTAGAAACACCAACTACATCACTGATACCCTGTGTGTTAGCCCACTTTGCATTGCCATCAAGGAATACCTGAGGCTGGGTAATTTATTAAAAAAAAAAGAGAGAGATTTATTTGGCTCACAGTTCTACAGGCTGTACAAGAAGCTTGGTGCCAACAGCTGCTGTGAGGAGGGCCTCAAGCTGCTTCCATTCGTGGCGAAAGGCGAAGGGGAGCTGGCATATGCAGAGATCACAGGAGAAGACAGGAAGCAATGGAGAGGGGGTTGTGCCAGGCTCTTTTTAACAACCAGCTCTTATGAGAATAAAGAACTCACTCACCCACCTCCCGGGAGGGAATTCATCTATTCTTGGGGGATCTGCCCCACTGGCCCAAACACCTCCCACTAGATCCACCTCCAACACTAGGAATCAAATTTCTCTCTCTTTTTTTGAGATAGTGTCTCGCTCTGTCCTCCAGGCTGGAGTGCAGTGGCACAATTTCAGCTCACTGCAGCCTCTGCCTCCCAGGTTGAAGTGATTCTCCTGCCTCAGCCTCCCGAGTAGCTGGGATTACAGGCATGCACCACCACGCCTGGCTAATTTTTGTATTTTTAGTAAAAATGGTGTTTCATCATGTTGGCCAGGCTGGTCTCAAACTCCTGACCTCAAGTGATCCACCCACCCAGGCTTCCCAAAGTGCTGGGATTACAGGTGTGAGCCACCATGCCTGGCCCTGGGAGTCAAATTTCAACATGAGGTATGGGGGAATAAACATCCAAACTACAGCACTATTGTCACTTTTCAGCCATTTTTCCCTCTGTGTTTCACTTTCACATAGTTTTTTGATTTTTTTGTTTTTTGTTTTTTTACATGGAGTGTTGCTCTGTCACCCAGGCTGGAGTACAGTGGCGCAATCTTGGCTCACTACAACCTCCACCTCTCCCGGGTTCAAGCGATTCTCCTCCCTCAGCCTCCCAAGTAGCTGAGTCTACAGGCATGCACCACCATGCCTGGCTAATTTTTGTATTTTTAGTAGAGACGAGGTTTCACCAAGTTGGCCAGGCTGGTCTTGAACTCCCGACCTCAGGTGATCCACCCACCTCAGCCTCCCAAAGTGCCAGGATTACAGGCATGAGCCACAGCGCCCAGCCCCACTTTTGAATAGTTTTCTATTGCTATGTCCTCAAATTCATTAATCTCTTCTGCAATGTCTAATCTGCTATTAATCTACTGTTTTATATACTTTCACATCACATGCTATAGTTTTCATCTCTAGAATTTTGTTTTTTTACATCTTTTACATCTCAGTATGTTCAACATTTCCTCTAAGTTTCTGGAACATATGGAATAGTTATAAGAATTGTTTTCCTGGCCAGGCGCGGTGGCTCACGCCTGTAATCCCAGCACTTTGGGAGGCCGAGGCAGGTGGATCACGAGGTCAAGAGATCAAAACCATCCTGGCCAACATGGTGAAACCCCGTCTCTACTAAAAATACAAAAATTAGCTGGGCATGGTGGCACACGCCTGTAGTCCAGCTACTCGGGAGGCTGAGGCAGAAGAATCACCTAAACCCGGGAGGCGGAGGTTGCAGTGAGCCAAGATTGCACCACTGCACTCCAGCCTGGGCGACAGAGTCAGACTCCGTCTCAAAAAAAAAAAAGAATTGTTTTCATGTATTTGTCTACTAATTCTGACATCTCAGTTGCAGACTCAAGGTAGGCATAGTGGACAAGGTCCCCATGCCTGAATCCCCAGCCTTCTGTGAGTATGTTGCATGGTGTACTGGTTTTCTGGAACTGAGGAAACAAAGCACCACAAACCGAATGGCTTCAAGCAACAGAAATCTACTCTCTTACAGTTCCAGGGACTAGAAGTCTGAAATCAAGGTGTCAGCAGGACCACGCTCCTTCCAAAGTCTCCAGGGAAGAATCCTTCCTACTATCTGTGGGTGGCTGCCTGCAATCTTTGGCATTCCTGGGCTTGCTGATGCCCTTATTCCATGCTTGGCCTCTGTCTTCACACAGCTTTCTTCCCTGTGTGTCTGTGTCTCTGCTTTATGTTTTTAGGGGGATACCAGTCTTTGGATTTGGGTCTTCGCTAATCTAAGATGACTTCATCTTCACTAATTATGTCTACAAAGACTGTTATTTCCAAATAAGTTCACATCCTGATGTTCTGAGTGAACCTGAATTTTGGGGGAACACGATACTACTCACCTCAGTACATATGGCAAAAAGGACTTGGCAGGTGTAATTAAGGTTATGGACCTTCAAATAGGAAGACAGCAAGACCATTTTGGATTATCCAGGTGGCCATAATCTAATTACATGAGCCTTTCATGTGATTTTTAAACACACAGAGAGAGAGAGAGAGAGACAGCAAGAGGGAGAGAGGGAGAGAAAACACAAGAGCGCAGAGGACTTTCTCCAGCTGCAGTCAGAAAGATGCAGCAGAAGGGAAGTCAGAGAAAAACTTGACCCACCTTTGTTAGAGGGTATCACATGGAAGAGAAAAGAGGCAAGCAACCTCTAGAAACAAAGGCTAGCACCTGGCTGAGAGGTAGGAAGGAAATGAGGGCCTCAGTCCTAAAACTACAAAGAACCAAATTCAGCCAACAGTCTGAAACCAAATTCTTCCCCGGGGCCTCCAATGAGGAAGGCAACACTGTGAACATCTTGATTTCAGCCTGTAAGACTCTACACAGAGGGCCTTCATTTGCCAAAAACAGAACACCAGTTTAGTAAGGTTTTACTACGGAAAACGTTCGAACTGAGAAAATGATATCCCATTAATTCTACCCATCAGTGTAAAACAAAATGATTCTCTGTGCAGCAATCTCCTTTCCAGTACTCTGCCTGGTACACTCTAGCCCCCTTGGTCTCTCAAAACTCCTGGGTTCTCAACCCAGAACACTGCTCAGCTCCACCTGGGTTCCCCCTCTCTGTACTGCAGTGTGGAAATTCTCTCAAGGCAGCACCTTGTTTGCCCCCATCTCTGGGGATTATTGTCCTTCTTTGCCTATAGTTTCTCAAAAACCTAGTCATTTCAGGTGGGAGGGTATATATCCAGTCCACCTTACTCCACCTTAGCCAGACTATTTAGCTTTTAAAGTGTTTCTCTACCAACACTTGAATATTGGCTTTTTGTTGTTTGTAGATACAGGGTCTCGTTTTGTTGCTCAGGCTGGTCTTGATCTGGCTTCAAGCAATCCTCCCACCTCGGCCTCCCAAAATGTTGGGATTACAGGCTCACCACACCTGGCCTAATTTTTCATACTCCACGTCTGAGCCTTAGTCCTCAATAATACAGAAAAAGCTCTGGGCATAAAACATCAGCAAAGAGTGCTTGTTCTTCACTACCTATCTATCCTAATGGATTTGCTGATCATAGAAAAAATGTTTTAAAACTGTAGTTACCTACTCTATTTCAAGTTGGCCTCCCCAAATACTTATTGATATCCTTGCCCCTTGTTTAATTCTCTCAACATACAACTCAACAACAAAACAAAGTCTGTTTATTACTAAAAGAGTAAGCCTCAACTCCTATGTCTTAGTTTTCTCTTACTAGATGGAATACTGCTCCCTATTGTGAAATATACGTTCTCTTCATTCTCTTGCCCCAAATTCCTAAAACCTAACTATT
Organism: Homo sapiens; assembly: GCF_000001405.40. NCBI lineage: Eukaryota > Metazoa > Chordata > Mammalia > Primates > Hominidae > Homo > Homo sapiens. The sequence continues at coordinate 156,813,603 of NC_000007.14, forward strand.
CCAGTATACATTTCTACAGTGGGCCTCCAAGATGCTTCACAGATATCATCAAGCTTATTCTTTTTCTCCTTTTCCCACATTCTTTCTATTATGTTCTTTGATACACTCAGAAAATAAAGTCTACTCAAATGATGTTGTATTAGAAAATTTTAAAATAATAATGAAATAATTGCAAAGCCTCACTTTGGTTAAGTTCCTTTACACTGTTCAATACCTGCTACTTTGAATCCACATTCAGAAAAAACACCATCTCTTGAAGAAAAAAAGTCCTAGTTTTTTTTTATCTTTTCCAGACAAAGAATTGTTTTAGACTGAAATAACCTCTTTCCTCTAACGAACTAAAATACATATTTATTTCAATACTTAAGCAGAACAGATACAATTGTAAGAATCTAAAATTAAAATCTGTTCAAAATAAATAAAACCTTGCTCTTATTTTAGTGCACCAAGAATAAGATACAGAGCAGAAGAGAACCTAAGATCCCCTTAGCCAACGCACCCATAAACTGAACTTTTTCTTAAAAGAGACTCAATAAATTCCTCACAAATTCCACAACTTACAAATGGTAGCCCTGGGATTAAATCCCAGATCTCTTTTTCTTTCTACATATGACTGAATAATGTCTCATACTTAACATTCTGGGTGAAAAAGGAACAATGTTTTGAGTTTTCTTAATATTATCTGCCAAAAAGAATATATTAGTTTAGTAAGATTTTACTAAGGGAAATAATGAATATGATATTCCATTAATTCTATCAACATAAAACAAAATGCTTAACTGAGCCTGCAATCAGTTTTGTAAAATGGAACAAAACATGTCTGCATTTGTTTTCTCAGTTGTTTACATGTAGGTGTGTACATGTACAAGCAAGGCTTCTTAAAACACCAGGACATCTTTCAACTACAGAAAGGTTTTTAAAAATCTAATTTCAGTAAAATATTGAATATATTAGATCTATTTAGTGTACTATAATGTACTCTAACAAAATCAAGGTATTCACACAATTTGTGATTTTTAAAACCTCACCAGTTCTCAATGGCAGATAGCTAAGTGCGTAGCACTTTACGTCTAACAGCCTGGATTTGCACCTATCACAAATACGTGACCTTGAAGAGGGACTGCAACTCTGTCACCCAGTTTCCTCAGGTATGCAATAGGCTATAATTCACAGGGCTCTTATGAAGAACAGAAGATAAATTAACACCCAATATGTTAAACAAATGTCAGTGCCTCTTCCCTGCCCTGTCTCAACATCATAAAAATGGTACAAGGCCAAGCGCGGTGGTTCACACCTGTAATCCCATCACTTTAGGAGGCCAAGGCAGGCAGATTACCTGAGGTTGAGAGCTCGAGACCACCCTGACCAATATGGAAAAACCCCATCTCTATTAAAAATACAAAATTAGCCAGGCATGGTGGCACACGCCTATAATCCCAGCTATTCGGGAGGCTGAGGCAGGAGAATCGCTTGAACCTGGGAAGAAGAGGTTGTGGTGAGCCAAGATCATGCCATTGCACTCCAGCCTAGGCAACAAGAGTGAAACTCCGTCTCAAAAAAAAAAAAAAAAAAAGTACAAAAAAACTGAAAAGTTCTGACATACACCAGCATTTAGACCATATAACAACAACAAAATGATGCAGGTTGTAACTACAGTTAGCTCTCAACCCTTTCCTTAAAGAATTATTCTCATTAATTTCACTAAAAAAAAAAATTTAACCAGCAAAACCTATATACATAGGTGTTATTGAAAATATTTTAAAATGACAATGACAAAAACCAGGCATAGAAAATCAACTGCAAATAAATACCCCAACTAATTAACAATATCAATGTAGCACAACTGTGCGTGATTTTTTTGTCTGGATATTCTAAGTTTTCTGTAAGAAGCATATAAAGTCCTCTAAAATTCACAAAGCATATATTTAAACATCTTTGTGAAACTCAAAATTCCCCACATCCCTGTATCATACAGTTTCCCCCATAAAATGAATTAAAAGGGCAGAAAATAATAAAGCTAAACTGAGATGGGGATGCTGAGCTAGGCTCACTCATTAGCCACGTGGCTCACTTTACTTACTAGTTTCTCTGAGTGCACAGTTTAGATTTTAGCCTCAGCAAAATTACAAATTACCACGTGTTGGGGAGCCTCAAATATTGCTCTCAAATTGTTGTAACCATGAATATAAATCCTCGAATACTAAGGGTCCACTATGCTTTTATATTCAGAAGAAAAAAAGTTTAAAATCTATTTCTAACTTTTAACATCCAGAGAAGAATTTGAATTTTACTGTATAAAAGGGACATGTATGATTAAAAAGATAAATTCTGGAGCATAAAAGAAGGCTCTTTCTATTGTTATTGATCCATAAACATACATGCTTCCAGAATTTATCTTTCTAATCATACATGTCCCTTTTATACAGTAAAATTCAAATTCTTCTCTAGATGTCAAAGTTAAAAAAATAAAACTTTGCCTTAGGCAATGCTCACAAATCACTAAAAAGTATCTCTTCTGACTAACCAATACACTTACTTTTATTAAAACAAAGATAGTTTATCAAAAGCTAAATGAAAAAAATATTTTTTTTTCTTTCTTCCTTTTTTCTTTTCTCTTTTTGGAGACAGAGTCTCACTCTGCTGCCCAGGCTGGAGTGCAGTGGTGCAATCTTGGCTCACTGCAGCCTCCACCTCTCAGGTTCAAGTGATTCTTGTGCCTCAGCCTCCCGAGCATCTGGGATTATAGACACGCACCATCACACCAGGCTAACGTTTGTATTTTTAGTAGTGATGGGAGACGGGGTGAAGAAATCTTTATCAGTAGATCAAACAAGGAGTAATGTCTGTTGGACAACTGAAGAAAACGATTCAGTACCCTGAATCAAGAAGGGTTCCAAATACCAGTTAATTTAGTTTGTCAAGAAATTAGATGCCTGTTTCATGTACTGATCAACCAGCTTTTTTCAACCTAGGTAATTAAATGCAAAATAATAAGTTTATTAGCCAGAATAAATAAATGTGAAAATTTCAGACTCAACTTACGCTAATCTAATACAATTTGCAATATATAAGAAAGTAAAAATACTATGAGAAGAACATCTAATACATAGACATAATAATGTATCTAAGATATATTGCTAAGTAGTAATTACATTCTTGGCAATTTTGCAAAGCTTAGTAAATTTCTAACATTTTATAAATATACATCAACATACACACATACATATTCCTTAATAATATTCTATAATTTTGATAAATCATTCTTAAAAATTACTGTTAGGGCCAACACATATATTTCATTATACATTATTTCATATTAATTTGTAAAATAAATATTAATCAAATCGCTCTGCTTTAGAAAGGTAAAATTACATATTTCCATATAGTAGTCAAACCCTAAAAAATTCAGCAACACTATAACAGAAACCTATTTGAAAGATATCCAATGCCCATCCCCAGAAAAGGTATTTGAATTTAAAGTTATTTAACTGTGGTTTAAAATAAAACAAAACAAGACTGAATTTCCAGATCACCATAGGATGCATTAACTTCTAGCTCCATCTGCTGGAGTTACAAAATATTTCAAACTACAATATACAATACTATAGAGGAAATAATTTATCATTTTTCCTCACATAGACAAAAGCCTTCATGAATTTAAATTAAAAAATTAATCAGAGTTCAGCCATACTCAATAATTTCCAAAATGACAAAAGTTCAATATTTCAGTAGAATTAAAGATCTAATCCAATTATCAAAAAGCAATTTACACAATTTTTAAAAATTCTACCAACAAAGCATAAGGCTTAGAAAAGAGATTACAGTCTGTTTTCAAGTAGTGTGAGGACTTCAGAATTATTAGCCACTGTTGATTTGGGGTAAAAAGAGACAGAGAGAGAGAGAGAGAGAGAGACAGAGACAGACAGAGAGACAGAGACAGACAGAGAGAGAACTTCAGAATTAGAATAGCCTCTGCTTATTTACTTAGAAGAAAAATAAATAACAACTACCAATGAAATGTGGGACTTTTTATCTTCACATAACTTTTTTCTTAAAAAACAAATAATATGTCCATTGTATAAATGCAAACACCAAATGCAATGTAAATACCAAAAAAAAATGCATATCATAAAATCCTACAAAAAGTTAAACTCTTTGTATTTACCCTTCCAGGTATTTTTTGATGCAGCTACCTACACATGTACTCTTTTTTCTTTTTACAAAATAGGCATTGGATCGTAAATATGGGCTTTTTTCTGGTATCTCTGTATATCAACAAATACCTACATTATCATCTATAATGTCCAGAAAAGCACTCCACTGTTTGGATCGACAAGATATGATTAATTTCCTATCCCAAACACTAGGATTTTTCTATTTGTAATGTTATAAACAATACCTCAATATCCAGTAACTATCTTGATACACATTATGATAAATGACTGAACTACTGAGCCCAAATGACTAGGAACATTTAGTGAACAACAGTACATTAAAATTTATTAGGGACTTACTTTTGACTTAGCATCTATTCATAAGTAAATATAATATTTTCTTAAGTTTGACTGCTTATACTCTAAAAGTCTGGTTTTTTGGATCTTCTATGGAACTTAAAAATGAATTTTAAAAGGATGGATTTTGCATTGTTCCTTCATGATGTCCAAACAGTGTATCGCCTATTCCTGATGACAAATCAAAATAAAGCACACAGTCCTTGCAGTGACTTGTCGGATTCATTGTGGTTATATTTTAACAGACAATCTCAAACTGGGCATTCATGTCACAAATGTTTGTTTTGTCTCTATCTCTGGTCATAAGTGAGTGGACAGCTTAGCCAAAATTGGGCCCCACTGGGGAAAAATCACTCAAAAACTGAAGAATTATTTCCTGGTTTTATTTAAGGGTACAATCTAACTCCATCATTTTCCTATCTTCCAAATTTTTATTGTTATTTAGCTCTTATTTTGATATTAAACTCACATTACTTAAAATTAGCGATTTTAAAGTGAACAATTCAGTGGCATTTGCACTGAACTGTTCATTTGCAATGGTGTGCAACCACCACCTTTACCTAACTCCGAAACATTTTTATCACCCCCAAAAGGAAAACCCACAAAGCAGCTGTATCATTGTTTTTCAACTTATGGAAATGAAGAGTTTCATATTTTCCTATTAATTTTTTAACAGTACACAAGATATAGAAAATGTATAGAAGTGGATACTTTATTTTTTCGGTCCATTTTTTAACCCTTTTTCCTATTTTAACAACAAAAAGAACTTACACTACCATTTTAATTTGTCATCTCTGCCCTATCCTACAACAAACTACAGTTGCTGGCATGTCATGGACCCACACTGTGTGAATGACAGAACACATCTCACAGCATCAAGCTGACAAGTGATGACAACCACCAGCCAAAACCCAGAGGCCAGAGGATCATCATCAGGTCTCCTAACTCCAATGCTCCAATGTCATTTTTCTGTATCACATTTTTCAAGCTATTTTCTCACTGCAGACAGAGATACATCTTGCTTACATGACACAGTTTACTAAGGTTATTATTTTATTTGTGTTACAAAATTCTTGCCCAGAAAAGTAAAGTAGCATTCCAAGGTAATATGGTTAACACATAACATCTCAAACCTGTATCCAAAATCCAAACACTATATTTAAGCCAAACTAAATATATTTGCACATACAAAAAAAAGCATTATCAACACATTTAGCCTCTAATCCATATGTGATTTACACATTAAAGGCACAATCAAAAACATCCATACTGACAATTTTATAAAATAAGCCATTAAATTTCCTTTCAAATTCACTTTTGCCAAAATATTCCTAATGATATAATTATAATGACTTTTATTCCTTCAATCAATCAATATTTATTGAACACTTTCAACATGAAAGTACTAGAACAGATGCTCCATGGGAGATTAAAGGAATCTGAACATTTTCTGAGTACTCACAGAATCCCATAAATGTCACAAAACTGTAAATGACAGATTGACAAATGAATATTAGTGATATAACTGTGCTCTGGGGAAAAGGAAATAACCAGACCGTTCGTGAACTTCTGGACACTGGCTCTGAACTGACACTGATCCTAGGAGACCTTCCCTGTGGCTCTCCAGTCAGAGTAGGGGCTTATGGAGGTCAGGTAATCAGTGGAATTTTAGCAGAGGCCCAACTCAGAGCGGGTCCCTGAACCCATCCTGTGGTTGTCTCCTCTCTTCCAGAAGGCAATTAATGGAATGGAATGGCTAGCAGAATCCCCATACTGATTTCCTGACCTGTGGAGTGAGGGCTATTATGGTGGGAAAGACCAAGTGGAAGCTACTAGAACTGCATCTACCTGGGAAAACAGTAAACCAAAACCAATACTGCATTCTTAGAGGGATTTCAGAGATTACTGCCACCGTCGAGGACTTGAAAGATGCAGGGGTGGGGATTCCCACTACACCCCCATTCGATTCTTATCTGGTCTGTGCAGAAGACAGACAGAGCTTCCAGAATAACAGAAGATTATCGTTAAGCTTAACTAGGTGGTGAGTCCAATTACAGCTGCTGTACCAGATGTGGCTTCATTGCCTGAACAAATTAACATGCCACCTATCTGGTATGCAGCTACTGATCTGGCAAATGCTTTTCTCTCTGTCCCTGTTAGTAAAGACCACTAGAAGCAGTTTGCTTTCAGCTGACAAGGCCAGCAATACGCCTTCACTGCCCTACGTCAAGGGTATATAAATTCTGTAGCCCTGTATTATAATTTAGTTCACAGAAATCTTGATCACCTTTCCCTTCCATAGGATATTAATATCACACTGGCCCATTATGTTGACGATATTTTGCTGATTGTAACTAGTGAGTGAGAAGTTAACAACCACTCTAAACTTATTGGTAAGACATTTGTGTGTCAAAAAGTGGGAAATAAATCTGACAAAAATTTAGGGGCCTTCTATCTCAGTGAAATTTCTAGGGGTCCAGTGTTGTAGGGTATATGGAGATATCCTTTCTAAGGTGAAGGATAAATTGTTGAATCTGGCGCCTCCTGCATCAAAAAAGAGGCATAACATCTAGCAGGCCTCTCTGGACTTCGAAGACAACACATTTCTCATTTGCGTGTGTTGCTCCAGCTGGTTTACTGAGCGGCCTGAAAAGCTGCTGGTTTTGAGTACAGCCCAGAAGGAGGGAAGGCTCTGCGGCAGCTCCAGGCTCTGTGCAGGCTGCTCTGCCTCCTGGGCCACATGACCCAGCAGATCCAAGGGTGTCTGAAAGGGCAGAGGCAGAGACGCATGCTGTGTGGAGCCTTTGGCAGGTTCCTCTCAAGGTGAACTGCAGCACAGGCCCTTAGGATGTTGGGGCAACGCCCTGCCATCCTTGTGGGTAACAACTGCCTTTGAGAAACAGCTCTTGACCCACTATGGGGCTTTAGTAGGGATTGAATGCTGAAACATGGACCACCAAGTTACCATGGGACCTGAGTTGCCCATCATGAACTGAATGTTTTCCGACCCACCAAGCCAGAAAGTTGGGTGTGCACAGCAGCATTCCATCATCAAATGGAAGTGGTACATGTCTGGGCCTAAGTAGGCCCTAAAGGCACAAGTTACATAAAGAAGTGCCGCCAATGCCGACGGTCCCCACTCCCGCTACGCTGCCTTCTCTCTCCCAGCCTGCACCTACAGTCTCCTGGAGAGTTCCCTAAAATCAGCTGACGGAGGAAGACCTGGGCCTGGTTTACAGATGGTTCTGCATGATATGCAGGCCCCCACGTTAGTGGACAACTGCAGCACTACTGCCCCTTTCTGGAACATCCCTAAAAGGACAGCGGTGAAGGGAAACTCTCCGATGGGCAGATCTATGGGCTGTACATCTGGTGGTTTGCTTTGCTTGGAAAGAGAAATAGCCAAATGTGTGATTATTACATATTAATGGACCATGGCCAATGGTTTGGCCAGATGCTCAGAGTCTTGAAGAAACACAATTGGAAAACTGGAAATAAGAAAATTGGGATGAGGTACATGAACAGACCTCTTTGAATGGGAAAAAAATGTGAAAGTATTTGTGTCCCATGTGAATGCTCACCAAAGGGTGACCTCAGCAGAGGAAGATTTTAATAATTAAGTGGATAGGCTGACTGGCTCTGTGGATACTAGTCAGCCTCCTTCCCCAGCCACCCCTGTCATTGCCCAATGGGCTCAGGAACAAAGTCACCATGATGGTAGGGACGGAGATCATACATGGACCCAGCACCTTCTACTCACCAAGGCTGGCCTGGCTACAGCCACTGCTAAGGACCCAATCTGCTAACTGTGACTTTTGTTTTCCAAATCTCCCCACCAAATATTTATTTATTTAAACACACACGAACATGTTTATACACATACATTTCCCTAACACAGACAAAACAATTAAAAGACAAATTTCCATAGCATTGTAATGTCCCATATTGCACAAAATACATGCCTTTGCTTACGAAAACCTTCATAAAATGTATGAACTTTTTAAAACCTAGTAGGAGCAAAGTATTACAAAACTACAGTCTTTAAAACAATATGGCACTGGCATAGGAATAGACAGACAAACCAGAGGGAAAAAACAGAAAGTAAAACTCAGCATTTATTTCCTGCTTACTCTTGGCCACCAGGCAATAGACTAGGTACTTTATACTATACATATATTCCACTTACTACATATAATAATTCTATAAACTAGACCTTGATATGGTCATTTTATAGATAAAAGACTGAGACTCTGAAAGCGTAAACAATATGCTCAAGGTTGCTAAGGGTTTCAGACAGATTTGAAATTCAAGCCCAGGTCTATCTGACTCCAAAACCTGCATACCTGAGCCCAGAAACAAACGCTAATATAATATTTAGCTTACTGAAAATGAAGCATAAAAAATCAGTACAGAAAAGAATATTCAATTAATGGTATTGGGACAACTAGCTGTCATATCTCAGGGTGGGAAACAATCTTCTAAACACAAAAACAATTAGAGACACCAAGAGAAAAAGAAAAACCAAATATTATAAAAAATATTCAAATTCTGGAAAAAAGCAATTAATATTAAAAAGCAAAATAACAATCAGAAAAACATGTAAAAAATTGAAATGAAAAGCTGATGTGTTCAAACAAAGAGATCATAAATTCAATATGAAAAAAGCAACAACCACAAAAAAGGGCAAAGGACATTAATCAAATAAAATATACATGGGCTGGGCACGGTGGCTCATGCCTGTAATCCCAGCATTTCAGAGGCCGAAGAGGGTGGATCACTTGAGGTCAGGAGTTTGAGGCCAGCCTGGCCAACATGGTGAAACCCCCTGTCTCTACTAAAAATATAAAAATGATCTGGGCGTGGTGGCACACACCTGTAGTCCCCGCTCCTCAGGAAGCTGAGGCAGGAGAATCGCTTGAACCCGGGAGGTAGAGGTTGCAGTGAGCCAAGACTGCGCCACTGCACTCCAGCCTGGGCAACAGAGCAACACTTCATCTCAAAAAAATTATAATAATAAAATAAATAAATAAAAATAAAATGATATATGTATTAGATATTTTTCTATATTTTATAAATTAAAATTAAAATGTCCTATCTGACTAAAAATTTTTTAAATTAACATTACAATAATGAGAAACTACCTTCTACCCATGAAAATGGAAAAGATTTTAAAGATACTAATATTCACTGTTATTAAGTTTATGGCTAAAAACAAGAGGCACCTTCATGGTCTATCAAGAGAATATAAACAAGTAATTCTAGAAAACAGTTTAGCAATTAATACTCATTAGCCTAATAATTTTCATTCTAATTTCCATGTAAAGAAATTGTCAGAAACCCAAATAATAATGAAAATTTAAAAATCCTCTAGATGCTCAACAACAGTTTACTGGTGAAGTGAAATGTTTCACAAAGAGGACAGGGTGGGTTTGGTGCCTGAGGAACAACTCAGCTGTTTTCTATTGCAAATCTGAAAAAAATGCAGGTAGCAAGTCACTGGAGGGATAAATGGTTCCACCCTTTAAAATGACGAAATAGCCTTTGAAAACCACTAGCTTAATATATTGCTAAATACATGGCTCAGGTTACACCACTAAAAATGGTTTTGAAGAACATAAAAGGTATGGAAAACACAATATAATATTAAAGGTTTTAAAGGTATAAACTGCATATGCTATATATAATACACACATGCAGCCGGGCACGGTGGCTCACGCCTGTAATCCCAGCACTTTGGGAGGCTGAGGCGGGCGGATCACAAGGTCAGGAGATCGAGACCATCCTGGCTAACACGGTGAAACCAGTCTCTACTAAAAATACAAAAAAATTAACTGGGTATAGTGGCAGGCACCTGTAGCCCCAGCTACTTAGGAGGCTGAGGCAGGAGAATGGCATGAACCTGGGAGGCGGAGCTTGCAGTGAGCTAAGATCGCACCACTGCACCCCAGCCTGGGTGACAGAGAGAGACTCCATCTCAAAAAACAACAACAACAACAACAACAACAACAACAACAATATATATATACACACGCGCGCGCGCTGAAAAAATGTGGAGTTTTCCTTGTTTCTACATTTTAGTATTTTCTATATTCTGTATAGTGAGCACACACTACTTTATGAGCAGAAAAAAATAAGGGAGCGGTTGGTGTTGCTGTTGTTCTTAATACACAGGGCCACAGTCTCAGCAGAAGCTTACGGGATTGCTAAGGTAGCATCACCTACAAAAATTATCTTCTATACTTTCTCAAACAACAAGAGACAGGAAATAAGACAAATAAGTATATTTATCTTACATATAAAACTAGTAATCTCTTAAATTTAAACTTGCTTTTTCTTCCACTGGATTACAGCACCATGAACATAATAGCAATGAAAAAAGAATATACATTATTAGTCTAATGCACCACAGCCTTCTACAGCAACTCAAGTAATCACGTGTCACACATAAAAAGTGACATCTTGGCAACATGTCTAGTCCCGGCACTTTGGGAGGCCAAGGTGGGAGATCACTTGAACCCAAGAGTTCAAAACCAGCCTGGGAAACATGGCAAAACCCTGTCTCTACAAAAAAAACACCAAAAATTAGCTTGGCGTGGTGTCACACACCTGCAGTTCCAGCTACCTGGGAGGCTGAGGTGGGAGGATCACCTGAGCCCAGGAGGTGGAGCCTGCAGACAGCCATGATCGTGTCACTGCACTCTAGGCTAGGCGACAGAGCGAGACCCTGTCTCAATAAAAAAAAAAAAAAAAGTGATGTTTTCCAAGTGGAAAATGCCTACTATAAAAACGAAAGCACACTTAACTGTAACGCTACCACACAGGCAAGAAATTCTATTTCTTTCCTTGGATAAAAACGAAAGCATACTTAGCTGTAACGCTACCACACAAGCAAGTTATTCCATTTCTTTCCCTGGATTTGAGATCCTAACACGTCCTTATGTTAACTCAGAAATTCCAAATTCACTGACCTATAATACAAATTTAATGGAAACAAGCTATCTCTGATATATATTTAAGTCAAATGGCAACTTAGCTTAAATATTGTCAAAGGAGGACATTTTACCATTAACTCATAAGGTTCTTACTAAGAAAAAAAATTTTCAAAAAACTTTTACCTTAAAATGAGATGAAGAAATTGAAATACATAACAAATTAAAATAACTATTAACACTGATAACACCAACTAACTACATTAACAAAATAATAATTAGTAATATAGTTACTAGTAACACAAATCAACACTAATAAAATGAGAGACGGGTATGGGTATGATGAGCAAGAAAGATATCCAAATTCCTAAGAGCTATAATTCTAAAACATAATTACAAAATCTTAACAAAGAATAAATGCTTGAGGTGATAGACACCCTGTTTACCCTGATGTGAGTCTTTTGCATTGCATGCCTTTAATATATACACCAACTATGTACTCACAAAAATTAAAATTAAAACATTAAAAAATAAAAATAAATTAGAACTCAAAAAAGAATTATGCCAGCATGTTCTATGAGAGACAAGAGTTCAGTTTACATACACTAAATTGATTTGTAAAAACAGTAAGATTCTTCAGAAAGAAAACACCTCACAGCCTAAATAACTATCATAATAGCTACCACCTATTAAGTGCCTACTAAAAGACAATTACTTTACATACATCATTCCTATTGCAAAAACAAGCTGGGTTTTATTTATCATCCCAACTAAGACAACAGGAAGCCGCGGTGAGAGGACAGTGGCTTTCCCAAAGACTACAAAGCAATACACCATGATATCTATTTGTACTTGACATAGAGTGTTTTTCCCCTTCTATATTTTGAAATGACTAAAGAAACTACTAGCAAATAAATAAAATAGAAACTATAGCTGCTGTTTTTTAGTTCTTTTGAGATGGAGTTTCACTCTTCTTGCCCAGGCCAGAGGGCAATGGTGCGATCACGGCTCACTGCAATCTCCACCTCCCAGGTTCAAGTGATTCTCCTGCCTCAGCCTCCCAAGTAGCTGGGATTATAAGCGCGTGCCACCATGCCTGGCTAATTTTTATATTTTTAGTAGAGACAGGGTTTCTCCATGTTGGCCAGGCTGGTCTCGAACTCCTGACCTCAGGTGATCCACCCACCTCGACCTCTCAAAGTGCTGGGATTACAAGCATGAGCCACCACGCCCGGCCAGTTTTCTAGTTCTTAAATGGAGGTTGAGTTCTTCTGACATAGTCAGATAAACCAAAATACTCTAGCTAAATACTGAAATGAAAATGTATTTATCAAAATCATAAGTATAAACACTGCTTCTTAACTAAGAGAAAAGTCTTTCACAACTAATTAAACATAGAAATGATAAGTAAAATCTGGTTTTCTGACATTATTAAAGACCCAAATCGTTTACTGGAGGAAGTCACAAATTATGAAGAAAACTGAGAAAAGAAAAATCTAAAAATATGGTGCAGTAAAAAATTAAAATATTAATTGTGATTATATTAAGCAATATATACTAACCATGAATCAGGGAGCCATTTAGCCACTGAATATAGTAGTTCTGAGGAAAAGAAAGCAGGATTTCATTGCTGATGATTGAGAAGGGTAAAAGCAAAACAGCCCCAGCTGACACTGCGAGAGTGAACGTGCTCAAAAACAACCTGGAAGAAAGGAGAGTCACCATCACAAGTGATCTGAAAAAGCAATGAACACGAAAGTCATCAAAAAGAATGCAAACTCTTTAATGTTTTAATCAAAAAAGCATTATATTAAGAACTTTATTAAATATATGTAGTTGGGAGACAAATGATATACATATGGGCCTAGAAGTTAAACTAGATAAACTCTAAAACTCCTTACTCTATGAAAAGGTCAGTAAGTCTAACAAATAGTACCTAAAAGATAAAGACATACTGAAGACACAGTACTTCACATATTTTACAAAGAAAAAATTGTAGTTCATTCCTCTTTTAAATGTAAGTATTTATTTCACAATTGCATTTAATTAACAACTTTGACAACATATGCTAACAGCAATGCAACAACTGAGGTGAAAAAATTACTATGAAAGCAGTATAAAAAAACAAATTAATTTAAAATGTTTATTTCAGAGGAAAAAAAACTTAGAAAGCCATTGGCCTGACATCTTTTTAATGGGTAAAGATTAAATAAATTATAGTAATAAAAAACAGAAAACTATTAAACAGTATTGTACTATTAATATTTAAAACACTACTTTGTCATAAAAAAGATAGCTTTAATAGGTACTAATATGGAAGAATATCTAAAATAAGTCAACAAAATAATGAAGAAAAGCATGGACAATAAATGTAAAACATGTTCTCCCCCCACCAAATGCATATTTATACAGAGGTACAAAAAAATCCAGCATAACATGTAACAATCCCATAGGAAAGAGGGATTATAAGGTGCTTTCACCTTCTCAGTTACACATTTCTGAAACATTTTTATTTTCTACAAGAAACACCTAACTTTTTAAAAGATTTTAAAAGGATAAATTGGCAAAGGAAAAAAGAACTTCACTAATATTAGAGATAGAATGGATATTAAAGTTCTATTAAAGTTAATATTGGAAGAAAGTAAAAATAAATATAAGAAAATATTTTTTAAAAGCAGGAAAAAAAAATACTAAATACCCAAAAACACATCTAACAGAGAAACTTTGAGGCCAATGCCATCTTGTGGCAACCAACAGAAGTGTATTCCTACTTCAAAAGCCAAAAATAACCAGGAAACCTCCTTGGTTTAGTAAATCAATTATAAATTTTAAAATACAGACCATATGATACTTAAGAAAAATACAACTGATATCAGATACAGAATTTCTGTGAATTCATTTTGCTCAATAGACACCGCATTTCCTGGGAAAAGCCCTCAGACAAGTGCTGTCTCAGGTCCGCAGCCAGCTCTGGCAGCGACCAGCCAGCAAGCGGTCTCCAGCAAGCTTCTCCAGTCATGGGAGGAAGCTATCCTGATTGCTATCATTCCTTCCTATGCTAAAATTGAGATCAAATCCAAAATCTCACCATTCCAGGTCCCACACGGCTATCCCAAGATAATTTTCCAGGCTCTTCTCTCACTATGACCCATTTCGACATACACTTAGACTTACCTAACCCCCTCATAGCCCAAACATGAAATGGATTTTCAGGGTTCCTTCTTGCCCCTCTGCACAGTCTACTCACTCCCTAGAATACCCTCTAAGTTGCATGGCAAACTCATACATGAATTTCAAGACAGACCCTAAACATCATTTGCCCTGTGAAGCATTCCTCAACTTCACCTTCTGAAATGGAGCATTATTTTTAAAAATTACATCTTCAGAGTAATGCATCTTTTCTAATTGTGGTAGTAAGACAAGTGTTTCCCCAAATATCTGACATTTGTGACTAGGTCCTCAATCCAACCAGGAAGACAGAACCTTTGTCTAAATAAAATAAGGTGATGAGGGCATACACTCAGATGCTGAATATAACTAGTCACTGAATATAACTAGTGTAAAAAAAAGCCATATCTACAGATCATATTGTAAAGTGTCTTTGCAAGGTGATGATAATTAAAACAATAAAACCACCTTAAATCACTTTAACACTCCACAAAGCTTTCACATACTTTCAGTTAGCAAACAAGGACCAGGATCCTTGATTTATGAGTCTCTCATCTCCTGTTCTTAACCCCCATCATCAGTGATGTGGGATATGATGAGGTTTCTCTTCGAATAATCTGATCAATCTTTTACTCTTTAATTCATGGTGCCCCACCCAAATTTTCCCTTTTCCTCCTTTTTCCTTTTTGCCTTTGTTAGATGCCCAGGCACACCACAGTACCAGGCGTTATCAGTACCAGCTCACATTCCTTATTTGGAAAGAGAACTTTCTAGCTCATTAGACGCCCCTTTCCCTTTCCTCTCCGCTTTTACGTGCCTACCTTATCTAAAAAAAATCAAACGTTTAGCCAACTGGGATTAGATTGTACAATCCGACCCCAGCCAACGGGGAAAGCATACAGGGGCAGGACTTGCGTCAGGAATAAAGGCTCTCGTGCCCCTTTATTCAGGTGTGCTCTCATGGCGACTGGCCAAGGAGACACCCCTCTGCGCAGAAGTAAAATTGCTTTACTAAGAATTCTTTGTTTGAGCGTTCAATTTCCTTAGGATTTTCAGTGTTATTCCTAACAGTGATATGGTTTGGATATCTGTCCCCTCCAAATATCATGCTGAAATGTGATCCCCCAGTGTTGGAGGTGGGGCCTCATGGGAGGTACTGGATCGTAGGAGCAGACAGACCCTACAGTAATGAGTGAGTTCTCATTCTGTTAGTTCACAAGAGAGCTGGTTGTTTAAAGGAACCTGGCACCTTCTCTTCAATCCTGATCTCCCTTCACCTTGCACCATGAGTAAACGCTTCCTGCGGCCTCACCAGAAGCCAAGCAGATGGCAGTGTCATGCTTGTACATCTGCAGAACTGCGAGCCAAATAAATCTTTCTTTATCAACTACCCAGTTTCAAGTGCTCCTTTATAGCAACACATAACAGACTAACACTATCAGGCTCTTCCTAAGCTTTCTACCATGGCCCTGCTGCTCCTCATTCCCAGCAAATGACTGACTCTCCCGTTTCAGAATGAAAAAAGGGGTATGATCCCTCCATACTTACCACCTGATAAAGCTATCAACAGACACAATTATTCTCCTATCTGTCAACCTCCTGCTCATCTGTGCCGATCTCTACCTCTGCCGTCTCCAGGGGCCTTGCTTCACCGGTTAGTCATCCTCCCTCTAGCTGCTGACCGGCCAAAAATAAATATCCTCAGGTGCTTCTGCTCTTTCAAAATGCTTCTGAAGCAGAACTCACATATCACACCTTTACTTCTTTATCCTCAACTTCTTTATTAACCCACTACAGTAGGACTTCTGCTCCTCACCTAGAGTGAAACAGGTGCTCCTTACGGTCAAATCCATCAGATCCTTTTTAATTGCAATCTGAATGTGACCTTCTATGACATTTCAAATTGATAAGCACTACTTCCTTCTTGAAACTCTTTCCCCAACTTCTACAATACTCCCTCTTCCTCATTTTTCAATCTCAGACTCAATGTGACACTCAATTTTTTTAAACAAAAAATAAATGCTTTTTATTTATTTGTAGTTATCAATAAAATGAAAGACCTCACCTTTTTAAAACTCCACTGCAAAATACAGATTACTATAAAAATATATTTCATGGGTTAGTATTTCAATTTTTTTAAATTAAAAAAACTAATCATAAGCAAAACCTGCCACTTTACATCTTAAAGTTTAACAGGTTGATAATATCTAATCAAGAAGTACATATGGAAACAAGACTTTATCATAGTTGAATTTAAATCATTCAAAATTATTCAGTAAGATGTATATAGTGTTGATGACAAAGAAAGTTTCATATTTAGCATTTTGCTCACACCCTCCCAAATATCATCAAAAGGTCTGATTCTCTGTGCAACAGAAAAGTAACAAATTGAGTGACATTTTACATTCATCTGTGAAATGTTGGCATACCAGCATTCCATCTTAAGTCTTCATCTCAGCTAATCAATAAACATTTGCTGCATGAATTAGGCTTCCTAATACGTCACTCTAAACTAGTGATTCTTAAGCGGTAACACTGTCAGGATCACCTATGGAGCTTTTGTTAAAGCCCATCTCGGAGATTCTACCTCAGTGGGTCTTTCAGGTGGGGCTCCCTCACTATACAGGTATTTGCAGAGTGCCTGCTCCCGTGCCAGGACTGTGCTAGGCACTTGAGAACAGTGAACGAACACAAGCGAACATTCTTGCCCAAGGAGGGCTTATCCTGGACTGCAGAGAGTCAGGCAATAAACAATAAAACATTAAATATGTAAATGTATAATAAACTAAAGATGATAAGTGTTACAGGAAAACACGGTAAGGAAGACTGGAAATGGGGAGGAGGACACACAGGTTTCAATATTAAGTGTGGCACTTAGGGAAGGCCTCACTGAAAAGTTGAGACTTAGGGAAAAACACAAAGCAAAACAAAACTAAATAAGGTGAGAGTTAATTCAGTGGGATATCTGACAGAAAAGAATTCTAAGCAGACAAAACAGGTCAAAAGCGCTACGGTGGAGGAAACATTAATTTCACCCCTAATTGTATCAAGCACCCTACCCTAGATTTTTTTTTTTTTTTTTTGGCAAATGCTATTTAATCCACACAACAGTACTGCAAAGTAGGTGAGAACTCTGTTTTACATACACAGAAAGTGAATATTTGTTTCTCCATCTCTTCTGGACTCAAGTTAATCATGGGTCCAGAATTTGAACCCAGATCACCCTAACTCATCAGTTCTCAC